>NC_000012.12:124079521-124381145 GCF_000001405.40 Homo sapiens
TGTACCACCACACCCAGCTAATTTTGAAACTTTTATAGGCCAGGCATGGTGGCTCACGCCTGTCATCCCAGCATTTTGGGAGGCTGAGGTGGGCAGATCACCTGAGGTCAGGAGTTTGAGACCAGCCTGGCCAACATGGAGAAACCCCCATCTCTACTGAAAGTGCAAAAATTAGCCAGCTGTGGTGGCGGGCACCTGTAATCCCAGCTATTCAGGAGGCTGATGTAGGAGAATCACTTGAACCCGGGAGGCAGAGGTTGCAGTGAGCTGAGATCGTGCCACTGCACTCCAGCCTGGGTGACAAGAGCAAGGTTCCATCTCAAAAAAAAAAAAAAAATACTTTTTATAGAGACAGGGTCTCACTGTGTTGTCCAGGTTGGTCTCAAACTCCTGGCTTCAAGTGATCTTTCCAGCCTCAGCCTCTAAAAGTGCTGGAGTTACAGGTGGGAGCCACCACTACTGGCCCTCTCTTTTGTTTGTGGAGCTACAATATTTTCCCCTGGACATGCAAAAAGGATCCGAGACCGTTTCAGAAGGCTGGTATTTTGGAAGTTAACCCTGTGAAATAGGGGTGTCTCCTGTGTCCCCTCCTCATGCAACTCACAATATGACAGTGGAGAGGGATATATATTCAGAAAATTGTACTATAACATGGCACATATTATAGACATGGTATATAGAAGATTATTTTTATAATACACAGGATATGGTATTTAGGTGATCTTAACTGACAAGTGGTTATTTCCAGGACAAATCAGGGTATCATTTCAACTTTCTTTCAAAGCCACCGTTAGTAACTTTTAACAGGTGAATAAATAGCAAACTTTTGTTTTGTTTTGTTTGTTTTTGAGACAGAGTCTCACTCTGTTGACCGGGCTGGAGTGCAGTGGCATGATCTTGGCTGACTGCAACCTCCCGCTCCCTGGTTTAAGTGATTCTCCTGCCTCAGCCTCCCGAGTAGCTGGGATTATAGGCACCCGCCACTACGCCCAGCTAATTTTTTATAGTTCTAGGAGAGATGGGGTTTCGCCATGTTGGTCAGGCTGGTCTCGAACTCCTGACCTTGTGATTCACCTACCTCGGCCTCCCAAAGTGCTGGGATTACAGGTGTGAGCCACTGCGCTTGGTCACAAACTTTTTTTTTTTTCACCAATTTTAATAGGTGAATAAATAGCAAACCCCTATGGTAGGACATGTGAGTTAATGCATTCATTGTAGAATTGTAAATGCTCTGTCTTTGGAGGGTATATGCCAAGTTTGCATTCCCCTAATGCAGATGCTGAGACAAGCACTTGGGGGCGGGTAGTTCATCTTAGAGGTGATTCCAGGAAGTACAGGCGAATGGGGACTGTGGCCTGGGGAAGGGAGAAAGCTCCAACTGAGTGCATTAAGCAGCTGGTTACCAGTGGGCAACTGAGATTCAATCCCAGGGGTCCTCTGAAGAACTGTGCAGACCGGGCCTCGGAATTGCCCCACGGAGTGGCAGGCAAGCTGGCCTAGCTGTCTGCTGACTGTCATTTCTTACTGGTTGATGGTTTGCCTTGGAGGCATTAAATGCCTAGTCCTACAGGCTGCCCTGGAGAGAGGCTGAGCAGCCTCCAGAGAAGGCCCTGAGTGGGTGAGAAGCAGAGAGGCAGGCATTGGAGAAGCGCTGTCAGCATGCACAGTTAGTGCTCAGCGCAGCTGCAGTCAACCCAGGTGAGCCAGGGGACAGTGGTGGGGCCTCAAGGTACTGAGACCCCGCACCGGAGAGCACCTGTCTCAGTGCTGAGCAATCCTCCAGGCTTTTTTTTGATTGAGGAGTTTGGTTTGGGTACATGTATTCTTTTTTTTTTGAGACGGAATCTCGCTCTGTCACCCAGGCTGGAGTGTAGTGGCACAATCTTGGCTCACTGCAAACTCCGCCTCCCAGGTTCAAGCAATTCTCTGCCTCAGCCTCCTGAGTAGCTGGGATTACAGGCACCCACCACCACGTGCGGCTCATTTTTGTATTTTTAGTAGAGATGAGGTTTCACCATCTTGGCCAGGCTGGTCTTGAACTGACCTCATGATCCACCCGCCTCGGCCTCCCAAAGTGCTAGGATTACAAGTGTGAGCCACCGCACCTGCCCACTGGTGCATGGATCTTAAGAAATGTCTGGGCTAGGACCGGGCACGGTGGCTCACACCTGTAATTCCAGCACTTTCGGACGCCGAGGTGGGTGGATCACGAGGTCAGGAGTTCGAGACCAGCCTGGCCAACCCCATCTATACTAAAAATACACACACACACACACACAAATTAGCCAGGTATGGTGGTGGGTACCTGTAATCCCAGCTACTCGGGAGGCTGAGGCAGGAGAATCGCTTGAACTTGGGAGGTGGAGGTTGCAGTGAGCCGAGATCACACCATTGCACTCCAGCCTGGGCAACAAGAGCGAAACTCTGTCTCAAAAAAAAAAAAAAAAAAGAAATGTCTGGGCTATAACAAGTGTGGCCATGCCCCACAGACAGAAACGTGAGGTGTAGGGTGTTCGTTACCTATGCGTGAGTGTGGATGCAGTTTTTTTTTTTTACAAGATATACTTGGCTCTGTCGATGGAAGCTTTCTTCTCTCACTGCTGAGTGATGGTGCAGAGGTTTCCTATGCAGGCACCTGTCCTTGTCGCAACTCTCAAGGTTGACATACAATGTTGGCTCAGGCATGTGGTTCCATTTATAACTGCCAGTGTGGAGTGGCACATCGGTACTCATCAGGAGATGCGATCTTTGGCTCGTTGCTGCCGCGTATCTACTGGGAACCTGGCTGAAAACAGCCCTTATGGAGGGGTGACATGAAGGACAAGTGGTCTCCCCACTCTTCTAGACCTGGGGTTGGCTTTTCTTTTCTTTTCTTTTTTTTTTTTTTTTCCTTTTTGAGACAGAGTCTCACTCTGTCACCCAGGCTGGAGTGCAATGGCGCGATCCTGGCTCACCACAACCTCCGCCTCCCGGGTTCAAGCGATTCTCCCGTCTCAGCCTCCTGAGTAGCTGGGATTATGGGCGCATGCCTCCACGCCTGACTAATTTTGTATTTTTAGTAGAGACAGGGTTTCACCATGTTGACCAGGCTGGTCTCGAACTCCCGACCTCAGGTGATTCGCCTGCCTCAGCCTCCCAAAGTGCTGGGATTACAGGCATAAGCCACCGCACCCCTGCCAGTGTGCTTTTTCTATAAAGGGCCAGATGGTAATGACTTTAGGCTTTGTGGGCCAGAGACTCTCTGCTGCAACTACTTAGCAAGGCTTCTGTAGCTCCAACACAGCCACAGACAGCACATTAAGGAGTGGGTGTGGTTGTGTGTTGATAAAACTTTAATTACAGAAACAGTTTGTGAGCTGGATTCAGCTTGTGGGCCATAGTTTGTTGATCTCAGAGTGCTCCGGACAGTATAGCCTAGTGCTGGATAGCAGTGACAGCTGTCCTGGGACTGTGGCATGTCACCCTTTAGAATTAATTCAGTCACATGACCTAGCATAGGGGATTGCGATTAACCTGTAATTAATTGCCTTTACTGGGTTGCGGGGAGTAGGATGCATTGAACCATGATATTGTTGCTGGGGAAGCTGCCCCATCCAAGTCCCCTTTCAGATGGCCTGGAGGGTGTCTGCCCTCACATTCCATGCCATTCTCTTTTGATTTTTTCCCCGAGATGGAATTTCGCTCTTGTTATCCAGGCTGGAGTGCAGTGGCACCATCTCAGCTCACTGCAACCTCCGCCCCCAGGTTCAAGAGTTCAAGTGATTCTCCTGCCTCAGCCTCCCAAGTAGCTGGGATTACAGGTGACTGCCACCATGTCCAGCAAATTTTTGTATTTTTAGTGGAGACGGGGTTTTGCCATGTTGGCCAGGTTGGTCTTGAACTCCTGACCTCAGGTGATCCTCCTGCCTCGGCCTCCCAAAGTGCTGGGGTTACAGGCATGAGCCACCGTGCCCGGCCCAGAACCCTGTTCTTTAGTACATCACTTCTCATCATCTGGTGCTGAACAGTTGGCCTCTGACTCTAGCATACAGGCCCATCCCTTAATTCCCCAGAGCACTGTGAAGAGCAGGCGGTGATTTGTAAAAAAAAAAAACAACACGGCTGAGATCTGAGGGTGGCAGAAGGGACTGCAGTGTAGCAAGAACAAAGCAGCTTGAAGAGATTTTTCAAGAGCTGCAGATGTGGGGTCCATCAACGAAGGCCCATGGGCCAAAGCCAGCCAGCTGAACGGCCCTGCCAGCTAAAAATGATTTTTGCATTTTTAGATGGTTGGGGAGAAAACATCAAAAGAAGAATAACATTTTATAACATCTGAAAATTATATGCAATCCAGTGTCCATGAATAAAGTTTTATTGGCACACATTCGATTAGCATCTGTCTCTACCCCAGACAGAATGCTCCATTCCCCAAAGCATTTGAAGGCAGTTAGAGGGAAACATAACACAGCACGGGGAGAATGCAGGTGCCTGTTTTTGCTCAGAGTCCCGGCACTTTCTTTCTTTCTTTTTCTTTTTTTTAGGGGGAGGACGGAATCTCTCGCTCTTGTCGCCCAGCCTGGAGTGCACTGGCGCGATCTCGGCTCACTGCAAGCTCCGCCTCCCGGGTTCACGCCATTCTCCTGCCTCAGCCTCCTGAGTAGCTGGGACTACAGGCGCCCGCCAACACGCCCGGCTAATTTTTATTTTGTATTTTTAGCAGAGACGGGGTTTCACTGCGTTAGCCAGGATGGTCTCGATCTCCTGACCTCGTCATCTGCCCATCTTGGCCTCCCAAAGTG
Source organism: Homo sapiens (assembly GCF_000001405.40). Taxonomy (NCBI): domain Eukaryota; kingdom Metazoa; phylum Chordata; class Mammalia; order Primates; family Hominidae; genus Homo; species Homo sapiens. The sequence continues at coordinate 124,084,300 of NC_000012.12, forward strand.
CTGGGATTACAGGCGTGAGCCACCGCGCCCGGCCTCTTTTTTTTTTTTTTTAAAGACAGTATCGCTCTGTCGCCCAGGCTGGAGTGCAGTGGAACGGTCTTGGCTCACTGCAACCTCTGCCTCCCAGGTTCAAGTGATTCTCCTGCCTCAGCCTCCCCAGTAGGTGGGACTACAGGCGTGCACCACCGCACCCGGCTAATTTTTGTATTTTTAGTAGAGACGGAGTTTCACCGTGTTGGCTAAGATGTTCTCGAATTCCCAACCTCAGGTGATCCACGCACCTCGGCCTCCTAAAGTGCTGGGATTATAGGTGTGAGCCACCGTGCCCGGCCTGTTTTTGCGCAGTTTCCTAGCACTTCGCCCAGGACCTGGTACCTGGAAGACCTTCAAATGTGTATGTGAACTGACCGAATGAAGAGTTTGGATGAGAAGGGGAAGGAAGTTGAAGGCACGGAGACAAAGGGACTGAGGGCTGAGAAGGAGAAGCTGGTAGGAGAAGCTGGAGAGGCAGTGTGCACAGTAGTTAGAGCTGGGGTGGGTGTGACTGGTGGGGTTTGGGTTTTGGGCTCTGCCACTGATTAGCTGTGTGACCCTGGGCTAATTACTTCACCTCTCTGGGCTTCAGTTGTAAATCAGGGACCATACTAGTACCTACTCATGGGGTGCTGTGTGAGACCTCAATGAGTGAATGCGTATAAAGCACTTAGGATAGAGCCTGGCCCGAGTCAATGCTTGTGGGTTGAATTGCGTGCTCCTGCAAGTTACAGTCGAGCCCTAACCCCTGGTACCTGCAAATGTGACCTTACTTGGAAATAGGCTCTTTGCAGATGTGATTGAGTTAAGATGGGGTTGTATGGGTTTGGTGGGGGCCCTGATCCAATGACTTTGTCTTTATAAAAAGAAGGAAATTTGGACACACAGAAAAGAAGGCCATGTGACAACCGAGGCAGACACCGAAGTGATGTGCTGGCAGGGATGGGGAGAGATCCTCCCCTCGAGCCTTCAGAGGCAGCCCTGCCCTGCTCACACCTGGATTTGGACTTCTAGGCTCTGTTGTTTTAAATTTGCAGTTTGTGGTCATTTGTGACAGCAGCCACAGGAAATAACTACCGGGGTCCACAAACCCTAGTGCCACGGCTGTTCCAGGTGACGCTGGACTGGGGGAACAGGGTGATGGGGGCTGCAGGTACACTGCTGCCTGTGTTCTCTTCGGCACCCATGTCCATGTGTGGAAGGCAGAGAGCTCCCTTTGCAGCCGCCCATTGTGTGCACGTGGCAGGCCAGAGAGCTGATGCCCCAGCCGCAGCCTCCACCAACAACGATAAATACATCTGTGTCCTCAGCCGTGGTTGGGCTAACTCCGGGGTGTGAATTAGGTGGGGCCGAGCTCCAGTTGCCCCCTCAGTGGTATTTGCCTGCACACACACCCTTAGTGACTTCCTTCCCCTCCCTGCAACCTGGCTGGTGCTTCCTGGGGTCACCTCCCCAATAAACACCTGCACTCACTCTCTCATCTCGGTGTCTGCTTCTGGGGCAGCCTAGACGGACACAGAGAGCTTGTGGATGGTGGATGAACAAGGCCTGTCTGAGGGAGCAAGGTATCAGGGAACCTGAGCCTGAGGGAGGTGCGGGAGCTGGAGCATGGGTCTGGAGGAGGAAAAAGCACTCTTGGAGTAGAGAAAATAAGGGAGGCAGAGGGGATTTAACCAATGAGAAACCCAAGAAAAGAACCTCCAGGGCAAGAAGTCCAATAGGGCTGATTTCTTTTCTTTGCACTCTTTAAACAATCATTATCATAGTAAAATATGCGCATAGTTAAAAAAAAAAAAAAAACCAAACTGCCTAGAATAGTGGTCTAGTGAAGGCACAGCTCCTCGCGCTACCTCTCGCCTCCAGCTCCTGCCTGCTCCCTGAAGGTAAAACCTCCTTTGAGCAGTTTTAGGCTTTGGCTCTGGAGGTTGCCCCCATGCCTCTGAATGACAGCTGCTGTGGTTATTTGGAGTTTATCAGCCTCAGATATTGTCTGTTGACCTGCTGCGATGAAGGATGGAGTAGTAGACGGAATTATAAAATGGCCCAGAGTCTGGCCCCTGGTGCACAGCTACCTCCCCGCTCCCGTGCACTTCTCAAACACGGTTCTGGGTGCAGCTGATAACAGCCCAGATCACTGGACTTTAAGATAGGGAGTGGGCCTGAGTGGGCCTGACCTAATCACAGGAGTGCTTTACACCTGCGGCTGGAGGGCAGCCATGGAGAAGGTCAAAGATTCAAAGCACAAGGGGGATCTGAAGTGTGAGAGGTGCCCTGTTGCTGGCTTGAAGATAGAGGGGCCACATGGCAAGGAGCTGTGGGTGGCCTCTGGGGACTGAGGGTGGCCCCCAGCTGACAACCACCAAGGAAACAAGGACTGAGGTCCTACAGCCCCAAGGAACCGAATTCTGACTCAGCCATGTGACCATGGAAGAGGACTCCATGCTTCAGACCACAGAGCAGCTTCAATTTCTGCCTTGTGAGGCCCTAAGCACAGAACCCAGCCATACTATACCTAGTCTTCTGATGATTTTTGTTGTTGTTGTTGAGACAGGGTCTTGCTCTGTTGCTAAGGCTGGAGTACAGTGGCGTAATCATAGCTCACTGCAGCTTTGAATTCCCAGGCTCAAGTAATTCTCCTGCCTCAGCCTCCCGAGTGGCTGGGATCATAGGTGTGCGTCACCACATCTGGCTAAATTTTATTTTTTTTTTTTAGAGATGGGATCTCACTATGTTTCCCAGGCTGGTCTCCTGGCCTCAAACGATCCTCCTGCCTCAGCCTCCCAAAGTGCTGAGATTCCAGGCGTGCACCACTGCCCTGGCCTATGGTGGTTCTTTATGCAGAACAGGTAGCTAGCACAGTGGTGTCAGATGGTGTAAGGATTGAGCTGTCACACCATTGTTCATCACCCCGCCGTGCCTGGGCCAGCCTGGCCGTATTGCTACTTTAACCTCCTCTGCAACTTCCAACTGTGCCTTGCCACGTCCCTTTCCAATTCCAGCCGTGACAGGCAGTCTCTTGGCTCCCCATGTTATAAGTTGTGGACATCTTCAGTGTTGCAGGCCATATGGTCTCTGTCAGAACAAAACTCTGCCCTTCCAGACAGCATCCATAGGCAGTATGTAAACACATGAGCATGGCTGTGCGCCAATAAAACTTTATTTACAAGAAAGAAATACGGGCCCACCCACCCTTCGGGCTCCTTCTCCACCTCTTGTCCTCTGTCCAGGGAACCATTACTGTCACCAGATCCAGGTTGCTACCCTTGGGAATCTCTTGGCCTCATCCTTAGGATTCTATTTCCAATGTATGAAAAGCAGATTTCTGATTAATGTGTAGTAATAGGAAGCGCTGGAACTATCCAGGCTTATCTCTCCTTGCCAGTGACTTTTAAAACGGTTGCTTCTATCCAATTCTGTCGGAGAGAGGCAGAGGCCCCATGGGACATGAAGATGGAGACCCAGCTCCTGCTGGCCCATAGTATAGGATTCCTTGTCTGGGACTGTGTGTTTGAAACATCCTTTATATACAAACTCCAGCCTCCTTCAGCCCGTGCATTGCAAGCCAGGGGTCACAGCTGGAAGCATTTTCATGGGAAATTCAGAGTTGTCAAAGGCATTTATCTGGTATTTTATTGTAATTGGTTAATTTATGCTTTATTTACCTTGCGGATAGGATCTGAGAGCTAAGGCTGGGTACTGCTGCCTTTTTCTGTTCCACACTGTCAGGGAAATGTATGTCTCCTTAGGCTTAAAAGCATTTTTTTTTTTAAATGAGAAATGGAGCTTTGGAATAAATATTTTTCATTGCTCACGACACGGAGCCCCTGGGTCACCATGGCCTGTGTTCTTTTAAGTCATGTAAAACTAGTTTCTGCTGAGAACATTCAAATGTTTCACCTTGTGCTGAGGAATTTGGAACTAATCTTCTCAGATCGGTGTTGCTGGAAGTCGGTCCAGGAGCTTTTTGGATAATCCACCTCATGACTGGAAAACAACGAAGAAACCCAGTAGCTTCTTCGCCGTGTGGATTCAGACCCCGGGAGCCCAGGCCTGCACCTGGGCAGCTGCTCCCTGCACGTGGCCGGACATATGGAATATGGAGCCCCGCTGCCTTGGAGTCAGAGAGCTGCCAAGTAGAATTTGCATGTAATGCTGCTATCATTTTCAATTGCTCTCCCAATAAAACAGGCCCTGGAGCCGAGGTGAATGCCGTAGAAGGCATTTTTTCCACTGGGTGTGGGTCCAGAATAAATAATCAAAAGAAAATCCGCTCATCCAAGCGGCTTCTTGGAGATACGTTTTAATTCAGACTGGTTGGAAGCCACTGATAGATGCAGACTAGAGCAAAGAGGACCAAAGCCAGCATCAGCAGGCTGCCTCACGTGCTCCACCAAGAAATGTCGCTCCCAAGTGTGTCATATGTGACCCAGTGGTAGAGTGCAGTGTCTCTCTTTCTCCTCTCACCTCTCTCCTCCTCTCTGCCTTTGCACCCCTCTTGCCTCTTTGGCTCTGTCCATCCTCTTCTTGCCCTCCCTCTCTGCCTTCCTCCTCTTCCTGACCTCCTCCTCTTTCAACCATAAGTCCTTTACCTAAAAACAAAACAACACAAAACAAAAAACCTTTTTAATCTTGCAATAAGTATCTACATTTTTATTTTTTTATTTTTTTGAGATAGAGTCTTGCTCTTGTCGCCCAGGCTGGAGTGCAGTGGCACGATCTCAGCTCACTGTAACCTCCATCTCCTGGGTTCAAGTGATTCTCTTTCCTCAGCCTCCTGAATAGCGGGTATTACAGGTGCCTGCCACCATGCCTGGCTAATTTTTGTATTTTTAGTATAGACGGAGTTTCACCATGTTGGCCAGGCTGGTCTTGAACTCCTGACCTCAGGTAATTTGCCCATCTTGGCCTCCCAAAGTTCTGGGATTACAGGTGTGAGCCACCACACCTGGCCTGCAATAAGTATAGACTCTACAAAAGTTGCAAAAAATCTGTAGTGGAGCTGGTCCCCGTGTACTCTGCACCCAGCTTGCCCCATAGTTGCATCTCACATAACAATAGCGCCATGTCACAACCAGGAAATCAGCACAGACACAGGTATGTCAACAATAGCGCCATGTCACAACCAGGAAATCAGCACAGACACAGGTATGTCAACAATAGCGCCATGTCACAACCAGGAAATCAGCACAGACACAGGTATGTCAACAATAGCGCCATGTCACAACCAGGAAATCAGCACAGACACAGGTATGTCAACAATAGCGCCATGTCACAACCAGGAAATCAGCACAGACACAGGTATGTCAACAATAGCGCCATGTCACAACCAGGAAATCAGCACAGACACAGGTATGTCAACAATAGCGCCATGTCACAACCAGGAAATCAGCACAGACACAGGTATGCCTCTGTCGTCAAGCCCTTCAGCTTCTAGTGCTCACTCTTTCATGTAAGCTTATTCCATTTTCAGGCTTCTTAACTTGCTCAAAGAACATGTATCTAATATGTATTTTCTTCCAGATAGAGGCGCCCTCTTTTCTCCATTTGCTCATTTTTGAGTCATGTGACAGGGCCCCGGGTCCTCCCGCCAGACACACCTATGGGAGAAAAGGGGAGTTTGAAGAATGGGGTCCTGACCTTGCTAGGCACCATTTGAAGTGCTCACATGTCCTTTGTCTTATTCAGTCTCCATTTGTTTTCATTTATGAGTGAAAGGAGATGAAATTGAGATGGACTTGCCTTGCTCTTGGTGCAGAGCTGTGATTACAGAGTTGATGAGAAAGCTGTTCCAACTGTGCATGGAGATGCATTCCGTGGTCAATCTGCACATGGCTGTCAGGTGGGCAGCCTTCTGTGACGTGGGTCATTGCAGGCTGGCTGAGCTTCAGGGAGCCTTGGTTCCTGCAGGGGCCAGGGGAGCCCTCTCTTCAGTCTCTTGGCCTGGTCACCTGGCCGGGGCTGGTACCAGCATGGAATTTGCTGGTAAGCTGGGAAGTAGATGGACTCCATGTTTTCCTGTCCGGCTGAGAAGTTGGATCTGTGGGTGCTCTGATGACTTCACTTCAGTGAATGTGCAGCTTCTCGCCCTTTTCACCTCTAACGGTGGCTTTGCATGGAGCATGGGACAGTTGGTTAGGAGACCATGGTCTGGGGACCCAGGCCTGATATGACAGGGGCACTCAGACAGGGGCTTGGGCTGATCTGGGCTCTCTTTGCACTTGTCTCTACTTTCTTCCCCAGGAACTAGCTGGAGTCAGCAGGAGAGAGAGCAATGCCTTGTTCATCCATCCAGGTGGGGCTCCGAGAGCTTCCAAACCAATGGATAAGAAGGAGGAGCCACAGAGGCTAGAAAAGACTGCCGACCACAGTTTGTCCCATGTAGAACTTTCTGGAACATTCAGCTGCAGAAAGTGAATGGGCTCAAAGCTTTCTGTCTCCTTCTGAACAGGCTGTCTATAAAAACAAAGGAAGCCTGGCTGCCTGGGAGACAGTTCTTGATGGTTTCAAGACAAGCTGCAGTGTCTCTCTTGGCTGCAGGATGGGATGGTTGCCATGAGTGAGGAGCACAGTTCACCTAAGGCTGCCCTTGTCAGGAGCGGGGAAAGGTGAGGATGAAAAATCTCTTATGAGAGCCCAAATCCACGTGTGTGCATAGCTCATGGAGAGCATAACATCTCAATCAAATTGTTTGCCGACAACATTTATTTCAGCTAAATGATACTTCAGAGAGGCCATCCTTCTTCATATTCTCTGAATCAATCCATTAACACAGCATAAGGCATCCAGGAAATAATGGCTGCAAACAAGCCTGGGAGCCAGAAAGAACGGCTTTGGTGGGTGTACTGGTGTGGAGGGAGCCAAGACCAGTAAGAAGCCTAAGGTCACAGAGTCTGCACCAGGATCTCGGTGGTGGGAGTAACAGAGAAGAGCTGGGTCTAAAAGATGTCAAGGAATGAAAGTCCATGGGATTTAAGCATGTGACCTCACATGAGTTACTTAACTGCTCTTTTTTTTTCCCATTTGTAAAGTGGGATGTGGGAGGCAGAATAATGTCCCCCCACATAGGTCCATGTCCTTATCCACAGAAACTGTGAATACGTTAGGTTACCCAGTAAAGTGTTGGATAAAGGAATTAAACACTTAGGGAAAATAAGAATATAGATGATCTCATTAATAATTTGTTATATTGATTAAGATTGCTTAACAGCAATCTTACCATGTTGAGATGGTAAGACTGGATATATCAGGTTAAATGACACCTATTCATTGAATTAATTTCACCTCTTTTTACTTTTTAAAATATGGCTACTGGAATTAAAAGGTTGTTAATCAGGTAATTTTAAGGTGAGGGGTTATCTTGTATTATCCTAGTGGGCCTGATGTAATGACAAGGGTCCTTAAAAAATAGAAGGAGCCAGAAGAGGAGATTGGAGAGATGGGATGAGGGAAGGAATCAACTGCTGTAGCTGGCTTTGAAGAAAAAAGACGCCATGAGCCAAAGAATACAGGCAGCCTCTAGGCTGGAAAAGGCAAGAAAATGATTTTCTCCTAGAGGCACCAGAAGGGAGTGTAGACTGCTAACACCTTAATTTTAGCCCAGTGAGGCCCACATCAGACTTCTAATCTACAGAACTACAGTGATAATACGTTTATGTTGTTTTAAGTCCCTGAGCTTGTGGTAATTTGTTAACAGCAGCAAAAGGAACCTAATACACGAAGGGCAATAATAGTGCCTTCCTCTTGAGGTGGCTGTGAGCTTTACATGAATTATGACATGGCAGCACTTAGAACAGTAGATGGCTCTGCCAGGTATGGTGGCTCATGCCTGTAATCTCAGCACTTTGGGAGGCTGAGGCTGGTGGACCACAAGGTCAGGAGATCAAAACCATCCTGGCAAACACGATGAAACCCCGTCTCTACTAAAAATACAAAAAATTAGCCAGGCATGGTGGCAGGCGCCTGTAGTCCCAGCTACTTGGGAGGCTGAGACAGGAGAATGGTGTGAACATGGGAGGTGGAGCTTGCAGTGAGTTGAGATCGCGCCACTGCACTCCAGCCTGGGTGTCAAAGCGAGACCCCATCTAAAAATAAATAAATAAATAAATAATAAAATAAAAAAAATAACAGTAGATGGCTCAATATAACATCAGCACTGGTGATGATGATGATGACAATGATGATGATGGTAAGGGTGATGATGATGATGGATATTATGGTGATGATGGTGATGATGGTGATGATGATGGATATGGTGATGGTGATGATGGTGATGGTGATGATGGTGATGGTGGATATGGTGATGGATGATGGTGATGGTGGTGATGATGGTGATGGTGATGATGGTGATGTGATGATGGTGATGGTGATGATGATGGTGATGGTGATGATGATGGTGATGATGATGGTGATGGTGATGATGGTGATGATGTGATGATGGTGATGGTGATGATGATGGTGATGATGGTGATGATGATGGTGTGATGATGATGGTGATGGTGATGGTGGTGATGATGATAGTGATGGTGATGGTGATCATGATGATGATGGTGATGGTGATGATGGTGATGGTGATCATGATGATGATGGTGATGGTGATGATGGTGATGATGATGGTGATGGTGTGATGATGGTGATGGTGATGGTGTGATGACGGTGATGGTGATCATGATGGTAGTGATGATTGTGATGATGGTGATGGTGATGATGGTGTGATGATGGTGATGGTGATGGTCATGATGATGGTGATGGTGATGGTGTGATGATGGTGATGGTGTGGTGATGATGGTGATGGTGATCATGATGGTAGTGATGATGATGATGGTGATGGTGATGGTGATGGTAATGGTGATGATGGTGATGGTGTGATGATGTTGATGGTGATGGTATGATGATGGTGATGGTGATCATGATGGTAGTGATGATTGTGATGATGATGGTGATGGTGGTGATGGTGATGGTGTGATGATGGTGATGGTGTGATGATGATGGTGATGGTGATCATGATGGTAGTGATGATTGTGATGGTGATGATGGTGATGGTGATGGTGATGATGGTAATGGTGTGATGATGATGGTGATGGTGGTGGTGATGAATGTGATGGTGATGATGGTGATGGTGATGGTGGTGTGATGATGGTGATGATGTGATGATGATGGTGATGGTGGTCATGATGGTAGTGATGATGGTGATGGTGATGATGATGGTGGTGATGGTGTTGGTGATGATGGTGGTGATGGTGATGGTGATGATGATGGTGGTGGTGATGGTGATGATAATGATGGTGATGGTGATCATGATGGTGATGATGATGGTGATGGTGATGATGGTGATGGTGATGATAGTGATGGAGAAGATCATTACTATTATCATTGATATACTTACCTTGAGGGATGCCCACGTTTTAAGAGTGTTAAGAGGAAAGGGGAGTCAGGGAAGGCAGCAGGAAGAGGGGTGAACACGAAAACCCAAGGGATGCAGGGTTGCAGGATCATGGGAGGTGAGAGTGGACAGAAGTGGCGATGGCCCAGGGTCAAGTTGTGTGGGGAAGTCAAGTGGGGAAGGCATGACAAGCAGAGACCAGAAGGGCCTCACTAAGCTTGGCATGGGAGAGAGAGAGCACTGGACTGGGAGTCTGGCACTTAAGCACTAGAGGTGAGCTGTCTAGCCTGGCAGCCACCAGCCACACATGGCTATGGAGCACTTGAGATGGGGCCAGTGTGAATCTAGATGTGCTAGAAGTGTAAAATACTCACTGGGTTTCAAAACTTAGAGGAAAACAAGGTGTTTTTCTCTAAAATGATCTCGGTGACAATTTGTTATGATGGTTACATGCTGAGATGGTAAGATTTGGGATATATCAGGTTAAATGAAACCTATTTCTTAAATTAATCTCACCTCTCTTTACTTTTTGAAATGTGACTACTTGAAAATTTAACATGGCATCCATAGCTCACATTCTCTTGCTACTGGACAGCACTATGCCAGGCCTGACTGTGCCACTAAATATAGGCGCGACCTTGGCCAAGTCCTTTGTGCATTCTGGGTTGCTGTCTCCTTTGTTTGTAAAGCCAGGTGCTCTTCAAGGTCTGTGCAGGGCATTCTGGGTGTGGTATCTAGGTCATGGGGAACACAGAGAGAACACGGAACTGTCCCAGCGGGAAGGCATATTTAAGGACCAGGGCCAGTAGAGGCATAAGAAAGCCAAGGTGAGGACTGCTTGCTGCAGAGGGTTGACAATGCTGGTGAAAAAAGGGAAGGGGCTAAAAATCATTATACATTCTCCTGCAGAGACTTGGGCAGTTTGTAATCCAAAGAGAGGGAACTAACGTGGAGAGAGAGATTAGATCGACGAGCGAGAGGGTGAATTGATGGAAGAGAGTGCCGCGAGAGTGGCAGGAAGGAGATTTAAGGTCAGGGCAGGAATTAACCTTGGAGGACCAGGAGAGAATGAACAGGTGAGAAATAAATTAAACAATTAGCACACTCATCAAAACGGTGTCTCAAAGCACAAATGAAGGGGAATCGGGTGCCTCCGAGGACAGCACAGCTAACAGGTGTTTAGGAAGTCAGGAGGGGAGAGAGGACTTGCTGCAGAAGGGGAAATTGGAGCTGGCTGAGGAAAATGAGTGTGTTTGCACAGAACACGTCACAGAGGAGTGGGGAGGCATGGGCTCACTGGGATGGGCAGGATGTAGGCCAAGTGAGGCCACGATAGGAAAGTCCCCAAAGCCCAGATAAAAGCAATTGCAGCCCAAATGCCAAAGAATAGAAAATCAAAGGCAAAAATAAATGTGTTGTGCTCTTTGACCCTAACCAACCTCTTTTTCCAGTTTGAGTTGGGGGCTGGAAAGTCAGGCCAAGGAGGTGCTTTGCTGCTCCATGCTGAGGGCAATGGCTAGTCACAGACCCAGACATTGGTGGGTATTTCATTTCAGCACCTCTACTCACTTGCTGTGTGGCCTTGGGGAGATGACCTAACCCCTGTGAGCCCAAGTTTCCTTAGGGGGTGTTTTGGGCTTAATTATGTCACCCCGCAATTCATATGTTCAAGCCCTAAGTCACAGTAATGTGACTGTATCTGGAGTCAGGGTCTTTGAAGAGGTGATTTAGTTAAAATGAGGCCATTAGGGTGGGCCCTCATCCAGCATGACGTGGGTCCTCATAAGAAGAGGAGATTAGAGGCCGGGCGCGGTGGCTGACGCCTGTAATCCCAGCACTTTGGGAGGCTGAGGTGGGTGGACCACGAGGTCAGGAGTTCGAGACCAGCCTGGCCAACAGAGTGAAACCCCGTCTCTACTAAAAATACAAAAATTAGCTGGGCATGGTGGCGCACGCCTGTAGTCCCAGTTACTCGGGAGGCTGAGGCAGGTGAATGGCATGAACTCAGGAGGCGGAGGTTGTGGAGAGCTGAGATCGCACCACTGCACTCCAGCCTGGGCAACAAAGCAAAACTCCGTCTCAAAAGAAAAAAAGAAGAAGAAGAGATTAGTTATGACACAGACACACAGAGGGAAGATTGTGTGTCTACAAACCAAGGAGGGAGATCTCAGGAGGAACCAGCCTTGCGGACATCTTGATGTTGGGCTTGTAGCTTCCACAACAGTGAGGAGGTCATTTCTGTAGTTGAAGCTGTTCAGTCTGGTGCTTGGCTATGGGAGCAAACTAATGTAGGAAGATGGCAGGACCCTTTACGAGGTATTGTGAAGACTCAATAATGGTATGTAAGTGTCTCAGCACACAGCTGAGAGCCAGGGAGAGTCGTTTCCATTCATAGTGGCTTGGAAGCTTCTGTAAGTGAGTGAGAGAGGGAAAACCCAGGTCTTCATGGTGTCCCCCTCTGGGGACAGTGCCCACTTCTCTTCAGGCTGGTGAACGTCCTGCTGATGTGGACACCGCCAAGTGGAGTGTGGGTCACTGGAGTGAGGTCCTGCACACACAACGGCCTCGGAGACACACACAATTGGACCAAGCATTCAGGAACACCAGCTTGGCGCGCTCCCGGCACCGGAGGGACGCTGCCCCTAGTGACGGTCGCTCCGGCTGTGACGGCTTCCCTCCAGATGCCCTCACTGGAATCCCAGGATGTCCTGGGGGGAATTAAATTAAATCCTGCCAAGGACCTCAGGGGCAGCTGTTGGACAGAGCTCTCCCCTCTTCTCGACTCTCCACCCTGACGAGATAAACGGGCGGTTTCTTTCCTACCTTTCTCCGTGGATCAGTTCACTTTAGACCAGACTTTGTGTCTGTAACATCAACACTGTTGCTGATAGAGACTGTCCTCAGAGGAGGTGTGGTTCCAGCATGTCTACGTACCCATCCAGAAAGGGCGAATATTCTCTGAATTCCCCTAAATCTTTTGGGGCTGGAGCATCCTTTGCAAATCACCGATTCTAAGATCAGCGTTGAGGGGCACCACCAGAACCTCATGTTCAACCCAAACGTGGAGAAATTCCTCCTCTCTTGTTCAGAATCTCACTTCTTGCTCCTCTCTCAAGTGTGCTGAGAAATCAACATTTTTTCTTAGTGCCTCAGCTTCAGACAGAGGTTTAGGAAAGCCACCATCACTGCCTTCTTATTTTGACTCTCTTACCTGTTCCTGTCTGTCCGTCTCACCCAGAAGGAGGAGAGGGCCACGGCTGGGCTAGGCCATTCCCAGGTTTAGTGGGTTGATCTAGACTTCAACCTCACGACCTTGAACGCCTGGCCCTTCCATTCTCTCACCTCTGTGTGCAATCCTCCCTTATGCTCCCTTAGTGAGGGGAGCCAGCCTGCCAGCTGGTAGCAGCGTACAACAACTGATCAACAGTCCTTCCCAGCTCAGAGCCTTTTGTTCCTTTCTTTGTTTAGAGACAGGGTCTTGGATGTTGCCCAGGCTGAAGTACAGTGGAATGGTCACGGCTCACTACAGCCTCAAACTCCCCGGCTCAAGCGACCCTCCTACCTCAGCCTCCCAAATAGCTGGGACTATAGGTGTGCACCACCACACCTAGCTAATTTTAATTTTTTGTAGAGATGGGGTCTTGCTATGTTTCTCAGGCTGGTTTTTTTCGAACCCCTGGCCTCAAGCAATCCTCCCGCCTGGACCTCCCATAGTGCTCAGATTACAGACGTGAGCCACTGTGCCTGGCTCTATTTTTCTTCTTTCCCTCCCCAAGAAAGAAGACAAGGAGATGAGAAACCTCAGCCCTATTTCTTTTTGCTCTGCAAAATCCAAGCCCCATCTTTTTCCTGTTGCCACCAAATTGAGGGCAGCCCCATGTTCCTTCACTGGCTTCTGACCCAAAACTCAGACAAATAAGATCTTGGCATTTCGTGGGCCAAACACAAGAGGTTTCTTTTCTTTCTTTTCTCTCCCCTGTTCCCCTTTTAAAAGTGGGCCTCGGAGGTGTTGCTTTTCCTGCTGAAAGTTCCATCCGATTGGATTTCATGACAGGAAATACCTTACCCACTCTCTCCCTTTCTGCCTCCGCAGTGTTCTCTCCCTTCTGTGGTACGGCTCAGCCTGTTTTGGGCTAAGGAGGCCAGCAAGTCAAACTGAAACAATGTATTACTTGGAGCCAGGCGTGTAAAATGAGGATGCTTGAAGTCGAGCCCAGTGTTTTCTCTTTCCAAATAAACCCCGATGCCCCCAAATGGAAAAATCCAGCTCTCAGAACATAAGCCTGCTGGCTTCTCTCTGGCTGAAAGGTGCTGCATTTGAGCTATTAAAAGGACTCTTTCTATTTTGCAAAAACCAAAGCTCCCCTTGGAGGTTTATGCTGTTCCATGGGGGACTGTTTCTTTGCTGGATGCTGAAAACAAAGGAAACACAACAGCGGCGCTTGCGTGTGTGACCTCTGATGGATTCTGAGAGGCTTTGACACGGCTTGTCTCAATGAATGCTGAGGACACTGTGAGGATGGTGGGGCGCAGGGAGGTTAAGTGCCCAGCGTTACATGATAGGAAGCAGCCGTGGCTGCACTGGAGCTAAGACTTCTGACGCTGGGCGCACACCTGTCCTCAACCAGCTGAGGCTGTCCTGACGCTCTCGTTGGAGGGAGAGAAGGAAGAGTGTCTCACAGCCCTGGATCATCAGTCTGGTCCAGATGCTCAGTCCTGATCCCCTTGGGTATTCCACTTACCATATGTTGGTGCTTCCAGCCTCTGGTCCTAACTCAGGGGCATCACCCTCCAGGAATTGCCCATCGGCCTCTGCAGTGTTGACTTTGCCCTTTTTGGATGCTGACTCTGCATTTGTGTGAGGGTGGGAGATCCACCTTGGATCTCAGCTTTGGCTTTTGGATGTGAGGATAAATTCAGGGTCTTTTTGTCTTTAAAGGAAAAAAGGCTGCATTCTTCCTACCAATCCGTCAGAGCTTTACTTAGGAACAAAGTGTCCTAAGCTTCCGAGAAATTCCCTATCCCTGGGAAGCAACCCCAGGGTTCTCTGTAAGTGACAGGAATGGTTGCTCTGGAGGAATTCTGAGTTGCTGCTAACTCCCGACAGCCTGCCTGACCAGGGCCCCTCGCCTCCTGTCATCCTGAACTTGATTCAGGTTTTGTCCTTGCTAAGGAAGCCAAAAGAAAGGGTCTTACTCCATCTTTCTGCCCTTGGCTTCCTCATTTTCCTTCTCCTGTGAGATCTCGAACAAGCGTCTTGAATGGCTGCTTATGAATAGCCCGGGATGTGGGTTGGGTCCTCCTTCCCGGTCACCCGCCTCCAGGGTGGACATGCCTGCCTGCGGCCCCCACCTCTTTGCTGCATGACACTGTCTTCATAATAAACATCTCTGGGTGACACAAGATTGATGCCTCCATAGAGGCTTCCCGTGGCTCACACAATGCCCCTTTTGTAGGAATTCATGTTTTTCTGCAGGGCAATGCTTGCTGACACTGAGCTGCTTTTGCCAAGATCATAACCCCCACTCCTCACCCCAAAGCTTTTAGGAATGAAGAATTTGGAGCTGCCGTTAGGCCTGCGGATCCGCTGGGTTTCTGCTCGGAGCTGATTGCCACTGAAGGCTGCTTGGACCAAGTCCATATCCCATGGAACTCTGGGCTGGGATGATCCGACCCCTTACAAAGGGCTCTCCCCGGGAATGCCATGCAAAGCATGGTCCCCAGGCTCCTAATTCAGATCTAGAAGCCCCTCAGTGTCTCCCAGCTGCGTGACATTTTGCTGAAATACCAGAGCTATCCCCGCCCCCATTAGCCTCAACTCTGCCTAACCCTCCAAGGACACAGGCAGGTTGGCCAACCTCCACTCAGGAGGCTGGCCCTACAGTATCCAGGCAGGGAGCTTGGGCTGTTGTGTTTCCATTTTCTGTGGGAAATGTCTGAAATGTACATTGCACCTTACAGATCATCAGAAAGATCTCAGCTGGCCTTTGGGAGGCAGAAGGACCCTAAGGGGCGAGGGGATGTGCCTCACTGTAGTGCTGGGACGGTGGCGGGGGGGATGTGCCTGACTCTAGTGCTGGGACGGTGGCGGGAGGATGTGCCTCACTCTAGTGCCGGGACGGTGGCGGGGGGATGTGCCTCACTCTAGTGCTGCGACGGTGGCGGGGGCTTGGCTGTGAGACTCTGGGGAGCAGAAAGCACTCATGGACTTGTCTCCTTTGTGCCTGAAGCTTCCCTCGGGCCGTGTGTCCCATAGGAAGCCGACTCTGATTCGATTAATAATTATAACATCAATGTGTGCTCCCTGCAGAAAATTCAGAGGACACACGGGACAGCAGAGGATGATTAGTACGGACTAGAAGTCACCAAGACCCCTCCTCTTTTTTTTTTTTTTTGAGACGGAGTCTCGCTCTGTCGCCCAGGCTGGAGTGCAGTGGCGCGATCCCGGCTCACTGCAGGCTCTGCCCCTCGGGTTCACGCCATTCTCCTGCCTCAGCCTCCCGAGTAGCTGGGACTACAGGCGCCCGCCACCAGGCCGGCTAATTTTTTGTATTTTTTAGTAGAGACAGGGTTTCACTGTGTTAGCCAGGATGGTCTCGATCTCCTGACCTCGTGATCTGCCCGCCTCGGCCTCCCAAAGTGCTGGGATTGCAGGCGTGAGCCACCGCGCCCGGCTTTTTTTTTCTTTTGTCTCTCTTTTTTTTTTTTTTTGAGACAGGGTCTCACTCTGTCACCCAGGCTGGAGTCCAGTGGTGCGATCATACCTCACTGCAGCCTCAACTTCCTGGGCTTGTTACCCGCGGGTCTTTGTTCTTAGAGCTCCCAAGATGGCGGCAAGCCTTTTGTTCTCTGACCTGGGGTTCTTGGCCTCAGGGATTCCAAGGAATGGAACCTCGGCCATGCAGTCAATGTTTTAGCTCTATTAGAAGCCGTTGGTCACGGAGGAGAACCGCGGACCCCAGCGACTAGTGTTCAGCTTGATTAGGACGAACCCTAATCTGAGCCGCACAGGAACAATGGTGAGCCTCTAGCCCCATCGGGAGCAGCAATGGGTGCCTCGCTGGATCAGAAACGCAGCGGACACCCTGCCGGATCCGGAGGGGTGGAAGTTAGTGGCGGGTCTGCGACGGCGGCAATCAGCAGTGGTGGATGGTGAGTGAAAGCTCAGCTCGAGCTGGAACAAACACGGCGGAGAAGACTGTGCAGTTGTAAGATGTAATAGAGTGAAAACAGAGCTCCCATATAACGGGAGGGGACCCGAAAGCGGTTGCCACTAATGGCTCGAATGCCTGGGTTTATATCCCTATCATTGTCCCTCCCCCTGTGCTCTCAGGCGACAGATGATTGACTATTTCTTTTTTTTTTTTTCTCTCTGTCCAGCAACCACAATTGTTTACTTTTTGGCATGTTTTCTTCCATTATTATTTTGTTTTGTTTTGTTTTGTTTTTTATTGATCATTCTTGGGTGTTTCTCGCAGAGGGGGAGGGATTTGGCAGGGTCACAGGACAATAGTGGAGGGAAGGTCAGCAGATAAACAAGTGAACAAAGGTCTCTGGTTTTCCTAGGCAGAGGACCCTGCGGCCTTCCGCAGTGTTTGTGTCCCTGGGTACTTGAGATTAGGGAGTGGTGATGACTCTTAAGGAGCATGCTGCCTTCAAGCATCTGTTTAACAAAGCACATCTTGCACCGCCCTTAATCCATTCAACCCTGAGTGGATACAGCACATGTTTCAGAGAGCACAGGGTTGGGGGTAAGGTCACAGATCAACAGGATCCCAAGGCAGAAGAATTTTTCTTAGTACAGAACAAAATGAAAAGTCTCCCATGTCTTCCTCTTTCTACACAGACACGGCAACCATCCGATTTCTCAATCTTTCCCCCACCTTTCCCCCCTTTCTATTCCACAAAACCGCCATTGTCATCATGGCCCATTCTCAATGAGCTGTTGGGTACACCTCGCAGACGGGGTGGTGGCCGGGCAGAGGGGCTCCTCACTTCCCAGTAGGGGCGGCCGGGCAGAGGCGCCCCTCACCTCCCGGACGGGGCGGCTGGCCGGGCGTGGGGCTGACCCCCCCACCTCCCTCCCGGACGGGGCAGCTGGCCGGGCGGGGGGCTGACCCCCCCACCTCCCTCCCGGACGGGGCGGCTGGCCAGGCAGAGGGGCTCCTCACTCTTCCCAGTAGGGGCGGCCGGGCAGAGGCGCCCCTCACCTCCTGGACGGGGCGGCTGGCCGGGCGGGGGGCTGACCCCCCCACCTCCCTCCCGGACGGGGCGGCTGGCCGGGCAGAGGGGCTCCTCACTTCCCAGTAGGGGCGGCCGGGCAGAGGCGCCCCTCACTTCCCGGACGGGGCGGCTGGCCGGGCGGGGGGCTGACCCCCCCACCTCCCTCCCGGACGAGGTGGCTGCCGGGCGGAGACGCTCCTCACTTCCCAGACGGGGTGGCTGCTGGGCGGAGGGGCTCCTCACTTCTCAGACGTGGCGGCTGCCGGGCGGAGGGACTCCTCACTTCTCAGACGGGGCGGTTGCCAGGCAGAGGGTCTCCTCACTTCTCAGACGGGGCGGCCGGGCAGAGACGCTCCTCACATCCCGGACGGGGCTGCAGGGCAGAGGTGCTCCTCACATCTCAGACGATGGGCGGCCGGGCAGAGACGCTCCTCACTTCCCAGATGTGATGGCGGCCGGGAAGAGGCGCTCCTCACTTCCTAGATGGGATGGCAGCCGGGCAGAGACGCTCCTCACTTTCCAGGCTGGGCAGCCAGGCAGAGGGGCTCCTCACATCCCAGACGATGGGCGGCCAGGCGGAGATGCTCCTCACTTCCCAGACGGGGTGGTGGCCGGGCAGAGGCTGCAATCTCGGCACTTTGGGAGGCCAAGGCAGGCGGCTGGGAGGTGGAGGTTGTAGCGAGCCGAGATCACGCCACTGCACTCCAGCCTGGGCACCATTGAGCACTGAGTGAACGAGACTCCGTCTGCAATCCCGGCACCTCGGGAGGCCGAGGCTGGCGGATCACTCGCGGTTAGGAGCTGGAGACCAGCCCGGCCAACACAGTGAAACCCCGTCTCCACCAAAAAAATACGAAAACCAGTCAGGCGTGGTGGCGCGCGCCTGCAATCGCAGGCACTGGGCAGGCTGAGGCAGGAGAATCAGGCAGGGAGGTTGCAGTGAGCCGAGATGGCAGCAGCACCGTCCAGCTTCGGCTCGGCATCAGAAGGAGACCGTGGAAAGAGAGGGAGAGGGAGACCCTGGAAAGAGAGGGAGAGGGAGACCGTGGGGAGAGGGAGAGGGAGAGGATTGACTATTTCTTTACCTCCTGCTTTTAGCCTAATTGGTATTTCAGTGAGTCACTTAGTTTTTAAAAAGTTTATTTTATACCAACATGATGATGGTATAATGTACACATGATAAAAAGTATCCACTTTAAATGTACAGGGTGATGGGTTTTGACAAATGAATACACCTGTGTAACCTCTACCCTGGTCAAGACTTAGAAATGTTTCCAGCACCCCATAAAGTTCCCTCCAGTCCTTTTGCAGTCAGTTTGCCCCTCCCACCTTTGGGCAACTACTGTTCTGATGTCTATTAGTTGTGAAGTTCTAGAACTGCAAATCAATGGGATCCTGCAGGATGTTTTGTGGCCATCTTTCTTCACTCAGCAGTACCTTTTTGATCCCCCTGTGTTCCTTCTTGGGTCTGCAGGCTTGTTCTCTGTCGCTGACTACCATCCAATTGGATGACTAAACAAACTATAAATATAACTTTTTTTATGAATAAACAAATAAGTAAAAAGTTTATCCATTTGTTCTCCTATTGATGGATGTTTCACTTAGTTATGTTACAAATCTTTTCTGTGTTTCTAATAACTTCACAATTTTTTTTTGAGATGGTGTCTTGCTCTGTTGCCCAGGCTGCAGTGCAGTGGTATGATCTCCGTTCACTGCAACCTCTGCGTCCCAGGTTCAAGTGATCCTCCCTCCCCAGCCTCCCAAGTAGCTGGGACCACAGGTGTGCACCAACACGCCTGGCTAATTTTTGTATTTTTTGTAGAGACGGGGTTTGACCATGTTGCCCAGGCCGGTCTTGAACTCTTGTACTCAAGCCATCTGCCCTCCTCGGCCTCCCAAAGTGCTGGGATTACAGGTGTGACCCACTGCGCCCGGCCAAACGTCACAATTTTAATGCCTGCCTCATTCATAGGGTGCCTTTAAGAATTGTGCTGAATGGCTGTTTTATTCACAGGTGTTTAGGTTTGTCTGTTGTGATAAACATCCTTATACGCAAAGTTTTGTCCAGGAGAGATGCTTAAAAGCAAATGGCAAAATCAAAGCTCCGAACATTTTAAAGGTTCTTGACACACACACTGCCACCTTTCTTTCTCTGTACATTATGTGTATAAAAGAGCCTAAATCAGCCATCTCAACAGTGTGGAGGAGTTTGGCTTTTTCATCTTTTGCAAATTGGATGATTTGAAGAATTATTCCAATGGAGCAGAGATTATTCTAATTTGCTTTTTTGTTTTGAAGAGAGACTGAACATTTTCCCCCATATGTTTGACTCTTATATTTCTTTTTTGTGAAATAACTTTAATTTTCTTTACCCACTTACCTATCAAAGAGACGTTTCCTTTTTTCTTTCTTTCTGTTTCTTTTTTTTTTTTTTTTTTTTTGAGATTGAGTCTCGTTCTGTCGTCCAGGCTGCAGTGCAGTGGCGTGATCTTGGCTCACTGCAACGTCCGCCTCCTGGGTTCAAGCGATTCTCCTGCCTCAGACTGCAGTGTGTGCCACCAGGCCCAGCTAATTTTTGTATTTTTAGTAGAGACAGGGTTTCACCATATTGGCCAGGCTGGTCTCGAACTCCTGACCTCCTGATCCACCCGCCTCAGCCTCCCAAAGTGCTGGGATTACAGGCATGAGCCACTGCGCCTGGCCAGAGACAGTGTTTTCTCATGTATTTGTATGAAGTCTTCCTCTATGAAGGCTATCAACTCCTTGTCGTGTTTGTTTCAGGTATTTCCCTTAATTTGATATAGTGGATTGGTTTTGTAGATGATGCTTCTCGATTCAATGTCAATGACAAAATTATCTAGCCAGTCTATTGTTTTTGATGGTTTCTTTGTGAATTTCTTTCATTGTCTTAAATCATATAAAGCCCTCCTATACCCCAAGATTAAAGAACTGTTGTATTTTTTACAGTTTTAGTTTACGCTTTTAACCATCTGTAATTTATTTTGGTATATGGTTTGAGGTAAAAATCTAAATTCATTTATTTTCCCCAATTGCTACCTCCCAATTGTCCCAGCACTATTCATGAAATAATTTGTATTTTCCCCCAGTTAACACTACCTTTGTCATACATCAATTCTTGAATTTCTGTCAACTGTTAACATTTATTAATGCAGGGTGTTTTGTTTGTTTGTTTGAGACGGAGTCTCCCTCTGTCGCCCTCAGGCTGGAGTGCAGTGGCGTGATCTTGGCTCACTGCAACCTCCACCTCCCAGGTTCAAGGTTCAAGCCATTCTCTTGGCCTCAGCTTCCCGGGTAGCTGGGATTACAGGCGTGTGCCACCATGCCTGGCTAATTTTGTATTTTAGTAGAGATGGGGTTTCACCATGATGGCCAGGCTGGTCTCAAACACCTGAACTCAAGTGATCCACCCGCCTAGGCCTCCCAAAATGCTGGGATTACAGGCATGAGCAAAGTGCTGAGATTACAGGCATGAGACACCACACCTGGTCATTAATGCAGTTTTATAAGTGTAGTTTACTGAGACAGTTTTAATACATGGGGGGACAGTTTAATACCTAGATCCCCTCTCTCTTACATCTTCTTTAAAGTTAGCTACTCTTGCCAGGGCAAGTTTTCAGATGAATTTTAGAATTATTCTGCAAAGGCTGAAAAAATTCCATAAAGAGTCTTGACTGATTTACACTAAACCAACACACTGATTTGAAAGAATCCGCATCTTGGCAAATTATCGTTGTGAGTTGTATTGTTACCGGGGATCCTTGTTCTTAGAACTCCCAAGATGGCTGCGGGCTGCTTCCAAGATGGCGGCAAGCCTCTCGTTCTCTGACCTGGGGTTCTTGGCCTCACAGATTCCAAGGAATGGAATCTTGGGCCATGCGGTGAGCATTATGGCTCTATTCAGCTCGATTAGGACGAACCCCCGGCACTTAGCCCGCACAGGAACAATGGCGAGCCTCTAGACCGATTGGGAGCGGCAATGGGCACCTCCTCACTAGATCAGAAGTGCAGCGGACACCCTGCTGGATCCGGAGGGGTGGAAGTCAGGGCTGGTCTGTGACAGCGGCGATCAGCAGTGGTGGAGGGTGAGTGAAAGCTCAGCTCGAGCCATAACAAACACGGCCCAGAAGAGTGTGCAGTTGCAAGATTTAATAGAGTGAAAACAGAGCTCCCATAAAATGGGAGGGCACCCAAAGGGGGTTGCCCTTGTTGGCTGGAATGCCTGGGTTTATATCCTGATCATTGTCCCTCCCCCTGTGCTCTCAGGCGATAGATGATTGGCTATTTCTTTACCTTCTGTTTTTGCCTAATTAGCATTTTAGTGAGCTCTCATTACTACCTGATTGGTCGGGTGTGAGCTAAGTTGCAAGACCCGTGTTTAAAGGTGGATGCGGTCACCTTCCCAGCTAGGCTTAGGGATTCTTAGTCTGCCTAGGAAATCCAGCTAGTGCTGTCCCTTAGTATCTAGGGTATAGATCCTAGGGCTAACCTGAACTGGGTTATAGAGATGAGGGGAAGGGGCAGGGGAGAGGTGTGGCGGCACTTTGTTTTTAGGCCTTACATCTGGAAGCTTGTTAAAGCTTTGGCAACAGAATTTCTAAATTTGGTGACACCTGATGATGAAACTCCCACTGTGGAGCTCTGTCTGGGCCGTGCTAGAGGGTATTTGTCATTCATCCATGAAACCAGCGCCGCCCAAAGTCTCTGGTGCCCACACAGAGCACCAGGCAAAGCAACAAAGGACTGGGGTGTCCCATCTCGGCCCAGTTGCCCATGCCAGGGTTTAATTGTAATTTCTCTGTACCTGGCTTTGCCATTGGGACTCCTGGGTTTCACGTGCAACACAGCTACCCTACCTGAGAGTCCTTTCACAAAGGGCAAAATCAATCCGGCTGTCTAGTTTGAGCTTTGCTTGGGGACAGGCCCTGGGAATGGGCTGAGCCAGTCGGATAAGCCACAGTGAACTCATGTTGAGTGGTGATCATGGGGCAGAGCAGGGACAAAGTGAGGCGATGAAGTACTGGCCACAGTGAGGCTTCAGTCTTACATCGCTTCTTTTGTATTTTACCAGCAAGACCTACTGGCATTTCTCTTCCTTCTCTGCCTTCGTTTCAAAGGACATGGGGGCCATTAAACTGTTATGCCCGTCTGTGTGAAGAGAACACCAAATAGGCTTTGTGTGAGCAATAAAGCTTTTTAATCACCTGGGTGCAGGCGGACTGAGTCCGAAAAGGGAGTCAGCAAAGGGAGATAGGGGTGAGGCAGTTTTATAGGATTTGGGTAGGTAGTGGAAAATTACAGTTAAAGGGGGTTGTTCACAAGGTGCAGGAGTGGGGGTCACAAGGTGCTGGTGAGAAGGCTCTGATATTCATTGTCCAGGAGAAGGAATGTCACAAGGTTAATTCATCAGTTAGGGTGGGGCAGGAGCAAATCACAAGGGTGGAATGTCATCAGTTAAGGCAGGAACCGGCCATTTTCACTTCTTTTGTGGTTCTTCAGTTGCCTCAGGCCATCTGGATGTATTCGTGCAGGCCTGGGCTCAGAGGCCTGACAGAAACATGCACCCAGAGGCGGGAGCTAACATCAGCGAAAGCCCATACCTCTCTCAACAAGATTCCAGTTCCTCCCTGTTGGCCACCTCCTTCTGGGGGCTTCTGCTCTGTATCCCATTGGTTGTGTGACATCATCAGCTTCCTCTAAAAATTGCAAAGGACACAGAATCATTTTGCCTCAGAGCTGGGCTGCATGAGATTTAGTACTGCAGACAGCTCTCTGTATGTGTGGGTTCTGCATCTGGGGATTCAACCAACCTCGGATAGAAAATATTCAGGAAAAAATTGTACTGAACATGTACAGAGCTTTTGGTTATTATTTCCTGAACAATATAACAATTATTTACATAGTATTTTCATTGTATTAGGTATTATAAGCAATCTGGAGATATTTTAAAGTATACAGGAGGATGTGCATAGGTTATATGCAAATACCACACCATTTGATATCAGGGACCTGAGCATCTGCACATTTTGCTGTCTGTGGGGGCCCTGGAACCAACCTCCCACAGATACTGAGGGATGGCTGTACTTAGAACCAGTAGTGTGCTGGTAATTGTATAACAGTCAGCTCTCCAGAAAGAAAGAGAGAGAGGGAGAGGGAAAGAGAGAGAGACAGAGAGAGAATGTGTGTGTGTGTGTGTGTTTCTCTTATAAGTTTCACTAATGTAAAGAAAGTGTGGCACATACTTTGCAAATAATAATAAAATATATAATATTTTAAATATAAATTTCATATACCCAATGAATTCTTATAGAATGCATTCTTTGATTTTTGTCAAACTTGCATCTATACCCAACCTATGGTTGTAATTGACTGACAAGTATAGTTTACATGTGAATGTTGGTTGGTATTTTTGTTTACATTAGTGAGAAAGATGAAAGTGAAATTACCAAGATGTGTTGAAACTTCATGCATTCATCAGCGATGTGAGTGGCTTTGTTGAATTGGATAATAGTTTTGGAATACTGGAAGAGTATTTCTTCAACATTTTTTGTGCTATTCACAGTGTGACAGCTATAGACATGATATATTTTAAAGTTTCATCTGTAGTATTGTCATATTTTCCATGTCTTTCTTAAGTCTAGGCAATAAACAAAACAATAAACAAACCTTTGATTTGTAATATTTGTCAGTTTCCATGGTGTAAATGCACCTACCAAGGTCAACTTCAAGCTAGCAATGTGATGTCACTGGGTGTAGAATTAGGAAGGGCTGCATCTAGCACACACTCCATAATGAATTAAATAGTGGATTGAATAAATAGATTGGTAGAAATACTATAAATATATAATATTTCTACCAGTCAGATACCATAGATGTAAATAACTTCAGAAGCATAAGTAATAATAAAATGTAGTAAAATAATTATGAAGACATGAGTTTTCAGTATTTATTACCTTTATTTTAATATAACTTCATTTTAATATAACTTCATTTTAAGTTTATATTTATTAAATTTTGATTAATGGTTGTGCTTAGTAGCCAGCTTGCAAAATTTCTGAAAATTTAACTATCAGCTCCCATGAGACAGTTCAACAAGAAATAGAGGAGAGATGATGACAGGACAGGAGTTGGTGCCAAATTAAGAGAAAAGATGCAACCAAACAAGGAAGTTCCTGTGCCACTTCCTGGACATAGTTTGTCTGGATCCAGATAAAGGAAGAAAACGAACATGTATTGAGTACCTACTATGTGCTAGTCATTGATTATAATCAATCTTGTTTAATTCCCATGGTGGCTTTGCAACGTTTCACGATTCTTTTCAGTTTATAAATGAAACAACTGGTATTTAGAAAGAAGAAGTAAATTGACAAAGGTCACACAGGTAGTAAATACTAGAGTTGGAATTCCAGTCCAAGTCCCTATGAATTAATCCAAGTCCAGAGTTAGGAGCCATCTCTTTTTTTTTTTTTTTTTGAGACGGAGTCTTGCTCTGTCGCCCAGGCTGGAGTGGCGCGATCTCGGCTCATTGCAAGCTCTGCCTCCCGGGTTCATGCCATTCTCCTGCTTCGGCCTCCTGAGTAGCTGGGACTACAGATGCCCACCAACACGCCCGGCTAATTTTTTGTATTTTTAGTAGAGACGGGGTCTCACCGTGTTAGCCAGAATGGTCTCGATCTCCTGACCTCGTGATCCGCCCGCCTCTGCCTCCTAAAGTGCTGGGATTATAGGCGTGAGCCACCGCGCCCGGCCGAGCCATCTCATTTTTATATTCTGATTGTGTAGACCATGTCTGGGACATGTTGCCCAATTCTGGACCCCTGACTTCTAGAGGCATATTATCAGAAGAGGTTTTAGCAAACATGGAACTACTAGTTGCCTACCCAACATCGTTCTTCCCTATTCTAGCTAGTGAAACTACATTTCCCAGGCTCCCTTGTGCCTAGGGGTGATCACATGGCACAGCTCTGGCCAATCAGCTGTAAGTGGAAAGCCAAAGGCGCCTTCTGAGATTGTTTTGCTTTCCTTATTTAAGCAACACTTCTTCCTTTTGTCACTGTTTTTTCTTGCTTCAAGCAGGGACATGAGGCTGGAGGTGGAACGGCCATCTTGTGACTTTGAAGGGACATTCTCAATAATAGATAGGGAGGGAGAAAGATAGAAGGGGCCTGAGATATTGATAGGATCATGAAGTAACTGCCTAAACTCATTTTATAAGAAAGAGAATCCCTTGTTAGTTCACATTCATGCCATAATGAATGAATACATGACTGAATGGATGAGAACTAATGCTTATGGAGCACTTACTATGCAGCCTATTGCAGCCTATTTCACATGCATAATGTCAGTCTGGGTTACTGAGTTTGGAGTTTATCCTGTTGCAATGGACAACAAAGTGAAGTTTTTAGCAGGAGAGTGGCAACCACTGGGCGCAAGTGTCCATCCATGCAGCCAAACTCAGTGCCAACCGAGAGGGTCTTCTTGATGAAAAGGCTGTGTCTTAAGACAAATTGTGAATGAAACTAAGAATATTTTACCTGTTTCAGAGGGTATCACAGTAGAACACTATGTGAGGGGCCAGGCATATCCTACTGACCTCAGAGGCCAGATCTGGGACCAGTGAGTAAGAATTTCAAAGAAGACAGTGAGTCTATAGAAGGAAGAAGTTGTTTCATTTAGGAAGTCAGTGAATTCCTTGTCAACAGAGATATTTACATAAGTGGATTGCCCATTTGGGAGGAATGTGGAAGCAGGTACAACCAGGAAGCAGTGTGGCCTCTGAGGCTCCCTCTTACTCTGAATTTGGTTTTATGACCCAGCTCTAATGGGCTCATCTTTCTGTATTTTGATTCTGTCAAAGCTTGAAAAGTGGCCATAGGACTCCTGGGCCCCTTTCATCTTATGTCTTATAAGATTCCAGAAAGTTGGTTGATGTGTCTTTTAAACTTGAGCTGCCACTGTCCCACCACCAGGCACACGCTCATCAATCTCTTTCTTCCGTGGTTTTATTAAAGGGTCTTTCATGTGTATTAAAAATGCAAAACATCTGCCCAATGCCAGTTTCAGAAATGCACAAATGTGAAAGGTTTGGTTTTTACAAGTTTTCTTATGACAGCTGCCACAATGTCATTAATATGTAAATTCCATTGGCTGAAAAGGTTGACTTTTGGTCATAAATCGGCTGTTTCCTCTTGATAATCCTATCTGACTCTCCAGCTGTCTAGACAATGGAAAAATTAACACCATGAAACAGAATAGTTTAAAAACCTTTGGAGCCAAATACTTAAAAAAAATCAAAATCCACGGCAAGAAATGTGAGACCAATTAGTTAATTATGCAAGGAATCCCTCTGGGGCACCGACCTTGAATAATAGTAAGACCTTATGTATGAATAGCACGATAATAGCGTGAAAAAGTACTTTCCACACTTTTTGATCCCTTGGAATGTGTGACTATTCCCGTGACCTTCCTGCGAGGTTATAAAGACCACCAAAATGTGATACCTCATCTCTCCAGCATTGCCATCACACTCTCATCTTTAATTTTTTTTTAAGAGAATTTTTTATAGGAGTCTCGCTCTGTCACCCAGGCTTGAGTAGAGTGGCACGATCTTGGCTCACTGCAACCTCCGCCTCCTGGGTTCAAGTGATTCTCATGCCTCAGCTTCCCAAGTAGCTGGGACTACAGGCGTGGGCCACCACACCCAGCTAATTTTTGTATTTTTAGTAGAGATGGAGTTTCACTATATTTTGGCCAGGCTGGCCTCGAACTCCTGACCTCAGGTGATCCACCCGCCTCGGCCTCCTAAAGCGCTGGGATTATAGTTGTTTTAGGTGTGAGCCACTGTGCCCAGCCCATCTTCAACTCATTTTTTGCCAGAAAATGCAACCCCAGTCCATTCAGTTAGGTCAGTATGTGTCCTAATTAAGGGAAAAAAAATCACACATAAATCATTTTTTTTAAGCCTTAAAATCCTTCATTGGTTTTCCATTGCTTTTGAGATCAAAACCCCTGACATTTTAACATGATTACTGTGTGATTTGGCCACAGTCTACCTCTCTCCAGTCTCATTTCTTGGCAGTTTCCCCTGAGCCTTCTCCCCTCTGTCTAAACTGACTCTTTAAAACTTTTTCCAGTGTTCGATGATTCTCCCTCCACTTGCCTGCCACCATCCATGCACCCCTTCACCTGGTTAACGCCTACTTATTCAAAAGTCACTTCCTCAGGGAAAGACTCCCCATCCCAAAGTACATCAAGCTTCTTTGTTACACATCTTGATAGAAAAATGTTCCTTTCCTCCAGAATAGAGGTAAACAAACTACATCCATTGGGCCAAATCTGGCCCTCCACCTGTTTTTGTAAATAAAGTTCTTTGTTTGTTTGTTCGTTTTTCTGAGACCGAGTCTTGCTCTATTGCCAGGCTGGAGTGTAGTGGCGTGATCTTGGCTCACTGCAACCTCCGCCTCCTGGATTCAAGCAATTCTCCTGCCTCAGCCTCCTGAGTAGCTGGGACTACAGGTGCGCACCACCACGCCTGGCTAATTTTTGTGTTTTTAGAAGAGACAGGGTTTCACCATGTTGGCCAGGATGGTCTCGATCTCTTGACCTCGTGATCCACCTGTCTCAGCCTCCCAAAGTGCTGGGATTACAGGCGTGAGCCACCGTGCCCAGCATAAATAAAGTTTTATTTGCACACTGTGATGCTCATTTTTTTTTTTTTTGTATTGCCTATGGCTGCTTCTTGCAGAGTTGAGTAGTTACAACAGACACTGTATAGCTCACACAACCTAAAATACTTTCTGTCCGGCTCTTTATAGAAAAGTTTGGCAATCTCTGTCCCAGAGCATTGGTCTTGATTTGTAATGATACACTTATCATTAGATTATTTGATTATCTGTTTCTTCTTCTAGACTCTGCGTTCCAAGCAGACAGGAGCTAGGGTCTTGTTCACCCCATGACTCCATGTTTCCAGTGCTCAGCACTTGGCAGTTGCTCAGTAAATATCATTGAATAAATGAAGAAAAAGAAGAAATAAGAGAATGAAAGAAAGAGAGGCTGGGCGCAGTGGCTTGTGCCTGTAATCCCAGCACTTTGGGAGGCTGAGGTGGGTGGATCACCTGAGGTTAGGAGATTGAGACCATCCTGGCCCACATGGTGAAACCCGTCTCTACTAAAAATACAAAAGTTAGCCAGGCGTGGTGGTGGGCACCTGTAATCCCAACTACTTGGGAGGCTGAGGCAGGAGAATCGCTTGAACCTGGGAGGTGGAGGTTGCAGTGAGCCGAGATCACACCATTGCACTCCAGCTTGGGTGACAGAGTGAGATTCCATCTCAAATTAAAAAAAAAAAAAAAAAGAAGGAAAAAGAAAAAATGGAACAAAGGTTGGGCATTACTGTGATTATCTGTGATGCTAAAAATTCTGATCTTTTGAAAACATATCTACAAATTCTTAGACATTCCTGTCATTGAGAGATGGAGGGTAGGTGCTCTTCTCTGGAAACTAGGCAGCATTGAACTGCTTTGACCAATAGACTAGCGTGGAAGTGCCTCCATATGACTTCCAAAGCTAGGTCATAAAAGGCCATGAAACATCTACTTTGTTCACTGGAACACTCACACTTGGAGCCCTGAGCCATCATGTAAGAAAACCAATTATCCTGTGCCTGCCATGCTGGGGTGACCACATGTGACCTTCCAGTTGACAATGCATCAGGGTCCAGCCTTTCAGCCATCCTCCCAAAGGTGCCAGGTGTATGAATGAAGCCATCTTGGACCCTAGACCAGCCTATCAGCTAGTGAGGTACTACTGAATGATCTCTGTTGATAGCATAGAACAGAAGAATCACCCAGCCAAGCCCTGCCTGGCTTCTGCATGCAGGGAATTGTGAAATATAATAAAAGGGCTCTTATTATTATTATTATTATTTTTTAGATGGAGTCTCGCTCTGTCGCCCAGGCTGGAGTGCAGTGGCGTGATCTTGGCTCACTGCAAGCTCCGCCTACTGGGTTCGCACCATTCTCCTGCCTCAGCCTCCCGAGTAGCTGGGACTACAGGCACCCGCTGCCACGCCCGGCTAATTTTTGGATTTTTAGTAGAGATGGGGTTTCACCATGTTGGCCAGCATGGTCTTGATTTCCTGACCTCATGATCCACCCACCTCGGCCTCCCAAAGTGCTGGGATTACAGGCGTGAGCCACCGCACCCAGCCTAAAAGGGCTCTTATTTTAAGTCCCTATGTTTTAGACTTGTTTGTTATGCAGCAGTATCTCACTGCAGCACACTATGACTGAGCTGGTGACAAAAGGGTATCTTGTTAAAGTTGGTGTTTATGAAAAGTCACCAAAATTGCCTCTTTGCCACCCCCCCAGGCAGTTCCAGATTGGCAGAGCAAACATTTTTATGCTAATTTTTCCAAATAAGGAAATGAACACAGGTTAATTCACTTTAACAGATGCGTCAAGGGCCTACAATGTGGACTGTTGTGTCCCTACAGGAACTACAGATACGCTTTGTTTCAGAGCTGGTGGGGAGACACTGAGTGCTTGGAGGGGGAAGTGATATGAACCTTCCTAAATAGCCTCTCTTTGTCTTTCCAGGCCAGCCAACCTGTGACCTTCTCACATTTAAGTAGAACACCAAGAGTGTTTTAAAGGAAGTTTTCAAAGACTGGACAGGACAGTATTCCTATTGGGTGGCTGCCAGGGAATGCTGGGTCCAGGGAAGGATGGGTTTGACAATATGCAGAATGACATTCAGGGTCTGGGGTTCTGTTCCAGGAAATGGCAATTGTTGGCAATACAGTTTCCACCCTACCTCTCCCACCTCCAGGCCCTCTAAAAAATCCTCTTTTCCTATTTTATATTTTTAATAAGGAGAGGATTGGCATGAAGAGAAATAAGTCTTTCCTACTGTTCACTTGGCTTCTGATGGGCAGGAGCCAGGTTGCATGGCACGAATGTTTCCTTGTTGAGTTGCTCTGTGTCGGGGGGTAACTGGGCTCTGGGGGGTCAGGATCAGGGGTTCCACAGGGGTAGGCATTTGGAGGTTTATGAAGGGTGGCCTATGGCCTCAGGGTTTGGAATATGTGTGGATCTAAAGCAAATGTACTAATCCATTGCAGAGCAGTCCTATTTCTTATTCCTCCCCCAAAACACAGCACCGTTTACCTAAGTGACTTTGGAAGGCAGCTATGCTCCCCACTACACACCAGTGCCGCACTACATAAGTGACTTCGGATTCCTGTTCCACCAAGGGACAATTTGGATAGACATTTTTACCCCTAAGTCCATAAATTGTGATGAAGGAAATTTTAACATGGGTCTGGAAACAACCACCCTTTTCTCACGGCTGAAGTAAAATCCGATGAAAGATTACTGAAAGGTGGAGACATCATAAATCCCAAATAGAAGGATAATTTTACAACAGTTTGGAGGCTGAAGAAAAAAAAAAGAGACAAAAGAAAGAGCTGGAGCTCAATGTATGGGGAGTTGGAAGAAATGAAGGCAGAAAAATTCACCCAGAAGAAAACCGTTGGAGTTTTCCAGCCAGAGAGCAGTTCTGAACTGAAATGAATGAACCAGAACTAAAACTCTCAATTTCCTTCCTGCGCTGTAGGAAAATTGAAAATCTCAGTCCTCGTTGGATTCCAGTGGAAATAATTGTCTGCTCCCTTAAAAATGGTGAAGCACAATCGGGACCGTGTCCCGCCTGGACATCTCCCTTCGGCCCCTGTGGCCGGCTCGAGGCCTCCAGCCCCAGCCTCTGTCTCCTGACTGCTGTCACGGTGCAAAATGCTTTTAAAAGTCCCATGACAGTGGCATTGGGATTTGGCTTAGAAAAGAATTGTTTTTTTAAAAAAACTCAATTTGTGCCTGTCCCAGAACAGCTCACTAAAACATGCTAGAGACACACAGGGCCTTTGCCTCACATCTTCGCCTGGCGTCTTCGGCCAACCAGAACCTGGCCCGTGAGACTCGTGATCTCCTTGGCTTCACCGGTTCTTGTCCTTCATCTACAAATCGCAGTTAAAAATGCATTACCCCCCTGTGACTGTTAGGCAGGTAAATAAAAGTGATACACACAGGAGCGGCTTCAAGTTCCTGGGAAGGATAGGATTTTACAAACCCAGGTCGTGATCAGGAGTCGCATTGAGACAGGAGCAGCTGACTGCGTGGGCGTTGTGTACCCCGGTCCTCCTCCTGAAAAACCCCAAGTCCTGTCAGTCCCAAGGGGCCATCTCCTCCTCCGTGGCTTCCCCAGCCTTGGGGTCTTGGGGGTGAGGGTCAGAGGCACCTGGAGAAACAGATCCCTGGAAATAGAACAGGACGGAAGAGGTGCAAGGGCTCCTCTGCGACTATTAATGAAGCACGGGAAAAATCCATTTGTCCCCATGCCTTTGAAGCCGGCTGCGATAGAAGAGGCTGCCATTCTGTTTTTCCAAATGGGAGGAAACCCCTGTGCTGCTGGTGCCTGGTCCTGAAAAGAGCTGTGTTTTGGAGAGCAGAGGAAAGGGAGGATGGCTTCTGCCCAGGAAAACAAAAATGGGGCTCCCAGAAAGGGTATTTGGGGAATGTTGTGGGGGCGGGGATTGAGATGTGTATTTGGGGACTGCAGTTTCTTTCTTTCTGTTTGAGACGGAGTTTCACTCTTGTTGCCCAGGCTGGAGTGCAATGGCACGATCTCGGCTCACTGCAATCTCTGCCTCCTGGGTTCAAGAGATTCTTTTGTCTCAGCCTCCCGAGTCGCCGGGATTACAGAGGCCTGCCACCACGCCCAGCTAACTTTTGTATTTTTAGTAGAGATGAGGTTTCACCATGTTGGTCAGGCTGGTCTCCAACTCCTGACCTCAGGTGATCTGCCCGCCTCGGCCTCCCAAAGTGCTGGGATTACAGGCGTGAGCCATGGCGCCCGGCTGGGGCTGCGGTTTCTAAACCCTGTTTTATGAGGGTGGTTAGGACGTGGTATCTGGGGGCCAGCAGTGCCCTTAAGCTTGGCCGGCAGGGTGGAGGGCTGCCCTGGGACTGTGCTTCACAGAGCCACGCTCTGTAACTCCTTTGGCTGTGCCCCTCCCCAGGAGAGCGTGGAGTCCACCCAGAGCTTACAAAAGTCCCAGCAGGGCACGGTCAGACTAGAGAGAGCCCCAGGTGCAAACTTTAAGGAGGCACTCACATTCCAGATGGTGCAGGCGCAGAGGTGGAATCTGTGAGTGGGTGCCCCCTTAAACTGGGCTCCCCAGGGCGGCTCTTTTGCTTGCCCTCATCCCAGCCCTGGCCCTAGACAACTTCTGATACTTTAGGACCCCAGAATTCTCTGCCCAAATGGCTAGAGTCTGGGAGAGACCACCTTGCTGGGGTGAGGTGGCTGATACAGGGAGCATGAGGGGAGCACGGACACACAGGCTGGAGTGTCCACTCTGCGTGCATGAGGCTCCTTTTGTGTAGGATACACAGTGTAGACACAACACGTGGGGTATGTGGGATATGCGGGGTAGGTGCATGTGTGTACAATGTGTGTATAATGTTGAAGAAGTATCCTTTATTTTTTGAGACTGCACCCTGTCGCTCAGGCTGGAGTGTGGCGACATGATCTCGGCTCACTGCAACCTCCACCTCCGGGGTTCAAGCAATTCTCCTGCCTCAGTCTCCCAAGCAGCTGGGATCACAGGCGCATACCACCATGCCGGGCCAATTTTTGCATTTTTAGTAGAGGTGAGGTTTCACCATGTTGCCTAGGCTGGTCTCAAACTCCTGACCTCGGGTGATCCACCCACCTTGGACTCCCAAAGTGCTGGGATGACAGGCGTGAGCCACCGCGCCCGGCCTGAAGAAGTATCCTTTTATTCCCACCCTGCTCAGTTTAAGAAAATTTACATCAGGAATCGAGTTTTTCTAACACCCTTCCCAATGTCTTTTGAGCTCATTTTACACATAATAAATATTTGGAAGCTGAGCGGTTACTAGTATTAGAGTTGCTGCATCTCCAGACATGACCAGAGTAGGAAAACCGGAGCGCACTTGGATAGATATTGAGTCTCACCCACATGTAAAGTGCTGCTATTGCTGCAATTACTCTTGTGCACAAAAACGAGAACTCTTTTTCTCGAAGTTCACAATTTAACTTTCCATCGTGGCAACTCAGGAATCCAGGCGTGGAACACTTAGGTATCCATGTTCTCTGCTCTTCCATCCGGCTTCCTACAACATGGTGGCAGGACTTTGTGTGGATAAGTAAGCAGGTGAGGCCTCTGCTCAGTTGCAGGGTCCAGTGGGGCACCTGGCTGTCAGGTTCCAGGGACAGGCGGACCCCAATGAGAGGAGCTGGAATAGTCTGTGTGGTAATGGGGTATCCTGGGGAAGAGCCATTGTGTGTGTGTGTGTGTGTGTGTGTGTGTGTGTGTGTGTGTGTGTGTGTTTGTGTAGCTACCATGAGATTTGTGGTCTGTCTTCACAGTCACTAAAATAACAGATTACATCATTCTGGAGGTGGGATTCTATTTTTTAATTTATTTAACAAATTTATTTTTCCAGATTATGCTTACATTTATTTTTTTCCATTACCATTAAAATAAAAACTATACATTTTCGATTTCCTTTTTTTCTTTTTTTTTTTTTTTGAGACAGAGTCTTGCCCTGTCTCCCAGGCTGGAGTGCAGTGGCAGGATTTTGGCTCACTGCAACTTCTGCCTCCCAGGTTCAAGCGATTCTCCTGCCTCAGCCTCCTGAGTAGCTGGGATTACAGGCACCCGCCACTATGCCCAGCTAATTTTTGTATTTTTAGTACAGACCGGGTTTTGCCATGTTGGCCAGGCTGGTCTCAAACACCTGACTTCAGGTGATCCGCCCACCTCAGCCTCCCAAAGTGCTGGGATTACAGACATGAGCCACCGCGCCCAGCTACATTTTCAATTTCTTATAGAACTTATATGCATCTAGATATCCATAGATATCTGTAGATTTGAGAAATAGTTTTTTCTTTCCAGCTTTAGTGAGGCATAATTGATGGACAATGAATTGCATGTATTTAAAGTATACGATGTGATGGGTTTTGACAGATATATGTACCCAGGAAACCAGCACTGTAATCAAGATAATAAGTGTTTTCATCCCCATCCCCCAGCTGCTAGATTCTTTTTGGTGATGTATTTAGTGTGTGTGTGTGTGTGTGTGTGTGTGTGTGTATGTGTATGTGTGCGTGCACGTGGTGTACCACATGTTTTGATATACATATGTATAGTAACATGATTGCAACAGTCAAACAAATTAACACGGAGCTGGGATTTTAAAGACCATGCTATCCTCTCTCTCACTTGGGAACTGAGGCCAGAGAGAGGACGGGTGGTCCACAGCCACTCGAGTCAGATACCAGGGCTCTCGCCCCCCAGCGCTGACAGATGAGCCTGTCACTGCATCTGTGGTTGACCAGAGAAATAGAAAAGTTGCCAGAAGAGCCTCTAAAGAATAACTTTTAAAGTTACGTGGTGCTGCTTTGTTAATTTTCCAGACAAATTAGCTTATGTCTCTTTTGGTTGCAAGTGACAGAATATCCAACGAGGTTAAGCTCTAACATAATTTATTGCCTTATTTGGCCAAAGTTGCAGGCTTTGGGTGCAGCTGGATGTAGGGGCCTCAACAGTGTCATCAGGATGTGGTTTGAAGCCTCTCTCGAATTCTTGTCCCCATCTTCTCCATGTTGAGTCTGTTCTTGGGCTTCTCCTGTGGCCACCGGCAGCACCAGTCTCACCAGGCGCTCACAAGATGGCAGCACCAGTGCCCGCTCTTGGAAGAAAAGAGAAAACCGGGCCGGGCGCGGTGGCTCACGCCTGTAATCCCGGCATTTTGGGAGGCCGAGGCGGGTGGATCACCTGAGGTCAGGAGATCGAGATCATCCTGGCTAACATGGTGAAACCCCGTCTCTACTAAAAATACAAAAAATTAGCAGGGCATGGAGGCATGTGCCTGTAGTCCCAGCTACTCAGGAGGCTGAGGCAGCAGAATCGCTTGAACCTGGGAGGCAGAGGTTGCAGTGAGCTGAGATCGCGCTATTGACACTCCACACTGGGCGACAGAGCGAGACTCCGTTTAAAAAAAGAAAAAGAAAAGAAAGAAAACTGGCGCCTGGGTTCCAGCATTCTCATTGGCTCCTGTGGAGTCATGTGTCAACCCTTGAGCCAATCACATGGCTGTGGGTCCCTGGGTTCCTGCTGCCTGGGTGGGGCCCCATCTGAACCCCTTCTCTGAGAGCTCTTGGGTGTGGGTCCCTGGAGGGAAACTGGGGGCTGTTTAGGAAGAAAATCAACATGCCCAATGTCTGCTGGATCAGTGAACCCGATTATGATAAAATAAAAATATCGAGAACTCTCAAATTTGCCTAAACCTGGGCACCCCAGGTGTTTGCCCATTAGTGCCTCTGTATGAGTCACCTTGGTTTTCTAGGTTCATGGATCTACCCCATGTCTCCACATTCTTGGATATTTATAAGAACCTTTCCACATTCAGAGTGGGGCTAGAGGAGGAAAAAACTTACTTGCTTGATTAATTAAATCAATTACTTAATACCCTAAAGCTTTCTGATGCTGTAAAGTGCAGGTTTCATATACTGGGCATGAGGGGTTTTCATAGACTCGACTTGTGTTGCAAATTAAAACAACGTTAAATTCCTTAGTAATCCTAGCAGAAAGGAAAAAAAAAAAAGTAAGAAAAAAGAAAAGGGAAAATAAAACCCCTCTTATTTCCAAATCACTACCAGTGGAATTTAAAAAATTATTTACACACTTAGCTGTGAGTCCCTTTATACCTGACAGGTTTGCCAGTAAGGCTGGAGCAATAATTTAAAACAGAAGTTGGGAGTATGGATAATGAACTCCCTCTCTTTTCCAAAATAAATGTACCATCGGATCCACAAGAGAGGTGACTTTTCCTAAGAAAGGACTGTACGTTTGGGAGCCAGGGGCCCCTGATGCTGTGTGAGGTAAGCCGATAGCACAGTGTGTTACTGTCTGTGGATGCGAGAATGAAATGAGGGCTGTTTCTTTGATTTATAGTGGAAGGAAACACCAATTTCTTGTCACAGATCATTACAGTTGAATTTAGGTCAAACTCATATGCTTATATGGAATTACTAATGCATGGAGGTACTTTTTGCTTTTTGTTTTTAACTCGCCAATCATTATCTACAGGATTTTTCTCGGGGGAGGTGGGGGATGGAATTTCACTCTGACACCCAGGCTGTAGTGCTGTGGCGTGATCTCAGCTCACCGCAACCTCCGCCTCCCAGGTTCAAGAAATTCTCCTGCCTCAGCCTCCTGAGTAGCTGGGATTACAGACATGTGCCACCACGCCCAGTTAATTTTTGTATTTTTAGTAGAGACGGGGCTTCACCGTGCTGGCCAGGCTGATCTTGAACTCCTGACCTCAAGTGATCCGCCTGCATCGGCCTCCCAAAGTGCTGGGATTACAGGTGTGAGCCACCGTGCCTGGCCATCGACTGAATATTATACTGAATTTTATTTTGAAAACAGAGAAGACTCCATTCTCTGCCTCCTGATGTACACATTCCGGAAGGGGTCATTGTTGGATGGTTGAGTGCATTGGGGTTATATTGAAATGGATTTGGGAAGGCTCTACAGCAAGGAAGGAATCTTCAGGTCTCTAGAATGTTCCTAGGCTGCTTCTCAGAGTGAGAGTCTGTAGTGGACACTGCCAGGGTCCAACCCATATCTCTCCAATGGCCATCATGCTCAACTCAACTCCCAAACACCTGCACCCTGGAAGACCACTTTTCCCAGCCAGCAGCTGGAAGTGCTGGGGGTTCCACTGCCCCCAAGAAACCCTCAACCAATGGCCCTAAGCAGTTGGTGTATAAATACCCCAGTTCCCTTGTTCCTCAGGTGGCATCATTCTTCTTTAAAAAGACTTCTTTATTTTGTAATTATTTTATTTTACTTTATTTTATTTATTTATTTGTTTTTGAGACAGAGTCTCGCTCTGTCGCCTAGACTGGAGTGCAGTGGCATGATCTCGGCTCATTGCAACCTCCGCTTCCCGGGTTCAAGTGATTCTCCTGCCTCAGCCTCCCGAGTAGCTGGGTTTACAGGTGTGTGCCACCATGCCTGGCTAATTTTTTGTGTTTTTAGTAGAGACAGGGTTTCCCCATGTTGGCCAGGCTGGTCTTGAACTCCTAACCTCAAGTGATCTGCCTGCCTTGGCCTCCCAAAGTTCTGGGATTACTGACATGAGCCTCCGTGCCTGGCCTATTTTGTAATAATTTTAAACTTACAGAAAATCGCAAGAAAGAGCTGAGAGTTTCCATATACCCTTTTCCCAGATTCCTCTAATGTCGAAATCTTGTACAACCACAGTACGATGATCACAGTGAGGGAACTGACATGGATATGATACTGTTAATGAAACTACAGACCGAATCCACATTTTATAGGCTTTTCCATGAACGTCCTGCTTCTGTCCCAGGATCCAATCCAGAGTCCTCCTCTGCCTTTAGCTGTTATGTCTCGAGTCTCTTCCTTGTCATGGTTTTTCAGTCTCTCATGACCTTGACATTTGTGAAAAGCACTGGTCAACGATTTTGAGAATGGCCCTCCATTTGGATTTGTCTGCCGTTCTCCTGTGTTCAAGACGAGGTTATGCATTTTGGCAAGAATGCCACAGAGGTGATGTTGTATCTGTCTCGATGGCGTTGTGTCAACGTTAAACCTCAATCACTCAGTTAAAGTAGTGCCTGCTGATATTCTCCTCTGTAAAATTTCTATTTTTTTCCTTTGTAATGAATAACTTCCTTGGGGGAGGAACTTTGAGACCTTGCAAATATCTTGTTTTTCTTCGAACTTTCGCCTACTGATTTTGGCATCCGCTGGTGGGCCCTGCGAGCAACAATGGCTAGTGTGGTGTTTGCCTGTGTGACGATTTTCTATTTTCTTTATTTATTTACTTTGAATTTATTAATTTATTGTTTAATTTTATCTATTTGTATTTAAATTTATTGATGTGATTATTATTTAATTTATTACATTTATTAATTAGAATGCCTTTTTTAGGGAGGATGTCCCTTCTGGGTGGGGTAATTCCAGGTCGTGGACTTTGCACCATTGCCCAGTTTCCTCGTGGGGTCAACTCCATGGCCCGCAAGAGTAGCTTGCTTGAAACACAGGACGCCCCTGTGGCTTTCTTCCCCTCCCTGCCTTATTTGCTCACTCCCTGGGGATACATCCCACACCTTCCAAAGAGCATCGCTGCACTTAAATCCTGACTCAGGATCTGCTTCTTGGATAGTCCAAACCCAGACAGCCCCTCTCACAGTACAGCACTTCCCCCCACCCCCACAGATGGGACAAGGACGGAGACCAGGTCACTCCAGGGAGAGCCGTGGCTAGTGGAACAGCTCCACCGTGAAATGGGTTGAGGTCGAATCCAAAATCTGAATGAACCCTTTATTCCACCTATTCCCCAGCAGCCTCTTTTCTTTGTGAACGTTTCCCCTATATTTTACCTAAATGAATGCAGCTGAACAGACTGTGCTTTAGAGCCTCTGGAAGACACCCAACAGAATGTTCTGAAAAATGCGATTATTTTTACACAAAATTGCCAATGTAAATTCAACTTCTTGTGACCAGCCTGGGATTCCCACACAACTGCATGCTGAGGTTGTTTTCCAGAAGGACCGAGGATGTCCAGCAGAGACTGATGGAGCTGTGAATAGCCCAAGGTGCTGTCTTACATTGTAGGCAGCCGAGGGGTTGACAAAACAAAGGCTTTGGAGCTAAATGGTGGCTGATAGACTTTGGCACCAGCTTAAATCAGTGAATTTCACAGATTTTGGAACATCTAGCTTCTGATTTCAGAGACACGTGGTGTCCTGATCTCTGGTGTCTAGGAAGCGTGGCTGGGGGGATGTGTGGTAGTGTTTGGCTTAGTGGATCAACACACCAGATTAAACCACTAGATGGTCCCCCTCCCTCTTCCAGCCCCCTCCCTCCCCCAGCCACTGATTGCTGGTGAACAGGCAGTTTGGGAGGGCTCAGGTCAGGCATCTGCCTGAAAAAAGGGTCAGGGATGTGGATAAAACAGAGATTGACCCACTCTTCCCATTGAGCCTTTTCCCAGTTTTGAAATTTTCATATCATTTTCTGCTAAAAATATTCTTGAGGGAAAAAATATTTTTTTTTCAATTTTAGATTCCTAGGAGGACAAAGGGGGGAAAATGCATATGTAATGAGAGATGCAAATCTAGAACAAATTCACACTCCATTACCCAAAACCTTCGTGTTATCCAAAGTCAGGTATGTTTGGAGATGCGGCATTTTTTCTAAACTTTGGAAAGTAATATGTTACATATATTGTATATTACAGAACACCCCCGACCCAGCAGGGTTTGGGGAAGAACTCTGTAATAGCACGTTATTTTCTGTAGTAAATTTCAGGAATAGTCACGCTAAGCTGGATCAATAAAGGCTCTAAGTCAACTCACATCACCTCAGTTCAGGTTTTGGTACCAAATGATTTATAAGAAAACTTGTGGTTTTAAGACCTTTCTTTTTTTTCTTTTCTTTCTTTCTTTATTTTTTCTTTTCTTTTTTTTTTGAGATGGAATTTCACTCTTGTTGCCCAGGCTGGAGTGCAGTGGTGCGATCTCGGCTCACTGCAACCTCTGCCTCCCAGGTTCAAGTGATTCTGCTGACTCAGCCTCCCGAGTAGCTGGGATTACAGGCACGCACAACCATGCCTGGCTAATTTTTTGTTTTTTTAGTAGAGACAGGGTTTCATCATCTTGGCTGGGCTGGTCTGGAACTCCTGACCTCAGGTGATCCACCTTGGCCTCCCAAAGTGCTGGGATTACAGGCGTGAGCCACCTCACCCGGCCTGAGACCTTTCTTGATTCTGGATGTGTGGATATGGGTAAGGGATTGTGGACCTATTTCTCCTTTCTAGCCTGACATT
The DNA here is from genome assembly GCF_000001405.40 of Homo sapiens. NCBI lineage: Eukaryota > Metazoa > Chordata > Mammalia > Primates > Hominidae > Homo > Homo sapiens. The sequence goes on from NC_000012.12 coordinate 124,124,902, forward strand.
AGAAATTAGGCTGACCCAGAGAAGCCTGCAGTATTATTCCTCTTTGTTGGAAAAGTTTGCATCAACATCTTTGATCAGACCAACCAGAATCTGGTACAAAAGTTGCTTCCCTGTTTTTTTTGTAAGCCAAGGTGTGCTTTTGGGGAGGGAGACAGGAGTGCAGATGACCACGAGAGGCCTCTGTGCTGTGGGATGTGGGTGAGTGGGGAGAGGCAGGAAACTGGAACCTCTGCATGGGTTTGACCTCCCCTTCCCCAGAGTCCGGCCAGGTTCCGTAGGGCTGGCTACAAACACCACCATCTCGCTTGTCATCCTGAGGATATCATTTTTGGGCAGCCAAGATACCCCAAAATGGCCTTATTTCCTTAGAGGGGTGGCTCAGAAAGGGAGAGCAGTTTGGCAATGAAAGAGACACACCACTGCAAGGAAAAATATACGCCCACTGTCAGTTTATTTTCATTGTAACCCCAGAGTCCTCTCGAGGGTGCTCACTGAGTACTATAATTTGCTGTGCACCATTTAGAGAAGAACAGAATTGAAACATATAAATAGGACTTTGAAAATAGCATGGAACACAGATCCTTTCTTTTTTTCCTTTGCAGAAAAGATATTTTGAATAAGTCTTTCAGGCTTTTTGATTTATAGGTTTGCTATTAACCGTGGCATTGAGCAGTCAAATACAAAGCATGCACGGCTGGAGTTCACCGGGCCCTGATGAGCACGGTTTTCACAGAATGAGCAAGCCAGGGCTTGTGCTGGTTTCCTGCTTCTGCTGTAATAAATCACCACAAGCTTAGTGGCTTCGGACGACACTCATTTATTATCTCAGAGTGCTGGAGGTCTGAGGTGTGAGCTCTGAAATGGGCCTCATGGGCTAAAGTCAAGGGGTCAGCAGGGCTGCATTCCCCTTGGAAGCTCCCGAGGAGGACCTATTTCTTGCCTCTTCCCCCTTCTTGAAGCCACCTGCATTCCTCGGCTCGTGGCCCCCTCCCCCATTTGAGTCTTTCTGATGCCTCATCACTTTAAGCTTCTCTTCTGCCTCCCTCATCCATCTTTTAGGGACTCTTGTGACTACATTGTGTTCACCTGCATACTCCAGAATAATCTCATTATTATTATTATTTTGAGACAGGCTCTCTCTCTGTCACCCAGGCTAGAGTGCAGCGGCATGATCAGGGCTCACTGCAGCCTCGACTTCCCAGGCTTAGGTGATCCTAGCACCTCAGTCTCCCAAATAGCTGTAACTACAGGTGTGTGCCCCCATGCCTGGCTAATTTTTGTATTTTTAGTTGAGATGAGGTCTCTCCATGTTGCCCAGGCTGGTCTCAAACTCCTGGGTTCAGGTGATCCACCTGCCTTGGCCTCCCAAAGTGCTGGGATTACAGGTGTGAGCCACCGCACCTGGCCAATCTCCTCACTTTAATGTCCACTAATTGACAACCTTAATTTCACATGTAACCTTAATTGCCCCTTGCCATGTAACCTATTTGCAGCTTCCCAGAATTAGGATGTGGATATCTGTGGGGTAGGACCAGTATTCTGCCTACCACAGGGTGAATCCCAAAGATATGGAGTGAGCTGGCCATAGGAGAAGAAGGAAGATGTGGGCAGGGAGGAGAGAGACTATTGTGTATCAAATACCATTACTCTTGATAATGGCATGTATTAAGTGCTCACCAGTAGCTTTGCCCAGTACCTACTCTGGTCTCATCTAACTCTATGAAGTAGATACTATGACTCTCCTCATTTTACAGATGAGGGAAAACAGAAGCTTATAGAGCAGTGTTGTTCAATATGGTAACCTCGAGCCATATGTGACCATTGATGTTTAAATACATTGACTAATTAAGATGAGTTAATCAAACTGTGGCATTAGACAACACCTTAAGCCATACACATGTGGCTGTTGGCTACCGTATTGGACAGCACAGGCGCTGATCATTTCCATCACCGCAAAGTTCTCTGGGACAGGGCTGTTGTAGAGGATAAATATGGGTCCCAACATCACATAACTGGAAAGTGGGAGAATCAAGATTAGAACCTGGTGCCTTAGGCTTAGAGCCTTGTCTTGGAATCACCCTATTACACAGACGTCCAGTATTCATTTCTCTGACCACATCTGGGAGCTTTGAAATCTGCCATATGTTGGGTAAAACTACTCTACATCTCAGCCACACCACCCTTATTTAACCCCTTCTTAAGAACACGTGGGTTCTGGCCACGTTTCTTGGATGTTTTCATTTAGCACCTGGCGTGAGTCATAAGAGGAAACCAAACGATGGTCAGCTTGGCCTTTCTGCTTCCCCAGTAGCTGCGCGGCACAAACTAGTTGCAGCTGTCTCTTTCCTACCCCTTCACTTGCCTCCCAAAGGTGGATGGAAGCCTCCTGGTTACCAAATGAATAAGAAGTGGAAGGTGACCGAGGGCCATGAATGATCAAATTAAAGGAAATGGCACATATTCCTCAAGCGGACTCCTTGTGCTGCAGTGTTGGCGGGACGAGAAGTGCTGCTTTGCCGAGCCCAGCATGGAAAATAATCCAATTTTCCTCTGACTTTTTCTGTTGAGGATTGCCAAAGAAGATGGCCTGTTTGGCTTCAATAATAGGAACAGCTAACGTTTATCCAGCGCTCAGAACACACCCTTGTCCTAATAGCTCCCCATGGATTAATCCATTGCCCTATGAGACAGGTGCTATTAATTTCACCTCCCCGAGGTCACAGGGCCAGTCATGGTGGTGCAGGATGTGGACCAGGAGGCCTGGCTTCAGGGTCTGGGCTCTTAAGCTGGTGTAGTACTTCTTCTCTACCTTGGGTATGTCAACCCGGAGGCCACTTTCTTCCCTTTTTCAGATGCCTGTAGTTTGCTGATGGAGCCAGAAACTGATGTGTCTGGTGTTGAAGAGAGGCAAGCTGGGTATGCCCAGCCCTGTCTGTGGTTTGAAGCAGGCTCTCCACCTCTTCATTGCTGGGTGTCAGCACTGGCCCCGGGAGGTCTCCAGGAAGGATCCGGGCCATGTTCCGAGCTACAGGGAACGGAGTAGAAGTGTGAACCAGGCTGAGTGTGGTGGCTCACACGCTTGTAATCCTGGCACTTTGGAGAGGCTGAGGCAGGAGGATCACTTGAGCCCAGGAGTTCCAGACCAGTCTGGGCAACATAGTGAGGCCCCATCTCTACTAAAAATACAAAAGATTAGTCGGGCGTGATGGTGTGTGCCTGTAGTCCCAGCTACTCAGGAGGCTGAGGCAGGAGGATCACCTGAGCCCAGGAAGTTGAGGCTGCAGTGAGCCGTGATTGTGCCACTGCACTCCAGCCTGGGTAACTGGAGTGAGACCCTGTCTCCAAAAAAAAAAAAAATTTTTTTTAATTCATAAATGTGCCACTGCACTCCAGCCTGGGTAACTGGAGTGAGACCCTGTCTCCAAAAAAAAAAAAATTTTTTTTTAATTCATAAATGTACGGATTACACAGTCACTAAAAGTGTCATTGATTCACTATTGTCTCTATTCCAAAGATTAATTATTAAGATTAATAGTTAAGATTAATATGAAGATTAATAATTAAGATTAATTGTGCAATAATAGTATTAAAACCAGAATGATAGGAATGGGAGCACATCTTATGATTTCTACTTTGAAAAAGAGAGGAATTTCATTTGTGGCACAAGAGTAATTTTAAAAAAAACCCCAACAACCTGGGAGCATGCAGGGATGGTTAAAATGAAACGTGGAGTCCAGCGCGCAGGCCACCTGACAAGTATTCCCCCGTTTCCACTTCTCTCTTGCCATGCTTTGGCTTGGCTTCCATCTCTGGGATTTTCTTTCAATTCATTGACTATTCAAAGGGCTTCATTTTCAGGTCATTTTCCACGTAAGACTTTAACCCTTTCTTCTCTCTGCCCATCAGCCTGAAAAGTGCTTCCTTATTGCCTTTCTTTTCTACTGGTATTGGGCTGAATTGTTTAAACTTCAAAAATATGTACATAACATTTAAGAGATTTTTTGTTTGTTTGTTTGAGACGGAGTTTCGCTCTTGTTGCCTAGGCTGGAGTGCAATGGCGCGATCTCGGCTCACTGCAACCTCCGCCTTCCTGGTTCAAGCGATTGTCCTGCCTTAGCCTCCCCAGCAGCTGGGATTACAGGCATGTGCCACCACGGCTGTCTAATTTTGTATTTTTGGTAGAGACGGGGTTTCTCCATGTTGGTCAGGCTGGTTTTGAGCTCCCGACCTCAGGTGATCTGCCCGCCTCGGCTTCCCAATGTGCTGGGATTACAGGCGTGAACCACCACGCCTGGCCAAGAGATTTTTATAAATTACGAAGAACAAAGAAGAAAACAAAATAAACAAAAATGGTCCATATCTCCCATAATCCCTGTTTACATTTTGTTGTTGTTGAGACAGGGTCTTGCTCTGTCGCCCAGGCTGGAGTGCAGTGGTGTGTTGTGGCTTACTGCAACCTCTGCCTCCCAAGCTCGAGCGATTCTCCCACCTCAGCCTCCAGAGTAGCTGGAACTATAGGTTTATGCCTCCATATCTGGCTAATTGTTTTAAAATTTTTTTTGTAGGGACAGGGTTTCACCATGTTGCCCAACCCGACCTCAAACACCTAGGCTTAAGCAATCTGCCTGCCTCGGCCTCCCTAAGTGCTGGGATTACAGGTATGAGCCACCATGCCTGGCCCTGTTTATATTTTTTAAAATCCACTAAAATTTTTAATGCTTGATAATTTGAACAGTGCAGAAAAATCCAACACGGAAAATAAGCTCCTCTCTCCTATTTTTCCTGCAGATTCTGCTTCCTAGGACTGTGTAGATTTAGTAAATTAAAATACAGGATGCCCAGGTGAATTCGAATTTCAGAGGAACAACAAATAATTGTGTAACATAAGTATATCCCATTTAAATAATTTTTTGGTATAAGAATGTCCCATATATTGCATGGGTTATACTTACACTAAAAATTATTCCTGAAAAATTATGGAGAAACACAAGGCTGGCAGCATTGTAGGAAATGGGTTTTTTCTAGATCTAAGGGTTGAATGATACCTGCCACTTGGAATTCATGAAATTACTGGTTGTTGTTGAATCTTATTTCAAACAACAGAATTTGCTTTTTTTTTTTTTTTTTTTTTTGAGGGAGGGTCTCGTTCTGTCACCCAGGCAGGAGTAGTGCAGTGGCGTGATCTTGGCTCACTGTAGCCTTGACCTCCTGGGCTCAAGTGATCTTCCTGCCTATTTTTTTTTTTTTTTTTTTTTTTTTTTGAGACAGAGTCTCGCTTTGTCACCCAGGCTGGAGTTCAGTGGTGTGATCTCAGCTCACTGCAACCTCCGCCTCCCGGGTTCAAGCGATTATTGTGCCTCAGCCTCTGAGTAGCTGGGATTACAGGTGTGTGCCACCATGCCTGGGTAATATTTGTATTTTTAGTAGAGACAGGGTTACACCAATTTGACCAGGCTGGTCTTGAACTCCTGACCTGAGGTGATCCTCTCACCTCGGCCTCCCAAAGTGCTGGGATTACAGGTGTGAGCCACCGCACCTCCCCTGCCTCATTTTTTTGAATTTTTTTTTTTTTTTTTTGTAGAGATGAGGTCTCACTGGATGTTGCCCAGGCTGATCTTGAACTCCTGGGCTTGAGCAATCCTCCCACCTTGGCCTCCCAAAGTGCTGGAATTACAGATGTGAGCCACCATGCCCGGCCAGAATTTGCTTCTTATTTAGTGCTTAAAGAGCTGGTCGATTTAAATTTTCCTCATTACTGGATGTTGATCATGCTGATTTAGTGGACACAGGCAGGAGCTTTTCTCTTCCTTCTGCTGTTAAGCAGGATTCCTCCCAAGCCCAGACGTCTCTGGATCATCTCTGGATGTTAGCTGGAAGTTGGACCTCAGCTGCAAGGTCATTATCATCTCCTCTGATCTTCTGTCCTCGCCCTCTCCGCTTCCAGTGTGGGGCTCAGCATGTGTATTTACTCACCTCGCACTGTTTGTTTTCAGATTGAATCCGTGAGAAGGAAGCAAAGGCCTCTGTGTGTTTACTTTGCCCTGTGAAAGCCAGCCCAGGGGGTCAACTCCCTCTCCCACAGCCAGTGCACCCACCCCCCACCCACACCGCCCCCTCAGAAACCTTGCCCCTTGACAATATTTTCAAACCTTATACATAATCTCAATCCATTTTAATGTTCCAATCCATTACACATACCCATGTGCACAGGGGTGAGAGTCAAAATATTTAACATCTGGGAAGGCCAGGAGGCTGACCCATCAGATCTGGTCTCAAAGCTGAGCTGTGTCCTGGAAGTCCCCTGCTGTGCCAGAATCAACATGAGAGTTTGGGGAGGGGTGCCCCAAGGCAGTAGGGGGGCAGCAGGTGGGCAGCAGCTGTCTAACAACCTGTAAAAATGCATTTTGATCTCTTAACCAGTAGAACTGTAAGGCTGAGCACCAGCTGAATCTCAGCTTTGCATATGTAAGGCTGAAACCAAAGTTTCACAAAACAATACCTACTTTTGAAACCACCTTTGCAAAATTATAACTGAGGAAATGACAACAGTGAAAGAAATCAGACCTAACCGACTCCATCTCGCTTCTAACCTTTAAGCTGTCCTTGTTCATTCCTGGGCATGGGCTGAACAAACTTTGGGATGGAATTCAGTTCATGGTTTGACTCTGACACAGAATTGATAATAGCCGTTTCCGGAAAAGACCCCCTGCTTGCCTGGGGACCAGTCTGCCTTTGCAGGACTAACAAATTAGCTACAAGATGAGAAGTTACAGTTTAGGGGTCATGCAGCCTCTGGCTCCAAGAGTCTAAACCCCCCCAGATTGCTCCTAGGAATAAGATCACTGTTGTAAAACCTAAGATCAGCGCTTGAGATATTTTGCAGAGCCTGCATTCTGATGCACCAGCTAACACCACCCAGACCAGTCATCTGGCTCAGCCAGTTCTGCTATCCCACCCAGGAACAGAAGACAGCAAGAAAAACTCACTTCAAACCCCTGATTCCATCTCCAGTCTGGCCAATCAGCACTCCCCATTTCCCAAGCCTCTACCGGCCAAATTATCTTTAAAAGCTCTGATCCCTGAATGCTCGGAGAGTCTGATTTCAGTAATAATAAAACTCTGGTCTCCCGCACAGCCGGCTCTGTGTGAATTACTCTTTATCCATTGCCATTCCCCTGTCTAGGCACCGGGCAAGGTGAGCCCATTGGGTGGTTAACTTTTACGTCTGTGACACATTCTGAGGTGTTTTGTCTACTTCTGTTTTGTTCTGTTCCATCCTATGCCAACTCATTCTGTCATTAAAAAAAAGAAAAAAGCTGACCAGGCATGGTGGCTCACGCCTGTAATCCCAGCACTTTGGGAGGCTGAGGCGGGCAGATCACCTGAGGTCAGGAGTTCAAGACCAGCCTGGCCAACATGGTAAAACCCCGTCTCAACTAAAAGTACAAAAATTAGGTGGGCATGGTGGTGGGTGCCTGTAGTCTCAGCTACTCAGGAGGCTGAGGCAGGAGAATCGTTTGAACCCAGGAGGCGGAAGTTGCAGTGAGCTGAAATCGCGCCATTGCACTCCAGCCTGGGAGACAGAGCAAGACTGTCTTAAAAAAAAAAAAAAGAAAGAAAAGAAAAGAAAAATAAGAAAGCTAACCTAGACTTGCTAAATTGATTTAATAACCATGAATTGGTCTCGGCCAGTTTGAAACACTGCTGTGATCTGGTAGCTCTCAAACTGCTCAGTGCCTGAGACCTACCTGGGGAAGTCTGCTAGACATGTGGATCCTCCATTCTCATTCTGCTGGCCCAGAGCCTGCATTTTTGAAGACCCCAAAGTGATTCTGATGCAGGTGGTTCAGGAGCGACTCCAGATGGAAGGGTGTTTCCTGGCTGAAAGGCTCTGGTTTGGTTTTTTTCCTAAAAGCACAAGTATAATCATAATCCCAAGTGCTGCATTTTCCTTAGAACTGAACCTGCTCAGCACAAGGCATGTTGTTCCTAGTGACAACACTGATGGCTTTTGCCATAAAAACTGTCTTTGGGCAAGGTTATCTCCAAGGCCTGGGATTCACCTGTGCCTCTGACCTGATAGTCATCTGGTGCTCTGAGTGCTGCTTCTCAAGGCACTGGGTGGGGAAGAGGAATTTTCAACTGTAGGATGTGGTTCACTCACCGAGCCAAGAATTATGGGTAGACCCCACATAACAGAGTAGACCAGTTGGCAACCCAGAACAAATTAGGAAAAATTGGCTCAAACTGTAATCCATCCTGCACACATTATTGTCTCCATTCATTAACTCACGTATGCATTAACTCAGCTAGTTTTATTGAGCACGTACTGTGTGTCAGCCCTCATGCTTCATCTCTGGGACACAGTGGTGATTAAGAGGTGGCCTTGCTTGCTGTGCCTACAGAGGGGCAGATGGAGGCCAGGTGTGGTGGCTCACGCCTGTAATCCCAGCACTTTGGGAGGCCGAGGCGGGCAGATCACGAGGTCAGGAGATCGAGACCATCCTGGCTAACATGGTGAAACCCCATCTCTACTAAATATACAAAAAATTAGCCAGGCGTGGTGGCGGGCACCTGTAGTCCCAGCTACTCAGGAGGCTGAGGCAGGAGAATGGCGTGAACCCGGGAGGCGGAGCTTGCAGTGAGCTGAGATCGCATCACTGCACTCCAGCCTGGGCGACAGAGCGAGACTCTGTCTCAAAAAAAAAAAAAAAAAAAAAAGAGGGGCAGATGGGTGGCTTGCCAGGGGTGAAGGCAAGTCTTCCATCTCGTCTTCCTTTCCTCAACAAAACTTTGCTCAAGGCAGTCCAATCTCTGTGTAGCATGTAAATAAAATAAAAAAAGAGGCCCAGCACAGTGGCTCACACCTGTAATCCCGACACTCTGGGAGGCTGAGGCAGGTGGATCATCTGAGACCAGGAATTCAAGACCAGCCTGGCCAACATGGTGAAACCCTGTCTCTACTAAAAATACAAAAAATTCGCCAGGTGTGGTGGCGGGCACCTGTAATCCCAGTTACTGAGGAGGCTGAGGCAGGAGAATCCCTTGAACCTGGGAGGTGGAGGTTGCAGTGAGCTGAGATCGCACCACTGCACTCCAGTCTGGGCAACAGAGGAAGACTCCATCTCAAAAAAGTAAAATAAAATAAAATAAGAAACTGCTTAATTTCCCAAATAATAAATACATGATGTTCTTATGAAAATTCAGAGAATACTGTAGACTAAGAAGTAAAACATGTCTTGCCTTCCATTCACCTTTCAATCTCTTCTTTCCCTAGAAGTTAACTATAGTATTGTTACCAGCTTGATGTATGTTTTATTATTATTATTAATTATTCAAAGACAGGGTCTCACTCTGTCACCCAGCCAGAGTGCAGTGGTGCCGTCATAGCTCACTGCAGCCTTGAGCTCCTGGGCTCAAGCAATTCTCCCGCTTTAACCTCCCGAGTAATTAGGACGAGAGGAGCGTGTGGCGATGCCCAGATAACTTGCTTTACTTTTGGTAGAAATGGGATCTACTGTGTTGCCCCGGCTGGTCTCCAACTGCTGGCCTCAAGTGATTCTCCCAACGTGGTCCCCCAAGTGCTGGGATTACAGGCATGAGTCACTGCACCCAGCCATGTTCTTGTCTTTTCTTAACATTTATATACATGTATTAGTACTCATAGAAGTATTTGGTATTGTCTAACATAAATGGGATCATATGTACATATCATTCTGTAACTTGCGTTTTTGTTCAATGATATGATGTTTTGGATGTATTCTCATTTCAATTTGTGTAGTAGATAACAGATCAACCCCCCGCGTTCTTTCTGACTGATTCAGGAGTTAGATTACATGGTGTGCTTGTACCATAGTTTATTTCACTGTTCCCCAATGGATGGCATTTATATTGTTTTCGAGTTTTTGCGATTGCCGCAGATGCTGGAGTGAGCGTCCTTGTGGTACCTCTTTGCACACATTTGCTTATATTTTTCAAAGATGGACCTCTAGGTGTAAAATTTCTGGTTCTAAAGCAGCAGTTTGTGGACCTGGCTGTACATTTGAAATACCTGGGGACTCTTTCAAACACCCTGTCAGGGCCACACCCCAGGCCCTTTTTTTTTTTTTTTTTTTTTGACGGAGTGTCACACTGTCGCCCAGGCTGGAGTGCAATGGTGCGCTCTTGGCTCACTGCAACCTCCACCTCCTGGATTCAAGCGATTCTTCTGCCTCAGCCTCCCAAAGTAGCTGGGACTACAGGCATGCACCACCACGCCCAGCTAATTTTTGTATTTTTAGTAGAGACAGGGTTTCACCATGTTAGCCAGGCTGGTCTTGAACTCCTGACATCAAGTGATCCGCCCACCTCGGCCTCCCATAGTGCTGGGATTACTGGAATGAGCCACTGCGCTAGGCCCACTGGACCCATTAAGTCTGAATCTCTGGGATGTGGAGCTGGTCCTCAGAATTTCTTCAAGAGCCCCCTAGGTGATTCTCATTTGTAGCCAGGGTAAGAACTACTTGTCTTAAAGTGTCTGCGTTTAAAACCTAATTGTGGCCTCCAACCAGGAGTGTAGAATGCCTGTTTCCCGGACCTTTCCCACATTGAACATTGTCAAACTTCTAGTTGTGAAAACCTAAGGGTGAAAAAAACAAACCTTGTTGTTGCCATGGTTTGCATTTGTCTTAACTACTAGCATGGTGGAGCAGCTGGTCAAATGTTAGGCAACCACCTTTACTTCTTTTGTGAATTATTCGTTCATATTCATTGCTCACTTTCTGTGTGTTCCTTAATCTTGTGTAGGAGTCTTTTATAAAATCTTAATGTGAATCTTTTGTTTTTATGTATGTTGTAACTAACTTTACCTGTAATGTGAACTTTGTGTCCTCTATTTTTTTTTTTTTTTTTTTTTTGAGACAGAGTCTCACTCCCTCAACTAGGCTGGAGTGCAGTAGTGTGATCACAGCACACCGCAGCCTTGACCTCCTGGGCTCAAGTGATCCTCCTGCCTCAGCCTAACTGAGTAGCTGGGACTACAGGCGTGCACCACCAAGCCTGGCTAATTTATATATATATATATATATATATATATATATATATATATTTTTTTTTTTTTTTTTTTTGGGGACGGAGTCTTGCTCTGTAGCCCAGGCTCGACTGCAGTGGCTTGATCTCGGCTCACTGCAACCTCTGTCTCCTGAGGTTCAAACAATTCTCCTGCCTCAGCCTCCCGAGTAGCTGGGATTACAGGCGCCCGCCACTATGCTCAGCTAATTTTTTGTATTTTTAGTAGAGACGGGGTTTCACCGTGTTAGCCAGGATGGTCTTGATCTCCTGACCTCGTGATCTGCCCGCCTCGGCCTCCCAAAGTGCTGGGATTACAGGCGTGAGCCACCGCGCCCAGCCTAATTTTTTATATTTTTTATAGAGACAGTGTCTCACTATGTTACCCAGGCTGGTCTTGAACTCCTGGGCTCAAGTGATCCTCCCACCTTGGCCTCCCAAATTGCTGGGATTACCACGCACTTTGAGGCACCACGCCCAGCCTCTTTTATCGTGTAAACATTTTACATTTTAATTTCTATGTTTTTTCCCTTTATGGCTTCTAGGTTTCCTGTCTTGTTTTAGAAATCTTATTTACCCCAAGATTTTTTTTTAAAAAAACACAACAACCATGCCCCCTTGAAACCTATCTCATTTATTTTCTTTTAATACTTGTATAGGATTTTTAAAAAATGTTGGCATTTTAATGCATTTGAAATTTCCATTTGTGAACAGTATGTGGCAATAATCTAATTTTATTTTATTTTCAAGATGGGTAGTTAATTTTCCTCATACTGTTTATTAATCTATCTTTTCCCTTGTGATTTAAAAATGTCATCTTATATACTAAATTTACATTTACATACATACACACATATGGTGCACATGTATACATGTGCATCCTCCACACACACAGCTTTTTCTAGACACTCTTTGCTGTTCCATCTATCTATGTGTTCAATCTGTATTGACACAGGGTGGATACTTTAAGTTGTAAACAACTAAAAATTCAATGTAAACTGATTAAAACAATAAAACAAATGTGCAGCTCATAGCTGAGATGTTCAGGGCCTCAGACCAGGCAAGATCCAGCAGCTCAGGTGATAGAATAAGGACCTGCTTCCTTTCTCTGTGTTATTGGCTCCACCTCCTTCCTGTTGGTGCCATCTTGGTCTGAAGCCAGGAGCTTCCAAGGCTACATGCTTCCTTGATCATATCCAACATGAAAAAGGGGGAGTCTACCTAAACAAATTCCAGAATTGGGTCTTGTTGTCCTTTGACTTGTTTTGATCCAAGAACTATGGTTGGAAGAATGGAATACACTGACTACCTTAAGCCAATCAAATCCCCGCTAGTGTTGGGGATGGGGTCAACCACACATTCATCCATTGGCTGGGATATTCAGGGTATTCTTTGGGAGCAGGAAGAGGGGGTTAGATGCTGGAGATGGCAAGGAATCGCCAAAGCACCTACATGTACCAGTATCACACTGTTTTAATGGTTACAGCTTTGTAGTATGTTTTAACATCGTACTGTTGTTTTTTTACACAATTTTATAGCTTTTCATCTTAGATGGATTTTGGAATCAGCTTCTCAAGTTATATTTAAAATCCTTGGCCAGGCATGGTGGCTCACACCTGTAATCCCAGCACTTTGGGAGGCTGAGGCGGGTGTATCACCTGAGGTCAGGAGTTGAAGACCAGCCTGGCCAACATGGTGAAACCCCGTCTCAACTAAAAATACAAAAAAATTAGCTGGACGTGGTGGCAGGTTCCTGTAATCCCAGCTACTTCGGGAGGCTGAGGCAGGAGAATCGCTTGAACCCAGGAGGCAGAGGTTGCAGTGAGCTGAGATTGCACCATTGCACTCCAGCCTGGGCAACAAGAGCAAAACTCTGTCTCAAAATAAATAAATAAGTAAATAAATAAATAAAATCCTCCTAGGAGTTTTCTTGGTATTGCATTGAAGATCTGGATTCAAGTCAACATGAAATCATCATCTTTACAAGGTTGAACCTTCTTACCTAAAGAACTAGATAAATCTTCCTGTTTATTCAGATCTACTCATGGTATCCAATGAAGTTTTGTAATCATCACATAGGTCTTGGGAATTTCTTGTTAATTTTATACCTCATTATTCTTCGTTTTTTTGTTGTTAATAAGATGGATCTTTTTGCCCCTGGCATTTTGTAATTGGTTGAGGCTGCTGTAAAGGAAGTTTACTGGTATTTGTATATTTATCTTATATCTGGCCACTGACTGAACCTCTTATTGGCTATAATGCTTTTTCAGTTGGTTCTCCTCCAAGCAGTCTTTACCTCCTTTTCCTCCTCTGTGTTCTGCAGTTTGGCTCATTCTCTCCTCTTGGAATCATATGTAGTTCCTTAATTGTCAGCTCCCTCAACCTTCTCTTATAGTTTCTCCTTCTTTACTTTGCCTCCTCCATCCTACACTACCTTCCTTCCCCAAGAACGGTTCCATTCAATGAGTCAAAAACATTCAACACCTTCAGGTTTGGTGTGTAGTATGAAGTGGATAGTTTCCCCCACATTTCCCTTAATGTATAAAATTCTTTGTCGAATAAATTGAAGGCTGTCATTTACAAGCTGCCATACTGTAGGGTAGTAATTATTCTTATACTTGTTATCCAGTTTAACTGTCTAACAGGGCCAGTGAAATAAACCACCATGTTTCTGGAGAGAGAAACTCTTTTGGGGGTTATGGCAGGGTGTAATTTAACTCTCTTTGTTAGAGCTCCAATACATGTTTTCTTGCCACTGCTTTTGGAGATAGGGAAGCAAGTATTTTTGCCCAAAATTCATTAGATTTTTAAAAATTGCATATTTTACTCTTTACAACAGGCTAGATAGCATAGAAACAGGTTGCTCATTGCAACAGTTAGATAACTTAGAAATAAAAAGCATATTAATAATCCCCCTAACTCCCACCCCCAGGTAACAAATAGTAACAATTTAGTGTGTGCCCTGCTATGCCATGTTTATACATATGGACGTATTATAGGCTTTGGTTTTTTAAAGTAAATAAGAGTATACTATTCATATTACAACTTGCTGCTCTTTTTAAAAATACACCGTGTAGAAGAGTTTTATTTTTACAAGAAAGTTGCAAAAATAGTACAGAGAGTTCTCATCTACTCTTCACCCTGTTTCCTCTATTGTACATTTGTCAAAACCAGGAGATCAACCCTAGCACGTTACTATTTTTTTTTGAGACAGAGTTTTGCTCCTGTTGCCCAGGCTGGAGTGCAATGGTGAGATCTCAGCCCATAGGAACCTCCACCTCCCAGGTTCAAGCGATTCTCCTGCCTCAGCCTCCTGAGTAGCTGGGATTACAGGCATGTGCCACCACGCCTGGCTAATTTTGTATTTTTAGTAGAGATGGGGTTTCTCCAAGTTGGTCAGGCTGGTCTCAAACTCCCGACCTCAGGTGGTCTGCCTGCCTCGGCCTCCCAAAGTGCTGGGATTACAGGCGTGAGCCACTGCTCCCGGCTGCACGTTACTATTAAAGAAGCTCCACACTTCTTTGAGCCATCACCAGTTTTCTCCAATATTTCCCTGCTGTTTTAGGGAACCAGCCAGGACACCACAGGACATTCAGTTGTCATGTCTCTTAGTCTCCTCCAATCTGAGATGGTTCTTTAGTCTATATCGGATTTTTTTTTTTTTAGGACAGATTTTCACTGTCATTGCCCAGGCTGGAGTGCAGTGGTAGAGGCAGGGTTTCACCGTGTTGACCAGGCTGGTCTCGAACTCCTGACCTCAGTTGATCCACTAACCTTGGCCTCCCAAAGTGCTGGGATTATAGGCATGAGCCACCGCACCTGGCCAGTCTCTATCTTTTATGACCTTGATACTTTTGGCCAATTATTTTGTAGAATGTCAATTTGGGTTTTTCTGATGTATTTCTCATGGTTAGACCAGGGGTATATGTTTTGGGGAGGAAGATACCAGGGGTAAAGTGCCATTTCCATCACATCATATCAGTAGAACATGGTATTGACGTCACTGACGATGCTAACCTTGATCAAACGCCAGTTGTTTCTGAACTTAATATATCAGCTATCCCTTCAGGTGAACACCCTGCCCTAGTGCACTCTTTTTAGCAACTGCATAATATTCCATACTGTTGATAAAACATGGTTCATTCCAGTCTTCCAAAGTTCTCATATACATGTGAAAATGAGGTGAAAACTCAGTTCACTGTGTGGATAAGAGTGATTCTCAATACGTGTGTTGAACTGGAATGACAGTGACACCTCTGTGTCACTGCAGGTGAGTTAAAGTTTTGGGGTCCCAGTACAGGGAGGCACTAGATAGAAGGTAGTTTCAAGGAGGGGAGGATGAATCCACAGAGGCTGACAGAACCAAGTGGGGAAGCTTCAGAAAGTGAATAAATAGGTGGAAAAAAGGATTGGGTGATAATTATGACTTGACTTCAGGTGAGAAAAGAAAATCATTATAAATGGTGGGATGCAGGGAATGCTGGGGGACCATGGAGGACCATGGGGAGGACTTTGGGAAGAACCAGATTAAACCCCAGCTTGATCCAGGCACTTCAAGATCATTCAGTGACATCTCCTTGGCTAATGGGGCAAATGGAAAAAGGAGTCTTTGGGGTAGGGTGTGGTGGCTCATGCCTGTAATCCCAGCTACTTAGGAGACAGAGGCTGAGACATGAGAATTGCTTGAACCCAGGAGGTGGCGGTTGCAGTGAGCCAGGATCACACCACTGCACCCCAGCCTGGGCAACAGAGCAAGACTCTGTCTGAAAAAAAAAAGAAAGAAAGACAGAAAGAGAAAGAAAGAAAGAGAAAAGAAAAGAAAAGAAAAGAAAAAAAGAAAAAGAACTTTTTGGAAGTCGGGAGGCCTGGGCTCTGTCTTTTGTCACATCATCTATGGACCATCTCTGAGGGCAGGTGACAGCCCAGTGACCAAACTGGCAGCCAATGCGTAGGGTGCTCCAGGTGTTTTATCAATGGTGGCTCCTGCAGAAGCCAAGAATCCAAATATTTTCCAAAAGTTCTTTGTTTCACGTGGGGCGCTGGGGTTCCCCTTTCCACTAGATGAAGGCTTCTCCCCACCCCCACTCCCCCTTAGGAAATCTGGAGCCACACTGCAGGGTGGCTTTGTCATTGACATGCCAGCATTCCATACATGCAGAAGGATCACTCAGCTTTTGAAAGTGAAAAGTTAGGGTCACTGCAATTTCCCCTTCCTTTGGATGTCTGTGGCCAGGAGCTCTCCACACAGGCCCTTTCTTCTCTGCCTGCTCTCACCCTCCCCGTCCCAAGCAGACAGAAACCAGATCTCTCCCCCCACCCCTGAAATGAAATTTCAAATCAGGAACACGTGAGGCTTTGTCTAAAAGGTAACCGATGTCAGAGAGAGCACATTGCCAATTCAATTATTCTCCTTCCTGCTGGAGACCGCAGCTTATTTCAAGCCTAATGATGGCATTTTGGGCTCACATGCTAATTTCATAGCTGTTTCCTGGGGAGGAGGGAGAGTTAGCCGGCCTTTCTGATGGTCATATCCATTGACGGTGGTGTTTTGCTGCTTCCTGAGCCGGTTCTGCAGAACTTCGGCCCTCAAACAATAATACTCTGGTTTCTTAAAATGATGATAAATGGTTAGATTAGGTCGCTCCACATATGGCAACAAGACTTGATGGAGACAGCCCAGTGCCTGAGCGCTTCCTGACAGCAGCATCCACACTCCTTGGAGTATCACCTCTCACCCCACCTGTTGGGAGGGAACTGGCTGTGTTGCTTTCAGAGAATGTGATAATTATTGTAAACCCAGAAAGTCTGAGGTCTCAGTTAACTTAGAAAGTTTATTTTGCCAAGGTTGAGGATGCACCTGTGACCTAGCCTCAGGAAGTCCTGATGACATGTGCCCAAGGTGGTCGGGGCACAGCTTGGCTTTATACATTTTAGGGAGACATGAGATGCCAATCAATATATGTAAGAAGTACATTGGTTCTGTCCAGAAAGGTGGGGGCAACTCGAAGCAGGGAGGGGGCTTCCAGGTCACAGGTAGGTGAGAGACAAATGGTTGCATTCTTTTGAGTTTCTAATGAGCCTTTCCAAAGGAGGCAATCAGATATGCATCTATCTCAGTGAGCAGACGGGTGACTTTGGATAGAATGGGAGGCAGGTTTGCCCTGAGCAGTTTCCAGCTTGACTTTTCCCTTTAGCTTAGTGATTTTGGGGGCCCAAGATTTTCCTTTCATATTATAAAGCTGGAAAGTCACTTTCTCTTTTCTTCTTTTTTTTTTTTTTCAAATTGAGCTGAAATTCACATCACATAAAACTAACCATTTTAAAGTGGACAATTCAATGACATTTAGGACAGTTACAATGTTGTAACCACCACCTGTACCTAGTTCCAGAACATTTTCATCACCCCAAAGGGAAACCCCATATCCATTGAGCAGTCACTCCCCATCCCCCCTCTTCCCAGCCCATGGCAACCACCAATTTGCTTTCTGTCTCTATGGATTTACCTATTCTGGATATTTCACATGAATGGAGTCAGGCACTACGTGGCCTTTTATGTCTGGCTGCTTTTACTCTGCATCGTTTTTGAGGTTCATCCATGTTGTAGCCTGTGTCAGTGAGAGAGGAGAAAAAGGAACCAGTCAGGCAGGCAGTTAGGGTGGGTCCTCGGTTGAATTCTTTCAAACCAAAGAACAGCCTGAAAAATCAAGCTGCAGGCACAGATGAGGGAACTTGCACAGGGGGACTTGCCTAAGATGCCCACAGCTGCACAGATAAGATTACACAGGTGACTTGCCCAGACAGGCCCACAGTGGAAAATTCCATCCCCTGACACATGTGCAGTAAGGGGAGCGAAGCAATATGGAGTAACTCAAGCTAAGGGCCTGCGTGCGCATTAGGAGGACAGGGTGGAGCTGCCAGGAATTCATGCCTTATGCAAAGGAGGCACCCAGCCCTCATCGGTTTTGTATAAAAAAAAAGTAGACTTTGCAGTCTACTGTAAAAACGGCAACCCTCTTTCAGGCCTGCTGTCTGCAGCAGAGAGCTTTCCTCTTTTGCTTATTAAACTTTAGCATGAATGTCACCCTTGGTGTCCACATTCCTTAATTTTCACAAGACAAAGAACTGCAGATGATACCTCAAACAACGACAGACTGCTACATTGCGGTGCATTGGCAAGACGGTAACATTAGTGCTTCATTCATTTTGATAGCTGAATCATAGTCCACTCTGCAGAGATCACATTGATCACATTTTGTTTACCCACGTATCCTTTTAAAAAAATGTTTTCGTGGAAATGAGGTCTCACGATGTTGCCCAGCCTGGTCTCAAACTCCTGGCCTCAAGTAATCCTGCCCTGCTTGGCCTCCCAAAGCACTGGGATTACACGCGTGAGCCACCGCACCAGGCCTAACCATTTATCCATTGATGGGCATTTGAGTTGTTTCTACCTTTTGGCTTTTATGAATAAAGCTGCTATAAACCTTTATGTACACATCTTTTAGAGGAGTGAGTGATTTTTGAAACAAAGGGTCAAGAGGACCACTGTCTCCCCAGGAAACGTTTCCATGCTCTTTTCTTCCTGGCATCTTTACACACCAATTCTCTGCATTGCTTCCATGCACGGCCATTAACTGGATTACTGGGGATTCCTAAATAATGATGACGATGCCGTGAACCAGCCTCATATATGATCTCTGCTGCCTGCCACCACCATCCATGCCTAATAAAGTATTCCAGTGCTAATAAAGTGCCTACTTCCAGTGCCTAATAAAGTATTTCATCCATGCCTAATGGAGTGTTGCAGTGCTAGGAAGATGCTTGGAATGTCACAGAGGTGGGAATAGCTTAAAAGCAAGCAAATAATTATTGTTAGGCTTAAGTGAAACTCCGGGCTCGGCCACTTACTTGCTAGGTAGTAGCCTCAGGTGAGTCAGTGAACAACTTCTCCAAGCTGTTAATGGGTATTTGCAAACCAAACACTAAAGATAACACCCACCTCCCAGCATTCCTGGGAGGGGCCAGTGAGGTGAGGAATAGAGGATACTGAGTCAGATGCTCGGCACAGGGTGACAGCCTATCACAGAGGGGACTTTTCTTATTCTGAATTTTTTTTTTTTTTGAGACAGAGTTTTGCTTGCCTGGGCTGGAGTGCAATGGTGCGATCTCAGCTCACCGCAACCTCTGCCTCCCGCTTTCAGGCGATTCTCCTGCCTCAGCCTCCTGAATAGCTGGGATTACAGGTGTGTGCCACTATGCCCAGCTAATTTTGTATTTTTAGTAGAGACGGGGTTTCTCCATGTTGGTCAGGCTGATCTTGAACTCCTGACCTCAGGTGATCCACCCGCCTCGGCCTCCCAAAGTGCTGGGATTACAGGCATGAGCCACAGCGCCTGGCCTCTGATTTTTTAAAACAATGGTAGGTTTGGTGTTAGGCTCTGTGCATACTGATTCAGGGCTAGCCAGGAGATTTTGCAAACGTGATTTTGCAGTCTAGGATGTAGGACTGATTACAGGGTGATGTTGTTAGATATTTGGGAATTATTTGAGGTGTTCTGTGTCTTGAGAGTTCAACTGTCCTTTTTTGGAGCAATGTAGCCGTATTTTTGCAAGGGGAAGAAGACAAAAGACTGGCTTGAGTTCTTGCTCATCTCTCTGGATCTTTCTCTCTGTCATCTTTCTGGCTCTCTCCCTCTCTCTTTCAGACCCACTTCTGAATCAGGCTAAACTTTGTGTGACCCCATACTGCTTATATGTGACACCAGTCTTTTCTAAACACAGGCTGAATTCAAAATTTGTTACAGAAACACCCAGAACGTCTGCACGTGGTTATCTCTGAATTGAATCGAGCCAGGAATTTGGGCCCTTTTTTGTCTTAACCTTATCATTATTGGCACTCGATCAGACACAGACTGGCAAGGCAAAGCTTTGTCTGTCAAGGCGAAAGACCAAAGGGCTGGGAAAAGATGAATTTCACATGTTTTGCATTTAGAACAGGTAGTTTCCCTAGCCGGCAAAGAAGCTGAGTGTGAACTTGTTGGTGTGAGGACTCTTTGTTGGTGTGATGACAACTCTTAGGTGAGAATGTGTCAAGAAAGAAGCTGATAAAGGCAGAAGATGTTGGTTTTCCATCTAACAGTCATGTTCCCTTCTCCCATGTCTTACTTACTCTACCAAGTAAGTGGCAGAGCCAGGAGTCTAACAATATTTGCTTGCTTTAAAGCGATTCCCACCTCCGTGACATTCCAAGCATCTTCCTAGCATTGGAATATTTTACTAGGCATGGATGGTGGTGGCAGGCAGCAAAGATCACGTAAGAGGCTGTTTCTTTCCTTCTTTTTTTTTTTTTTTCGAGACAGAGTTTTGCTCTTGTTGCCCAGGCTGGAGTGCAGTGGCGCGATCTCGGCTCACCGCAACCTCTACCTCCTGGGTTCAAGTGATCCTCCTGCCTCAGCTTCCTGAGTAGCTGGAATTACAGGCGCATGCCACCATGCCCAGCTAATTTTATATTTTTATTTATATTTTAAATTTGATTTTATATTCCTTGTTTAGGAATCCCCAGTAATCCAGTTAATGGCCGTGCATGGAGGCAATGAAGATAACTGGTGTGTAAAGATGCCAGGAAGAAAAGAGCATGGAACCATTTCCTGGAGAGATAGTGGTTTTCTTGACCCTTTGTTTCAAATTTGGATTGGTTGAAATTGTTGACAAAAAAGCCAAACAGTAAAATGTTTAAAGAGGTTTATTCTGAGCTAGTATGAGTGACCATGGCCTGAGGAACAGTCTCGAGATCCTGAGAAAATGTGTCCTACGCGGACAGGTTGTAGCTTCGTCTTATACATTTTAGGGAGACAGAAGTTACAGGCAAAGACATAAGTCAATACGTGGAAGGTATATATTTATTTGCCCCAAAAAGGTGGGAATCTCAAAGTGGGGGGGAGGCTGGTTACAGGTCACAGGTGGATTAAAAGATTTTCTGACTGGCAATTGGTTGAAAAAGTTAAGCTTTGTCTGCAGACTTGAGGTAAATGCTTGAGTTAAGATAAGAGGGGTTGCAGAAGCCAAGGTTCTTGTTATGTAGATGAAACCTCCAGATGCAGCCTTAGGGAGAATACGGTAAATATCTCTTTTCAGACCTTAAAGGTGTCAAACTGTCATTTAATCTCTTCTACATCTGGGTGAGACCTAGAAAAGGAAGAAGATTCCCTTCAGTTGCAAATTTCTCCCACAAAAGACAACTTTGGGGCTGGGCGCGCGGTGGCTCACGCCTGTAATCCCAGCACTTTGGGAGGCCGAGGTGGGTGGATCACGAGGTCAGGAGTTTGAGACCATCGTGACCAAGATGGTGAAACCCTGTCTCTACTAAAAAATGCAAAAAAATTAGCGGGTTGTGGTGGTGGGCACCTATAGTCCCAGCTACTTGGGAGGCTGAGGCAGGAAAATCACTTGAACTCAGGAGGTGGAGGTTGCAGTGACCTGAGATCGTGCCACTGCACTGCAGCCTGGGCAACAGAGCAAGAGTCTGTCTCAAAAAAAAAAAAAAAAAAAAAAAAAAGACGACTTTGAAGGGTCATTTCAAAATATGTCAAGAAATAGATTTTGGGGTAAACAATTTTGATTTCCCTCAGGGTCTGCTATCTGTCACGTGATGTTATATTAGAGTCAGGTTAGAATTTGGTATCTTATGGCCACAATGAAGTCTTCTGTCAACTTTATGATCCCTATTTCATTATTTTTATTTTATTTTATTTTATTTTATTTTATTTTATTGAGACAGAATCTCGCTCTGTTGCCCAGGCTGGAATGCAGTGGCGCGATCTCAGCTCACTGCAACCTCCACCTCCTGGGTTCAAGTGATCCTCCTGCCTCAGCTTCCTGAGTAGCTGGGATTACAGGTGCATGCCACCATGCCTGGCTAATTTTATATTTTTAGTATAGATGGGGTTTCACCATGTTGGTCAGGCTGGTCTCGAACTCCTGACTTTGTGATCCACCTGCCTCGGCCTCCCAAAGTGCTGGGATTACAGGCATGAGCCACTGCGTCCGGCCTATGATCTCTATTTTAATGTTAATGCTGGTCAGCTGTGCCTAAACTCCAACACGGAGGGGGAATAATGAGGTGTATCTGACCTCCCTTCCTGTCATGGTTGGGAATTCATTTTTTCAGGTTTCCCTTGGCCCAGAGTGGGTCTGCTCAATTGGTTGGGGGTGCTTAGGATGTTATTTTTAGTTTCCAAAGCAAACATATGGTCCCACTCTGTTTGCCTGTTTTTGGCTTAGGTAGGAACATGTGACCCAGTTGCAGCCAATGAGATGTCAGGAGAAGTTGGCTGGGGGCTTCTGGGAAATGGTTCTTAGCTCCTAGAAAGAGATACAAGGAAGAGATGGCCGCCTTCTCACCTTGGGATGTTGCATGTGGATGTTTGCCTGGAGCTGTGGCAGCTGTGTTGATGCTGTGAAGAGAGACATGAAGATGGCAGTGAAGACAGAAAGAACTGGAGTCCTCGATGTCATAATTGAGCTGCAGAATTAACCACCCCTCGAGCTGCCCTACCTCTGAATGCCTTGTAAAGGGAGAGGATAAATGTCTTTATCATTGAAGCACCTTTTGTTGTGTTTATTATTTGCAACCAAGCAGATCCTGACTGTTAGAATGCTTGATGCTCCATTTCATGCAGCTACGAGAAAAGGGTGGGACAGCTGGTCAGCCAGCTGAGTCTAGGGAGAATCCTGTGCTTATTAACCCATTGCTGCCTGCCTCATTGGCCTGTGCCTATAAAACGAGAGATGCTGCTTCCTTTTTAGGTCCACATCATGATAGCACACGCCTTCACCAGCCTCTGAAGGAAATGAGAATCTTTACAACAATCCCGTGGGGAGTTTCGAGAGGGCCCCTTACAGAAACGGTGGAACAGGAAGCACTCAGTCTCTTTTCTTCAAAGCTTCTCATCTGAATGAGGCTGCTCTCTCCCTCTGCCTCATGTGTTAAATGGGGATAGCATTAGGGGAAGTTTGCATCTGTAGGCCATTTTGGAGGAGTGACCTAGTGACTGCAAAACGCTTAGAACAGTGCCTAGCACGTAATAAACACTCAGCAAATGTGGCTGCTGTTATAATTACTTTTTTTGTTTGTTTTGTTTTGTTTTGAGATGGAGTTTGGCTCTTGTTGCTCAGGCTGCGGTGCAATGGCACGATCTCAGCTCACTGCAACCCCCGCCTCCCAGGTTCAAGCGATTCTTGTGCCTCAGCCTCTCGAGTAGCTGGGATTATTATAGGCACCCACCACCATGCCTGGCTAATTTTTTAAATTTTTACTAGAGACGGAGTTTTACCATGTTGGCCAGGCTGGTCTCGAACTTCTGACCTCAGGTGATCCACCCACCTTGGCCTCCGAAAGTGCTGGGATTACAGGCATGAGCCATCATGCCCAGCCCGTTGTAACTAATTATTCTTCTCTTTGTCTTAGACAGGGATGTATTTGGCCTTAAATGGCACACAGTCTGCAATGCTTGAGGGATGTCCCCTAAGAGGACTAAAGAACTGACAAAGGAGAAGAAGGAAATAATGGGACAGGAGGAAGCAACAGTGAGAAGAGGAGGGGAGTGGGCAGGAGGAAATAAGGACAGGAAGAAAAAGAGGCCAATGTAGGGGAGAGAGGGGCAGCTGGTCCCTGGAGCCGTCTATGTCCCTGGTTTGCAGAGAACATTCCCAAGGGAGTCGTGTTCCTGTTGCTCATTAATTCCCTGGTCAACTGGCCCCTTGTCGGGCTCTTGCCTGGAGCAGTTGAGTGTCCTCTAACTGGGAGCAGCTGAAACTTAAAGGGTTTTGCACCGTATGTTGTTTCCGGAGCTCCCTTTTTCCTGTGGCTTCTGTTTTTCTTATTAAATGCTGCTGCTGAATTTGCAGCTGAAAGAAAGACAGAAAGACTACTGAAGAAGGCCTTGCCGCCCTAAAAGCTTCAGTGGAGCAGTGGGTCTCCACGCTCGGAGGTGCTTTCTGGCTGTCCAGTTTACAAATGAACTGGCAAGGCAAGCTAGACCTTTCATCCAAGAATCCAGATTAATGTTGCCTCCGAGTGTTTGAAGGAGCCACAAGGTCTGACTTACGCATGGCTCTTTCTTCCTGGCAGAACCTGATAGGTCTGTTTCTGTTGTTATATCTGGGGAGCTTCTCACCAGGAAGGGACAAGCTTGTAAAAAACTTGGTGAGTTTATGTCTGGTCGGCAGTCGCAGGAATACTGGACCAGTTGAGGGAGGTTCTGGGACCCCTACATCTTTCCACTGCTTCCTGAGCCAGAGAGTGTAAGGGGAGAGGAAAGAATTCGCTCTTCTCTGCTGAAGTCCGGAAGCTGTAATGGGGTAACAGCCAGAACCAGGGGAGCCAGACTAGAGGCTTGGATTTTCTGCTTATGAGTGCACCCCCCAAACATCCAGAACTCCGTGGGCCTCCCAGGGTTGAAGCAACAAGCCACAGGTCCAGCACTTGGCTTTGGGACCCCCGGTCTCAGCAGTGGCTGTGTGTCCACCCATACGTTTGTTACTCAGCATCACTGTGGCCACTGCTGACTGATACTTATGAGGTGCTCAAAAGTCACTGACAAAGCAGCTGCCTGAGCTCACCTTGTCCTCATCACCTTTTCTCCTTTCCAGGCCGCACTTGGTGAGAGTCTTCACGGACCACAGTGTTGCACGAGGTGATTGTGTTTGCAGAGGTTTTTTTGTCCTTGAAGAGCACTTAGGGCTGGAGAGCAAGACACATGCTGACGAGCAGAAGCTGACAGGCTTGCTGCCATGTGGGAAAGTCCTTGGACGAGTTGTCTGCTTGCGGAGAGGTGTCTGCGGCTCAGGTAGGGTGTCCCAGCTCGGTGGGTCTCTGGGTTCCAGAGTTCCAGAGTTTATTTGGTGAAACACAGCAGGGGTTATCACTGTGGCCCATGGCAGGGCTGAGCTGCCAACTTGATGCCCGTTGTTAGGAACAGATGTGAATTGTGTGTCCGGGTGAATAAGCCTCACTGTGGAGCCTCCATGCTGTAGAGAACTGGAGGAGCCAGGTTTGCAGAGTCTGCAAGGCGATCGTGTCTATGCGAGGAGAAATCCCTCACTCGGAGGGATTGCATTCCAAGAGGGCTGGGAAGTGAAGCCCAGTCTTCGTGACTTCTCTTTTCAGACCCAGGAAACATGGGTTCTGTGTTCCCTAAAAGTACCTGGTAGACCATTTATCACGTGAGACCTAGTTATTTGTCTACTATATGCCAGGCACTAGAAGTAAAATGATGATGAAGTCATGGACCCTGAGTTGAGAGAGCTTGATGGCTAATGAGAGAGGTGATTACAATACAGCATGACGAATGAGATAACAGGAATAAGAGGAGGCTCATGCGGCCTAAGCATGATGGCTGGAGGGAGTCTTTTCCCAGGAGACAAGGGGGCCGTTGCAAGAGGAGGCCAGATGGGGAGGGGAGGGGCGCGGCAGGCAGAGGGAACAGCCCTGCTGAAGACAGGCAGGCTGGAGAAAACTCCATGTGCTGTGGACCTGGGAGTAATTAATTTCCCCTGAAAGCAGAGGGGGGCTGTTTTTCATGCTTATTTGTATTGTATATTTCATCTTTTGTAAAGTTCCCATTGTGTTTTAAAATTTCCCTTTGGGTTTTAAAAATGCCTGCACACATTCTTTGATACTCTTCCCTTCAAAGAAAGGAGTGTGGGTTGGATTTAACGGCCAGGTTCTAATGAATGAAGTTAAGTGGAAGTGCCTGTGTGTGACTTTGGAGACGAGGCAGTGGGCAGTGAACTAACTCTCTCTCTGTCTCTGTCTCTGTCTCTCTCTGTCATTTGCCCTGGAGGAAGTGAGTTGCCATGTGGAGAGGTCCACATGGTGAGAGACTGAGATCTCCAGCCAACAACCAGGGAGGAGCTGAGGCTCTCACTAACAGCAGAAGGTGTGACCTTGGAGGCCCAGGCAGGCCTTTTAGTGGCCACAACCCTAGGTTACCTCCTGACTGCATGAGGCACCCTGAATTAGACCCTCCCTAGTTAAGCTGCTCCTGGATTCCTGACCTTCAGACAGTGTGAGATAATACATGTTTGTTGTTTAAGCTGCTGAGTTTTGGGATAACTTGTTACGCAGCAGTAGGTAACTAATACACCAGTCCACATTCCCTGCTCACTTTGTTTGAGGGAGTGTTTGTCTTTAATTTATTTTTGGAAGTTCTTTATATATTAAATTATGAACCCTTGGTATATATATATGTTGTAAAAATTTTCCCATTGTAATCTTGTATATACTTTAAAAAACATATATATGTATACTTTTTAAAAACCCAAATACCATTTATTATATTTTCTGCCTTTGGTGACATTTAGATATGTATTAGGTTGAAATTGCTAATATTCAATTGTTATTGACTGGCAAGAAATTAGACCTAATAGTCCCCACTACAAAATCACGTATATTTTTTCCCTGTATTTTTCTCTCCACACTTTTATGGTTTTATTTTGATATTAAAATTTAAGACCATTTGTTGCAGGACAGGTGAGCACCAAAACTGGGGCTTAGCCTGGGAGGATTCTTGGCTTTGCCCAGGAAAGAATTGAAGGGCGATCTGGTGGTGTTAGACAGCAATATTTTATTCAATGGTATTTCTCCTTGTGGAGCAGGGCTAACTCATAGGTAGTGTGCCCAGAATCAGCAGCCTATGGGCTCCTGGAAACTGTGTTTATACCCACTTTCAATAACATGCAAATTAAGGGGCAGGTTAATGCAAATTGAGGGGTAGATTATTTAGAACTTTCTAGAAAGGAGCAGTAACTTCCGGGTCATTGTCATGGAAAGGAGTGATAACTTCTGGGTCGTCGCCATGGCATTTGTAAACTGTTACGGGGCTGGTGGGAGTGTCCTAGGTTAATGAGCACTGAGGGCAGCCAGGGATCACTTTCATAGCCATCCGCTTGTTCCTGCCTGTTTCTTTACTTTATTCTGTCTGAACCAGATTCTGTCTCAGTCAACAGGGTTGTGACCAGAAAATAAGTCCTGCTGGTTTCCTACCTCACCTTGACTTGTCTTTGGCTTCTTCCTTCACTTGCTTCTTAAATGATGCTATCTCCCGACCATAATCTATTTCTATCCCCTCTTCATATTCTCCTTGAGCAACCGTGTGCAGCCCACACATCTGCTCCCTCCTGTGATGATGGCTCCAGCTTCACTTCCCAGCCTGGACACACTCTCCAGGGTGGGCTAGGCATCTCCACTTGGGTGCCGGGAGACATTGTAAATTCCACATCTCACCCTCAAAAATGTTCTCACATTCCCATTTCTTAGCAAACAGCATCCCTAGACATGCAGATCCCAAATCCAAAAATCCTACACCCAGTCTTTCACCAGCTGTCACAGGCCACCAATTAACTCTTCTCTGAAGTGTCCCCAGCACCCTGACTCCCCTATCTGTCAACATGACCACTTCCCAAGTTGAATTCTTCCATGTTTTTCTCCAGAACAACAGCCAAGGCATCCTAAGAGGTCTTCCTGCCTCAGTTCTGATTCATATGGAGTGATCTTTCTAGACCCCCAAATGGATGCTGTTAACTCTACATCATTCCATGGTTTCACATTCCTGGCAGGACAATCTCCAAGGTTCCTGGCTTCCCATAAAGGCACAGCCACCCTGAAGCCAACCATATTGGCCTCCTTTTGGTTTCCCAAATGTACCACACTCCTCCTGGCCTTGGTGTTTGTCACACAGTCCTCTCTTCTGGGAGTCCCTTCCCCTTCTCTGCCTGTCAACATGGCCACTTCCCAGGTTAAATTCTACCACATTTTTCTCCAGAACAACAGCCTTCAAAACTCAGCAGGAGCATCCTCTCCTCCTGCAATGCCAAGCCAACACTTCTCTGCTTCCACGACCTGCCCCCACTCCTCCATTACAGCATTCACATCTCATGGGACTGGCTGGCCACGTGTCTGGCTCCTCTCGGAGCTGCAGCTTCGCTGAAAGCTGGGAAAGGGTTATGTTCTGCAGATGCCTCTTTCATGAATTATGGAGCAAGTAAGCACTGGGAGGCTGCCAAGCGGGGTTCTCATTTCTGCTGCGTGACGTTGTGCAAGTCACTTCTCAGGGTCTCAACACATTTCACAAAGTTCCATGTTTTTGTTGTTGTTGTTGTTGTGAGATGGAGTTTCGCTCTTGTTGCCCAGGCTGGGGTGCAATGGTGCTATCTTGGCTCACCACAACCGCCGCCTCCTGGGTTCAAGCAATTCTCCTGCCTCAGCCGCCCAAGTAGCTGGGATTACAGGCATGCACCACCACGCCTGGCTAATTTTGTATTTTTAGCAGAGACAGGGTTACACCATGTTGGTCAGGCTGGTCTTGAACTTCCCACCTCAGGTGATTCACCTGCCTCGGCCTCCCAAACTGCTGGGATTACAGGCGTGAGCCACCGCGCCTGGCCTAACTTCCATGTTATTAAGGAAAAAAAGGTAGAAATAAAAAACATGCCTAAAGAATAAAACAAAAGGCAAAAAAATTTCTGTTGTTTCCCCTGCCCCAACACATACAGCCTAAATACTTCCTTTCTCATATGAGGAAATCCTATGTAAAAGGACCAGATTAGTTTTCAGTTATTTGAAACATCTGTTGAACTAAGGAATTTTGTACCAGCGAAGCAATGGTGGTGAGGGAGGGAGGATTTGGGAGTTGCCTCGTTCTCTAGACAAGTTGGGGGAGAGAATGAGGTTTGGCCTTGGGTAGAGTGCTGTGGATTTGTTGGGGGAATGCAGCTTAGGAAAGGTGAGTAAAGCCACAGAGCAGGTGAGTATGACCCCAACAGATGGGATGGTTAGGAATGGGAGGCTAGGGACAGCTGCACTATCTTCTAAATAAATGTCCCTCAACCTGGGGAACATGACTATATGTTAGAGCAGTGGTCCCCAACCTTTTTAGCACCAGGGACCGGTTTTGTGGAAGACAATTTTTTCACAGACTGGGCTGGAGGGCGCAGGAATGGTTTCGGCATGATTTAAGTGCATTACATGTGCTGTGCACTTATTTCTATTATTATTACATACCCATTATAATGTAGAATCAGTGGGAGTCCTGAGCTTGTATCCCCGCAACTAGATGGTCCCATCTGGGGGCGACAAGAGACAGTGACAGACCATCAGGCATTAGATTCTCATAAGGAGCACAGAACCTAGATCCTTCGCTTGTGCAGTTCACAATAGGGTTCTCACTCCTATGAGAACCTCACGCTGCTGCTGATCCGACAGGAGGTGGAGCTAAGCTTTGCTTGCTCACCTGCAGCTTACCTCTTGCTGTGTGGCCTGGTTCCTAATAGGACTGATACCCATCTGTGGCCCAGGGGTTGGGGACCCCTGTGTTAGAGAGTCTGAAAGCTCTCTCTGAGAATGTTTTAATCTCGTCTCCATTTCAGTGAGTTTCAGTTCTCTCTTGTGACTTAAAACCCAACAATGTCTATTTCTCACCATCGTGGGCTCAGCTGTATGGCTCTTCTGTTCCCCGTGGTGTATGCTGTGTCTAGAATGTCCAAGATGGCAGCTGGCCCTTTAGCTGGGATGAATGGCAAGTTGGGACCTGGACGGTCATCTCTCTCTCCTTATTGCTACCTTAGGCTTTGTTGTAGCACTGTGTTCTCAGAGTAGCTCAAACTTCTCACATGGTGGCTGCCTCCAAGAGAAGGGACATGGAAGCTGCCAGTCCTCTCAAAGGCCAGGCCCGGAATTCACACAGCCTCACTTCTGCCAGTTTTATTGGTCAAAACCAGTCCCAGGCCCGCCCAGATGGGGAGTGCTGCACACATCTTGTGGGGGAGGCGTTGATGGCAGCTGTCTTTGGAGACACTCTACCTCACAATGACAATATTCCCAATCACTTGGTTGAGTGCTTTGTAACCGAGGACATGTGACTTTGGTGTCCACGACTGCCTTTTCATTTATGATGATATTTGAACCAACTACCACTACTTTAATTGCTCTGGATGTTAAGCAAAGAACAGAGGTTGACTTACTGTGCCAATGGCCATCCCTGCCCAGTGAGGCCTGAATGGCTGTGGCACATGGTGCCAATGTGGTTTCCTACTCCTCTGGTGGACTTAGCTCCCCACAGTGGGGTCCAGAGGCCAGCACCTTATTTGAGCTGTGAGAAGTGACTCCATTCCAGGACAATGGCATCAACTACCACATTATATCACTGTTTTTTAAATTTAAAAAAAATTTTGGCCAGGCACGGTGGCTCATGCCTGTAATCCCACAACTTTGGGAGGCCAAGGTGGGCAGATCACCTGAGGTTGGGAGTTTGAGACCAGCCTGACCAACATGGAGAAACCCCGTCTCTACTAAAAATACAAAATTAGCCGGGTGTGGTGGCGCATGCCTGTAATCCCAGCTACTTGGGAGGCTGAGGTTGCAGTGAGCTGAGATCGCGCCATTGTACTCTAGCCTGGGCAACAAGAGCAAAACTCCATCTCAGGAAAAAAAAAAATTTATTGACAAAATGGTGTAGAAATTCCCCTGTACCTTCCCCCAACAGTTTCCCCATTATTGACATCTTGCATTTGGCACGGGACATTTGTTACAATGAGTGAGCCACTATTTATACATTACAGTGGTCCCCTGTTATCCTCAGGGGACATGTTCCAAGACACCCAGTGGATGCCTGAAACTGTGGATGCCACCAAGCCCCATATATCGTATGTTTTTTCCATCTGATAACTGAGGCAGCGACTAAGTGACTGACAGGTGGGTAGTGTCTACAGTGTGGATATGCTGGACACGGCGAAGGCTCATGTCCTGGGCAGGATGGCACGAGATTTCATGACACTGTGCAGCAGGGTGCGCGGTTGAAAACTTGCAAATTGTTGATTTCTGAAATTTTCCATTTAATATTTTCAGGCTGCTGTTGATGGTGGGTAATGAACCACGGAAAGCAGAACTGCGGATAAGGGGGAACTCCTGTGTTACTAATCGAAGTTCATAGCTTACATTAGGGTTCCCTCACTGTTTGCTTTCTGCATACAATGGGTTTTGACAAACGCATAGTCCCGGAGCCCCCATGACAGTATCACATAGAGCAGTTTCACGGCTCTGAAAATCCTCTGTGCTCCGCCCACTCATCCCTCTATCACCCTAAACCCCTGGCAGCCATTCATCTTTTTCTGTCTCTATAGTTTTGCCTTTTCCAGAATGTCATATAGCTGGAATCATACGGAGTCTTTTCAGATTGGCTTCTTTCACTTGGCAATATGCATTTAAGGTTCTTCTAGGTCCATCCGTGCCTTGACAGCTCATTGCTTTTATCACTGAATAATATTCCATTGCATGGGCGTATCAGTTTATGCGTTCAGCTCTTGAAGGATATCTTGGTTACTCCCAGGTTTTAGCATTTATGAATAAAGGTGCCATAAACATTTGTGTGTAGGGTTTTTATTTTTTATTTTTTGAGGCAGAGTCTCGCTCCATCGCTCAGGCTGGAGTGCAGTGGCGCCATCTCGGCTCACTGCAACCTCTGCCTCCCGGGTTCAAGTGATTCTCCTGCTTCAGCCCCCCGTGTAGCTGGGATTACAGGCACTCACCACCACGCCCGGCTAATTTTTGTATTTTAGTAGAGACAGGGTTGCACCAACCGGCCAGGCTGGTCTCAAACTCCCGACCTCAGGTGACCTGCCCGCCTCAGCCTCCCAAAGTGCTGGGATTATAGGCGTGAGCCACCGCACCCAGCCTATATGCAGGTTTCTGTGTAGACATAAGCTTTCAGATCAGTTTGACAAATTCCTAGGAATATGATTTTTGGATTGTATGGTAAGATTATAATTATCTTTGGAAGATGCCGTCAAACTGCCTTCCAAAGTGGCTGCACCATTTTGCATTCCCACCAGCAGCAATGAGGGTTCCTGCTGCTCCACGTCCTTGCAACGTTTGGTGTGTTTCAGATTTTAGCCATTGCGTAGTGGTATGTAGTGGTAAAAACAAGTAATTCTTTTTATAAATTAAAAAAAAATGTAGCTTTGTGTTATTTATAAGTTGGTTTTAGATGGATAATTGTTTAAGAAGTCTAAGCATACTCATTCATTCATTCAGTAGATATTTGTTGAGCACCTACTATGTGCCAGATATGTTTTAGTAGCTCATGACACAGCAGTGAACAAAGTAGACCCAAATCCTTGTCCCCTCGAAGCCGAGATTCTAGTGGGAGCAGATGGGAGATCTATAAGGTCAGCAAATAAAACACATAGGAAGATGAGTGGGGATCAGAGCTTTGGAGAAAGAGATCAAGGGAGTGGGGGTTATGGGGTACTGGGGAGGGTTGTGTGCACCATCTCAGATGGGGGCCAGGAGGGCCCTCTCTGGGAGGGACATCTGCATGGCCTTAGAAAGGCCAAGACAAGGAGTGGTGGGTGTGGGTGGCGTGCGTGAGGACCAGCAGCACCGCCAGGAGGTGGGAGTGGAGGGAACGAGGACACCATTAGGAAGGGCAGCCAGCCGAGCAACTGGGAGGAGATGGGGGATCACACAGGGCCTCCTGGACCATTGTGAGAACTTAAGCTTTTGCAATAAGTGAGATGTGAGCCCTGGCAGAGTTTTGTGCAGAAGAGTGACAGGAACAGGTGAATGCTTTAAAAGGATCATGTCGCATGTTAAAATACAAGCTGGAGCATGTCACTCTTCTGTTTAAAGCCCTGCAATGGTTCAGCCTGAGATGCCAGTGGCCTTGCCGGGGGTGGACAGCAGGGGTTGCATTCTGGAGGCGTCCGGAAAGCAGAACCAATAGGATTTGCTGACAAATGGCACGTGTGATACAAATGACAGAGAGAAATTGGGGATGGCTTGAAAACATTTGACTTGAACAGCTGGAAGATTGGATGGCGACTTTATACCTGGTTTCAGGTTTTTGTGTTGTAAATCACATTCTCTGATGCATAGTTTAAATAAACAGCTTGAGGTGTCTTTGTAGGAATTTTAATGCCTCGCCATGGAGTCCAGCACATTATTCAAGTTTGATGAACTCTGGCTCAAAAAGGGTATTCCTGTGCAGCAGGACCATAGAACTTATTGTCCAAACTGGGGCATCTCGAGTGAAAAGACTGCTGTTTCTAATCACACTGGGACAACCCATGTAAACCTGGGCTGCCCCAGGCAAAATGGGATGTATTGATGGTTTAGTGAGTGATAGTTCCTGGAAACTGAAAGAGTGAAGCAAGAGAAAGAAAGATGGGAGAAGAAGGGAGAGAAAAAGGCAAGGATAGACCTGCCCACCGGTGAAGGTTGCGGGGCACGTTATCAGGAGGGACAGAAAGTGAAAGGCGAGGTTTCTTTTGCCCAGGGAGGACTGGAATGGCGGGGGCCCTGCTGTGGGTGTTGAGTCCCCAAGGAGCTGCCATCCTCATTTTATCTGGGATGCTCTCTCTATCATCACTCCACTTCCAGATATGTCAGCTCCAGAGGGCAGTCAACACACAAGACTGGACACAGGAGAAAGAGCTTGGGAAAAGGAAGTCTCTAATCCGGAGCCAAAGAGAAGAGCTTGTAACTGATCACGCATGCCTGTGGGTCCAGGCGTCATATTTTGGAGGCAGGTCTCTTTCCTGAGACCCCGGGCTGTGAACAGGTCAGAGGGGTGGACTAAGCCGAATGGTGGTTCTCCCAAAAATGTGTCCACCCAGAACCTGTGAATGCGACTTTATTGGGAAAAAAGGTCTTTGCAGATGTGATTAGGTTCCGTGTCTTGAGTAGTAAACAAAACAAAGTCCCCTGCCCTCAGAGCTGATGCTGTAGCACAGTGACATCCCCGATGTTATGCTGGTTAGTGTGGGAGCTGGGAAAGAATGTGTCCCAAGGAGGTCCTTTCCACTCGACTTGCTGACAGCTCTGATGAGAACTGCAGGGCCTTCCTGTTTCTCTCCAAGCAAAAGCCAGAGCTTTTTCCAAGGTCTCTGTCACCACACACACCACCCCATTCCCTCTCTCATCTCCTCCTCTCATGCACACTGCCCCAGCCACCCCCGCCTCCTCACTGTTCCTGGAGCCTTCCAAATATGCTCCCTGCCCCAGGGCCTTCGCACCTGCTGTGGCCGTGCCTGGGACACTTTCCCCCTCAGCTTGGCTAAATCCCTGTGATCGCTTCGTGTTGCTGCTGTAACAGATGATCACAAACCGAGTGCTTAAAACAATGTACATTCATTATCTCACAGTTCTGGAGGCCAGAAGTCCAAAATGCATCTCACCGGGCTAAAATCAAGTCGTCCACAGGGCTGCATTCCTTCTGGCGTGCTGTGAGAGGCTCTATTCCCTGACCTTGTCCAGCATGTAGAAACTTCCTGAATTCTTTAGCTCATGGCTCCTTCCTCATCTTCAAAGTGCACATTCCAACCTCTGATTCTGTCATCACTTCTCTTCTGACCTGATCCTCCTGCCACCTCCCTCTTTTTTTTTTTTTTTTTTTTTTGAGACGGAGTCTTGCTCTGTTGCCCAGGCTGGAGTGCAGTGGTGTGATCTCAGCTCACTGCAACCTCCACTTCCCGGGTTCAAGAGATTCTTCTGCCTCAGCCTCCTTAGTAGCTGGGATTACAGGTGTGCATGACCACACCTGGCTACTTTTTTTTTGTATTTTTAGTAGAGATGGGATTTCACCATGTTGGCCAGGCTGGTCTTGAACTCCCGACCTCAGGTGATCCATCTGTCTCGGCCTCCCAAAGTGCTGGGATTACAGACGTGAGCCACCGTGCCTGGCCATATCTATTCTTTATTACCTGCTTCCCGCAGTAAAATGCCAGCCCCAGAGGGCAGGGATCTTGACCATTTTCCTGCTTCCTTAATAGGAGCTCAGAGGATCTGAACAAGGGTGCTATTTATTGAAAGAAAACACGAGAGCAATTAGCCAGTGCCACCAACAGGCACGCCTAGCTCAGTCTCCAGACGGACGATTCCAGAATCAGACAGCTCTGTGCCGTTCCCCTGCACACATGGCCTTGAAAGCAGCTGGCCCAGTGGCCTCGGGTTCCAGGCTTGCCACAGCTCTGCTCTTCCTGACCTCCAGCCTGGGGCCTGGGGCCTTTTTCCAGTTTCAAAATGATAGTAAAAGGAAATTCAACAGCACTCCAGTGATGATGGGGTATTTTCTAAGACACAATTTTCTAAGTCTTGATGCTTCCAATTTCTGCCATATCGGGAGCATTTGGCCATCTTTTGGAAGTGAAATCTGTTTTATTGGTCTTAATCTTGTTCAGTTGTTTCTCCGGGGCCTGCGCGACACTGTCAGGGCCTTGGAGGCAGCTTTGGCAGGACTTCTGGGGAAAGTGCCTACTGGTGATAGAAAAAAATGGGGCCTTGGTCTGTTGGATTCCCAAAAATGCAGGCATTCCCAGCTGCTGGAGAGCAGGCACTCAGGGCCCCGGCTGCAGCTGCAGCTGGAAAAAGAAAAGGGAAAAAAAGGGAGAAGGAGGCTTTGAGAGCAGCTTTTCCGCACGGTTCCAGGAAGCTAGATTGGGTATATCCAAACGAGGTGGTTCATGGTAAAATCAGAAAAAAAGAAAAACCACAATGGAAAAGCAAGGGAAAGAACAGTTTCTTCTAAAGAGAAACGCACAGAGGCCATGTGAGTTAATCCCACCCTCCCCTTCGCTAGTTATCTTTTTGCTGGGTTGCATAACTGAGGAGGGAGAAAGATCCTAGGGCTGAGAGTTGGAACACAGAGGTTTTGTTTCATTTTTTTAATTAAAAAAAGTTTTATTTCCATAGGTTTTTTGGGGAAAAGATGGTATTTGGTGACATGAGTCAATTCTTTAGTGGCGATTTGTGGGATTTTGGTGCACCCATCACCCAAGCAGTGCACACTGCACCCAATTTGTCATCTTTTATCCCTCACCCCCTTCCCACCCTTTCCCCGAGTCCGCAAAGTCCATTGTGTCATTCTTATGCCTTTGCATCCTCATAGCTTAGCTCCCACTTATGAGTGAGAACATAGGATGTTTGGTTTTCCATTCCTGAGTTACTTCACTTAGAATGATAGTCTCCAATCCCATCCAGGTTGCTGTGAATGCCATTAATTCATTCCTTTCTATGGCTGAGTAGCATTCCATTGTGTATATATGCCATGGTTTCTTTATTCACTCATTGATTGATGGGCATTTGGGTTGGTTCCACAATTTTGCAATTGCAAATTGTGCTGCTATAAACATGCGTGTGCAAATATCTTTTTCATATAATGACTTCTTTTGCTCTGGGTAGATTCCCGGTAGTGGGATTGCTGGATCAAATGGTGGTTCTGCTTTTAGTTCCTTAAGGGATCTCCACACTGTTTTCCATAGTGGCTGTACTAGTTTCATTGCCATCAGCAGTGTAGAAGGGAACACGGAGGTTCTTTTTTTTTTTTTTTTTTTTTGAGACAGAGTCTTGCTCTGTTGCCCAGGCTGGAGTGCAGTGGCGCGATCTCGGCTCACTGCAACCTCCACCTCCTGGGTTCAAGCAATTCTCCTGCCTCAGCCTCCTGAGTAGCTGAGATTATAGGCGCCCGCCACCATGCCCAGCTAATTTTTTTGTATTTTTAGTAGAGATGGGGTTTCACTATGTCGGTCAGGGTCAGGCTGGTCTTGAACCCCTGACCTCGTGATCCACCCACCTTGGCCTCCCAAAGTGCTGGGATTATAGGTGTGAGCCACCGCGCCCGGCCAACATGGAGGTTCTAACCGAACTCTGCCTTGAACATGAGCTGTGTGACTTTGGGTAAATCACTCACCCTTTCTGAGTCTCATTTTCCTCATCTGTACAATGAAGGGATAGTAATTATTCTAGCTTCCGAGACTGTGGGGAAACTCAAATGAAATAACATACAATATCATTAATATTAGAGTCACTATTGTTATGATTCCAGTTTTACAGATGGAGAAACAGGGCTGGACTGTTGAGACCCGGACTCCCAGGTCATTACTTCTAATTTCCAGAATCCTTGCTGGATTCCTCTTTTAAGGCGACTTACCTAAGCTAAATTTAATGGAGTCTATTTCGGCAATTGTTTAAAATTTTGAAGATTCACCTGAATAGCAGAACTTTCCTACCTAAAGCAAATAATATCTAATTTATAAAAAGTTAACTTCTCAAGAGCAGCACCTCTAAGTTCA
The DNA here is from genome assembly GCF_000001405.40 of Homo sapiens. NCBI lineage: Eukaryota > Metazoa > Chordata > Mammalia > Primates > Hominidae > Homo > Homo sapiens. The sequence goes on from NC_000012.12 coordinate 124,162,069, forward strand.
GGAGGTTCATGTCTTTATAAATATGTGGTTTGTACTTACTATTTGGACATAATAAAAAAAGGGGTTCTTAACTAGGGAGAGGTTTGAAATAATGATTTCAGGATGTTATAATACACATTTGGTGCTTTTTAAAAAAAATGGAGTAGGGGAGAGGTTTGGCTGGAAGAGTAACATTTCACCACCAAGTGGCTCAATTAGAACCTGAATGCGAATTGCTTCTCACCTCCTATATTCATGCCTTTTGCAATGTGACCTTGAAGCTTCTCCAGTCCACAAGGTGGCAGGTATTCACCACCTTCTGTGAGTTGCCTTAGCCAAGAGAATGAGAAGAAAGTGATGATGTGCCAGTCCCCAAGGTAGGCCTCAAGGGCTGTTGTTTGTTTCCACTTAATCACTTGAGTCTCTGCCACCGTTGTGAGAACAAGCCTAGTTAGACATGTGGAGCACAGGTTAGCCATCTAGCGGTTCCTGCTGAGGCCAGCCTGGATTAGCCAACATCCAGCCAACTCCTAGACATCTGGGAGAGCCCAGCCAAGATCAACAGAGCCTCCTACCAACCACCCCAGATGTGTGGGTAGTGAACACTCACTGGTGTTTGCCTCTGAACTTCTGCAGTTGTTTGTTTTGCAGTGATAACTGACTGATACAAGTACCAAGGCCAGATGAGTCTCAGAGGAGCCATCGAACCCACCCTCCTTTACCAAATCCCCTCTGGGAGAAATGTCCTATTCCTGGAGTGTTATAGGTGCATTAAAGACTGTGCCTGACTTTGAGTGACACATGTGAGGTGTTTGGGAATGTGTTTGGTGCAGCCTCTGCTGCTGCCAGCTGGTGCCCTGCCCTGAGTGGCTTTCTGGGTGTGGCTTGGGTTGGGCTGGCCTGGAGGGGGAAGAACCACCTCATCTAGTTTCCCTGGACTTTGTGCCGGCTTCTGGAGGTTCCATATCCACTGAGTTCTGCAATAGGAAAAATAGTCATCATCATCATCATCATCATCACCATATGTATTTATCAGGCCCTTATATACCAGGCGTGAACTGGACTGTTTCCTTATGTTCCCTCATTCCTTTGTCACAATAGTCCTCTGAGGAGGGTTGTTACCCCCATTTTACAGATGAGTGTATTAGTCCGTTTTCATGCTGCTGATAAAGACATACCTGAGACTGGGAAGAAAAAGAGGTTTAATTGGATTTACAGTTCCACATGGCTGGGGAGGCCTCAGAATCATGGTGGGAGGTAAAAAGTACCTCTTACATGGCAGTGGCAGGAGAAAAGTGAGGCAGATGCAAAAGCAGAGACCCCTGATAAAACCATCAGATCTCATGAGACTTATTCACTACTACCAGAGCAGCATGGGGGAAACCACCCCCATGATTCCAATTATCTCCCACTGGGTCCCTCCCACAGCACATGGGAATTATGGAATACAATTCAAGATGAGATTTGGGTGGGGACACAGCCAAACCATATCTTTCCCCCCTTGGCCCCTCCAAATCTCATATCTTCATATTTCAAAACCAATCATGCCTTCCAAACAGTCCCCTAAAGTCTTAACTCATTTCAGCATTAACCCAAAAGTCCACAGTCCAAAGTCTCATCTGACACAAGGCAAGTCCCTTCCACCTATGAGCCTGTAAAATCAAAAGCAAGCTAGTTACTTCCTAGATAAAATGGGGGTACAGGTATTGGATAAATACAGCTGTTACAAATGGGAGAAGTTGGGCAAAACAAAGGGGTTACAAATCTGAAATCCAGTGGGGCAGTCAAATTTTAAAGCTCCAAATGATCTCCTTTGACTCCATGTCTCACATCCAGGTCATGCTGATACAAGAGGTGGGTTCCCACAGTCTTGGGCAGCTCCACCTCTGTGGCTTTGCAGGGTACAGCCTCCCTCCTGGCTGCTTTCACAGGCTGGCATTGAGTGTCTGTGGCTTTTCCAGGCACATGGTGCAAGCTGTCGGTGGATCTACAATTCTGGGGTCTGCAGGACAGTGGCCCTCTTCTCACAGCTCCACTAGGTAGTGCCCCAGTAGGGACTCTCTGTGGGGCCTCTGACCCCACATTTCCCCTGCACTGGCCTAGCAGAGGTTCTCCTTGAGGGCCCCACCCCTGCAGCAAGCTTCTGCCTGGGCATCCAGGCATTTCCATACATCTTCTGAAATCTAGGTGGAGGTTCCCAAACCTCACTTCTTGGCTTCCATGCACCTGCAGGATCAACACCACTTGGAAGCTGCCAAGGTCTGGGGCTTGCACCCTCTGAAACCATGAGATGAGCTGTACCTTGGCCCCTGTTAGCAACAGCTGGAGCAGCTGGGATGCAGGGCACCAAGTCCCTAGCCTGCACACAGCATGGGGACCCTGGTCCTGGCCCACAAAACCATTGTTTTCTCCTAGGCTCTCAGATCTGTGATGGGAGAGGCTGCCATGAAAACCTCTGACATGCCCTGGAGACATTTTCCTCATTGTCTTGGGGATTAACAGTCTGCTCCTTGTTACTTATGCAAATTTCTGCAGCCAGCTTGAATTTCTCCTCAAAAAATGGGTTTTTCTTTTCTACTGCATCATTAGCCTGCAATTTTTCCAAACTTTTATGCTGTTTCCCTTTTAAAATGGAGTGCTTTTTTTTTCCTTTTTGAAATGGAGTCTTGCTCTGTTGCCCAGGCTGGGGAGTGCAGTGGCGTGATCTTGGCTTACTGCAACCTCTGCCTCCCAGGTTCAAGCGATTCTTCTGCCTCAGTCTCAGTCCCAAGTAGCTGGGACTACAGGTGCCTGCCACCATGCCTGGCTAACTTTTGTATTTTTAGCAGAGACAAGGTTTCACCATCTTGGCCAGGCTGGTCTTGAACTCCTGACCTCATGATCTGCCCGCCTCGGCCTCCCAAAGTGCTGGGATTGCAGGCAAGAGTCACTGCGCCTGGCCTGGAATGCTTTTAACAGCACTCAGCTCACCTCTTGAATGCTTTGCTGCTTAGAAATTTCTTCCACCAGATACCCTAAATAACCTCTCTCAAGTTCAAAGTTCCACAAATCTCTAGGGTAGGGGCAAAATGCCTCCAGTCTCTTTGCTAAAACAAAACAAGAGTCAGCTTTGTTCTAGTTCCCAACAAGATCCTCATCTCCATCTGAGACCATCTCAGCCTGGACCTTATTGTTTACATCACTATCAGCATTTTTGTCAAAGCCATTCAACAAGTCTCTAGGAGGTTCCAAACTTTCCCACATTTTCCTGTCTTCCTCTGAGCCCTCCAAACTGTTCCAACCTCTGTCTGTTACTCAGTTCCAAAGTTGTTTCCACATTTTCAGGTATATTTTCAGCAATGCCCCACTCTACTGGTACTAATTTACTGTATTAGTCCGTTTTCATGCTGCTGATAAAGACATACCTGAGACTGGGAAGAAAAGGAGGTTTAATTGGATTTACAGTACCATCATGGTGGGAGGTGAAAGGCACTTCTTACAAGGTGGTGGCAAGAGAAAAATGAGGAAGATGCAAAAGCAGAAACCCCTGATAAAACCATCAGATCTCATGAGACTTATTCACTACCACAAGAACAGTATGGGGGAAACCACCCCCACAATTCAAATTATCTCCTACTGGGTCCCTCCCACAATATGTGAGAATTATGGGAGTACAATTCAAGATTCAAGATGAGATTTGGGTGGGGACACAGAGCCAAACCATATCAATGAGCAAAGTGAGGCTCAGGAGGTGACTTCATTTAATTGCCCAAAGCCACCCAGCTAGAAAGTGCCGCAGTCAGCTTTGAACTCAGACAATCTGCTTGAGTGAGAATCCCAACTCCACCACAGCTGGTTGTATGATCTTGGGCGAGGCACTTCACTCCTCCAGACTCAGCAACCTCCACCAGGAAACAGTGGTAAGAATAGCTCCTCCCTTATTGGGTTGTAGTGAGGACTGAAAGAGGTACTACTTGGGAAGGGTTTGCAACATGATCTGGTGTTCAAGAAGCACTCTAATTGTGTTAGCTACCACTATCATTGTTATTATTGTTGCAATTTTTATTACTCAAGGTCATGCCTTTTCTCCTCCAGGGTCAAAGGTGGTCTCACTCAAGGTGAGAGAAGGGACCATGAACTAGTGGGGTTTTTCTTTTTCTTTTTTTTTTGAGATGGAGTCTCACTCTGTCACCTAGGCTGGAGTGCAGTGGTGTGATCTCAGCTCACCATAACCTCCACCTCTCAGGTTCAAGCGATTGTTGTGCCTTAGCCACCCAAGTAGCTGGGATTACAGGTGTGCGCCACCACACCCTGGCTAATTTTTGTATTTTTAGTAGAGACAGGTTTCACCATGTTGGCCAGTCTGGTCTCGAACTCCCGACCTCAAGTGATCCACCCGCCTCGGCCTCCCAGAGTGCTGGGATTACAGGCGTGAGCCACCTAGCCTGGAGTTTTTTCTTTAATTTGGAGGAGGGAGGGGAGCTTTGGTTCTGACCACAGAGTGTGAACAAATTTTGGTGTCTGCAGCAGAAGTAGACTAAGGTGACCCATTGTCCTGGGTTGATGTCTGTGACGGAGGGGTTTCCTGGGATTTGAGACTGTCAGTGCTAAAACTAGGAAGGTCCTGGGCAAACCAGGAGAAATGTGTTACCCTAGAGCCGATCCAACATGCCTGAAGCTGTTTCCCTGGGCTTGGTTCTGGCTTCCAGAGGTTCCACTTACAGAGGTTTCCTTATAATAAACATAGGTTAGATTAAAAGCAGAGAGGAGGGAGAAGGCAGCTCTCCTCTCAGGAGGAAGGTGGGCAGTGGCTGCTAAATAACAGACCTCATCTTAATCCAGGGGGCTGGATTAATCCAGGTGTCCCTGGACAGCAGCCTGGACCTCTGCACGTGTCCCCTTATTGGGTCCCAATTTTCCATCGTTCTTGGGGCTTCCTCCAGGCCCGCTCTGGGCAGGCAATAGAACTGCCTCTTCCTGAGAGTTCTCTGCTGCTCTGATCCCAAGAAGGAAGCTGGGGTTCTTGGGAACCTATGGCCTGTCACAGCTGCCTTAGGGATCGTGCACCTTCATCTCTCCATGTGAAGGCACACAAAGCCCTACTGTTTGGACAGGTCAGGAGTGCCGGCGCCCCTCCTCTGGTTTCTGGTCGCACACGATGGCTTAAGCTTGGAGACTGTGCTGTGCAGGAGACAGATTCCGCCGCCTCCCCCACTCGGGTCTGTTTTTCAGCCGTGGCTCCGGCAGTGGGTCTGATTTTATCCCGCAAAGTGATGTCCTGTGACCGTTCGATAGTTCCCTGAGTCACTCAATAAGCCAGTTGGGCCCCATCTCCCTGCCCTCTTGCGAGTGTCGGGCAGAGCCATGCTTCTTTGTCACCCCTCTTTCAGGCTCTCACGTTCGCCGGCTCATCTTAGAGCTTCCTGAATACACGGGAAGCTTTCGCATCCCACAGTGTTCCCTCTTCCAGCCTGGTGCAGAGGCTGTGTGGCCTGACGGTCAGGAACCTGCGCTCCAGGAATCTTGGTTCTGCTACTTAGCAACTGAATCGGGCAAGTCTTTTCACCTCCGAGATCTCAGTTTCCCCAACTGCAAATGGGAAACAAGTATGTTCTAGTTATCCATTGCTGCACTAAAAAATCACCCCAAAATATGGTGGTTAAAACAATAGTTGGTTACTATTTCTCACGGTTCTATGGTGTATTAGTCCGTTTTCACACTGCTGATAGAGACATACCCGAGACTGGGCAATTTACAAAAGAAAAAATTGGACTTACAGTTCCACATGGCTGGGGCAGCCTCACAATCATGGCAGAGGGCAAGGAGTAGCAAGTCCTGTCTGACATGGATGGCAGCAGACAAAGAGAGAATGAGGAAGACACAAAAGCAAAAACCCCTGATAAAACCATCAGATCTCATGAGGCTCATTTACTACCATGAGAACAGCATGGGGGAACCACCCCATGATTCAATTATCTCCCGCTGGGTCCCTCCCACAACACAGGTGAATTATGGGAATACAATTCAAGGTGAGATTTGGGTGGGGACACAGAGTCAAACCATATCACAAGGTATGAGTAGACGAGGCTGTCACTGTTCTTGCTGACAGTGTCTCCTGAGGCTGCAGTCAGATATTGGCTGGAGCTAAAGTTATCTGAAGGCCCACCTGGGCTGGTGTCCAAGACGGCGCACTTCTACAGCTGGTGGTTGATGCTGGCTGTGGGCTGGGAACTCAGCTGGGGTTGTTAGCGTCAGTGCCTATACCTGGCCTCTCCATGTGGCTGGACTCCAAGAGGGAATGTCCCCAGAGCAAATATTTCAAGGGAAGAGAAGTAGAAACTTCTAGACCTCTTCAAAGGTAAGCACTGGGATGGCACGACATGATTAGTCAAAACCTTCAAGGGGGTAGCATAGTTCCCAGTGTTCGGGGGGAATGGCAGTGTGTACAGGGAACGGACAAGTGGATGGCAGCCTCCCACAGAACATAATATATCCTGGCATATATCACAGAACGACACCCAGTCCACAGTGCTGTGGCAATGCTTTGAAGGGATATGCAGGGGGAGTGTCTGGCATGTAACATGCATTTGTGAAATGCTGCTTGCTCCCAGCATTCACTGTTAAAGAAGCAGAGGCTGGAAGAGTCTTGCATACATATATCAGTCTAACCAGGCAGGAGTGAGGCTGGCATCTAGGGGCCCCATCTGCTGAAGCCAAGCTCTTGAGTGCTCCAGAGAATAACCAAAGACAAACTCAGGAACAGAATAATAATCATAATAGTTACAGTTATTACATATTATCTAATGGAGAATAAGATAACTGTAATAATATTAGTCGTAAGTATATATTATCTTATAGAGAATAATATAACTATAATCATAATAAGTATTATGTATTATCTAATAGAGAATAATATAATTATAATCATAATAGTTATATCTACTATATAGAATATATTAACTATTTTATTAATTATATGCTATATATACTATATAATATATATAATATACTTAGCTATTATGTATTTGTTATGGTTTGACTGTGTCCCCACTCAAATCTCATCTTGAATTGCAGCTCCCACAATTCCCACATGGTGTGGGAGGGACCTGGTGGGAAGTAACTGAATCATGGCGATGGTTTCCTCCATACTGTTTTCCTGGTAGTGAATAAGTCTCATGAGATCTGATGGTTTTATAAGGGAGAGTTTCCCTGCACATGCTCTCGCTTTGCCGGCCGCCATGTAAGATGTCACTTTGCTCTTCCTTCATCTTCTGCCATGATTGGGAGGCCTCCCCAGTCATGTGGAACTGTGAGTCCATTCAATCTCTTTCCTTTATAAATTACCCAGTCTTAGGTATGTCTTCATTAGCAGTGTGAAAACAGACTAATACAGTATTATATATACTACATTACATATAATTATTGCATATAATATGTATACTATTATATATGCCATCTTGTATATAATGTATAACACTCTGTTATTACTGTTGATCACCCTTATTGCACCCTCATTCCCTTTGTAGAGCTGGGAAACTATACAAGTAACAGGAAGCCTCTCCTTGCCTCCCTGATGACAAAAGCATCTTCTGCTTTGCAGACCTGGGTGGAAGGGTGGGGTGGGGCCTGACTGATTACCAGCAGCACTGGGCTATCTCAACTTACCACACACCTTCAGTGTTGACCTTTAATGGCCGTACAGCACCCTGCTCCCCAGCCCTCCACACCTCTGATATCTCACCCAGCCCAGGCAGGCTGCAGGTTGTCAGGATCCATCTGCACTAGCATCAGGAGGCTGCCTTGGAGGCCCACGTGCTCCAGGGCTGATATTTACAAGCACTCAGCATTGGAGCTGCCTTTGTTACATCTAAAAAATATGGTAACTTCTGGGATGGGGCCAAGGCACAGAATTGCTCAGGTAGTAACTGGAGGACAGAGAAATAATAGTGGTAGAGATAAGAAACCTTGATGGTAATAATACTGAACAGATCAGGAACAGCTGCTTTGCCACTTAATATTTCACAAGCATTGTAATCACTTCATCCAGTCCCAGCCCATCTTACCGGTGAGATAATGAAGTCAGAGAGAGGGAATAATTTACCACATTGACATGGCTAAGAAGTGACAGCACCAGACCCCCGATGGAAATCACTCTAATTCCAAAGCCCCTACACTGACCATCCTCCACAAAACTGTCAACCTGTGCAAATACATAATTATTGAGTCCAATGGAATTTTCATTATATTTGTCTTTTTCACATAATATTATTTTATTAAGACTCATTCTGGTCCTTAAATAGTCTTTGGAAACATGATTTTAATTGCTGTATAATATTTAAACACATGAATGTACCATAACTTGTTTACTTTCCTTTTTTTGGATATTGGATTGTTTCTACTTTTTTTTTTTTTTTTTTTTTTTGAGACAAGGTATTGCTCTGTCACCCAGGCTGAAGTGCAGTGGTGCAGTCTTGGCTCTCTGCAACCTCTGCCTCCTGGGCTCAAGCCATCCTCCCATCTCAGCTCCTGAGTAGCTGGGATTAGACGTGTGTGCCACCACACGCAACTTATTTTATTTTTTGTAGAGACAAGATCTTGCTGGGTTGGCCAGGCTGGTCTCAAACTCCTGGGCTCAAGCGATCTTCCTGCCTTGGCCTGCCAAAGTGCTGGGATTACAGGCATAAGCCACTGCACTCTGTCTATTGGCATCATTTTTATGAGGTTGGGTGTTCTCTGGAGAGACCTTCCAATCACAGGAGAGTCTCAGAGATGATAATTGTGTCTTGACTGAGAAAAATGAGCCTCCACAGGTTCCCTTTCCTGAGAGAAGACTCCCCAGATCCAGCCCATGAACGCCTATTCCCAGCAAGCTCCCTCCATGAAATCATAGTTTGCTTTGCACTTCCAAATGAACAACGCCACCTCCCCGGCTGGCTAACCCATACCCTGTTTCAAATTGCTTCGGTTTCACATTCCACAGAGGTATTTCCTGATGTTCACTTCATCCAGCAGTGTCTGTCTAACCCCGGGATTACTGAGAACCAAGAGACAACCCTAAATTTTTCTTTTTTTTCTTTTTTCTTTCTTTCTTTTTTTTTTTTTTCACTTTCCCCTAAAACCCCACAGACTTTTGCCACCTGCCTTCTTTGACCATTCCATTCTCGCTCCCTTCGGGGTATTTTGGGAGAACCATCTAAAGAAAAGTCGTTTGGGATTTTTTTTGGTTGTCTTCTCAGAAAGTGTTTTGAAATCCAATCTGAATCTCAAGTATGTTTTGAGTTGTGTTCAACTTTTAATGTTCTGTGAAAATTTGGATTTAATTAATTTCTCTTGCATTCGGAAACAGTGTGATACTTTTCTTTTTTCTGTTTCCTGGACCAAGACCTTACCACATTCATGGAAAAAATGAGGTGGTGCGGAGTATTTTCTCATAAGAATTCATATAAAATGGCTTGGACAGGCATGGTGGTGTGCGCCTGTAGTCCCAGCCACTCGGGAAGCTGAATGGGAGGATCACTTGAGTGCAAGAATTTGAGTCCAGCCTGGGCAACATAGCCAGACCCTGTCTCTAAAAAATGATAATAATTTTAAAATGGATTGAAATTGTTGCATAAGGGGAAATGACCGATTTCTGACCCTAAGGCTATGCTAGCAGCAAACTGCAGGTGAATGTGATTGGGTGTATTTCAACCCCAAAGGGGAACTTGTCATGTCATCTGGTGTAGCTGACACTGGTAGTGACCTTTGTGACTTCATGGGCCAATAGGCCATGCATTTCCTTTGTGTGGTGGAGCCCCAGCCACTGGACTTGAGTCTATAATGCTGTGTGCATGAGTTTCCTCTTGCGACTGTAATAAACTGCCACAAACTTAGTGGCCTCAAACAACACAAATGTGTCACCTTATCCCAAGTTCCGGAGGGCAGAAGTCCAAAATGGGTATTATGGGGTTGAAATCAAGGCGTTAGCAGGGCTGCTCCTTCTGGAGGCTCTAGGAGAGAATTTGTTGTTGTTTGAGACAGGGTCTGGCTTTGTTGCCCAGGCTGGAGTGCAATGGCACGATCTTGGCTCACTGCAACTTCCGCCTCCCAGGCTCAAGCCATCCTCCCACCTTAGCCTCCTAAGTAGCTGGGACTACAGGTATGAGCTACCACACCTGGCTATTTTTTTTTGTACTTTTAGTAGAGATGTTGTTTCACCATTTTGCCCAGGCTGGTCTCGAACTCCTGAGCTCAAGCAATCCACCCGCCTTGGCCTCCCAAAGTGCTGGGATTACAGGCATGAGCCACTACATCTGGCTTCTGGGAAAGAATTCATTCCTTGCCTCTTCCAGCTTCTAGAGATTGCCACATTCCTTGGCTTCCAGCCACATCACTCTGACTTGGGTTTCTGTGGTCACATCTCCTTCTCTGAGTCCGACCCCCTGGCCTCCCTCTTATAAAGGCCCTGGGACTACATTGGGCTGACTCGGATAACCCACTACCATCCCCCACCTCAAGATCCTTCACGTGACCACATCTGCAGAGTCCCTTTAACCATGTGAGGTCAAATGTTTGCAAATTCTGGGGACATCTTTGGGGGCCGTTATTCAGCCTGTCCCTCCAGGCTCAGGCTCACCACCCCAAATGCCAGGACATCCCAACAATTGCCTGTCAGTGTTGGGAGAGGAAGTCTTCCCCTGCCATGGATTCCAGCTCACAACCTCTCTTCCACAGCGAGTAAGTGTGATCTGGTGGTACAGAGGTGATACTTGAGGACACTTCTGAAATATTTGCGGGGCAAAGTGAGGTGGGGGCATGCCCAGATGGTGGTGGCATTTCCTGTGGGAGGAGGCCCCACCGGGGAATTTCACTGTCAAGAGACTAAGAGTTGAACCTCAACCTGAGTCACCAGAATGCCTTCGGGCTTCAGAGTCTCCATCTCTAAGATGTGGATGAGAAGCTGTCCCTGGGGTTCTCATGTGAATTAATGGAGGTGAACGTGAATCCAATAAAGCGCCTGTCATCCCAGCACTTTGGGAGACCCATGCAGACGGATCACCTGAGCTCAGGAGTTTGAGACCAGCCTGGCCAACATGGTGAAACCCCATCTGTACTGAAAATACAAAAATTAGCTGGGTATGGTAGTGCATACCTGTAATCCCAGCTACTTGGGAAGCTGAAGTGGGAGGATCTCTTAAGCCCAAGGAGGCGGAGGTTGCAGTGAGCCAAGATCCCACCACTGCACTTCAGCCTAGGTGACAGTGAGACCCTGTCTCAAAAAAAAAAAAAAAAAAAGAAATAAAGAAAAAAAGAAAAAAAAGAAAGCGCCTCGCCTGTGTCCTATGATCATGCTATCGCCATCAGAGAACCTTAGTATTGGCGTATGAAGATATGAAGACTGGGGTGATATTGCACACTTCATAATGAAAGCCTGAAATAATCAACCTTTTAGATTCTAGTTAAAAAAAAAAGCAACAAAAACAAGCAAATGAACCCCCTAAGGACCAGTTAATCAGAAAGGAAAGCCCAAAGATTGTCTACCTCCCTTTGCACCTGGTGGGGTGGGCACCTTTGCAGAACCATGCCTGGTGCTGATAGATTTGGTGGACTTGTGGGGCCAGTTTCAAAAGTGCTGTGGGAAGCCAGGTGGAGAATTTTCAGGTTGCTCAATGGCAGACACGATGGTCTAACTCCAGGCAAAGATCTGAATCTTGGCGATTGGTTTATTTGATCTGCCTAGTCATCTGTTCACTTCCTTCATCTCCTTTCTCCCAAATCTACCCTGCTTGCTGAGCTCAGAAGGCTCGGGGACAAAGCTCTGGCTTCGGCGTCAAACACCCCTGCATTCAAATCCCAGCCCCGTTCCTTACTAGCTGGGTGACTTTGGGCCAGTTACTTAACCTCTCTGATCTGAGTGCTAAATTATTGAAAATGCAAACAGTCGAGAAAAAGTGCTTATGGGAGTTTCTAGGACATAGAGGGTGATCGGTGAGTGCTAGTTTCTTTCCCTCCTGTTGGGAGATATTTACTCAGTAGAGTCTCATGAGAGTTGAGCTATGGTGGTACAGGAAACAGGTCCTGTTAGACATATTGAGAATGTGTGTTCCCATATTGGCTTCAGGGCCATTAATCTCTCTAGGCCTCCGTTTCCTCATTTCATCAGTAAAATGAGAAAAAAAATGGTCTCTCTGACCTCATAAGGATATTCAAGAAAATAAGGTAGTGATCTTTGGAAAATCAAGTATAATAGCCCATTATTGAAGAAAAAGAAAAGTATTCATTTCCAAAAGCTTTCAGGATGTACATATGTTCTACATTCTCTTTAAAAGCATTTGTTTTTCTTGGGAAAAAAATGAAGCCTACAGCTTTTAATGATCAACCACAATGGTCACCATCCATTTGAGAATAATACACACTGATCACGTCCCCTGGCGTGTGAGCTACCCGCGGAGTACTAGCAAGCACAGACTTCATGGTTGTCCTATGTGCAACTGACCTTGACCTCTGATGCTGTGCATCTTGGCACAAAACCAACAGCTTCGTTTTGCAGAGAGCCCATTTACGGGGCATCCTGGGCTGGGGGGTGACTCAGTAGAGGAAAACGTGGCCACCCGGCCAGCTTGGAGGCAGCCACTTCAGCCAGTTCCAGAGGAGGATGTGTAAGAATGGTCAGCCCCAGTGGAAGACCTTTCCTGCAAGGTCAGCGGCAATGATTTCATGACCGGTGGGCCCACCCTGACTGCACAGCCGTGGAAAATCCTCCAACAGAGACGGGAAAGAGAAAAGGGAACCCACCCTACCCAGAAATGAGGCTGGGCTGAGCACAGATGGTGCAGGCTGAGAAGGGCACTGCCAAGAAGTACAGACCGAAGGAGATACTTCCAGCTGCCACCAAGCTGCTGGGACACGGGCGTGCTGTCCTTCTGGTGACAATGAGAGCCATCCGAGGGCCACCCTTGGGATATTGTGCAAATGGCAAGTATTTCAGATGGCCTGTGGGTGTCCGAGGGAAGGGAGCAGTTTCAGGGCTTCTGTTTGAGAGAGTTATTTTTTTTTTTAATGGAAAAAAACACCACCCGCTTTGCCTGTGGAATCATCAGAAGTTGGTGATGATGACAGGAACAGGATCTCAGAATAGGAACCAGCTGGAGATTCATATGGAGAAAAACAAAGGTCTTGATGATTTATTTTTCTCTCTTCTCTCAGCATGTTAGCAAAACAAACAAACAAAAGGGGAAAAAAAGCTTCAATGAACTCTTAAGAAACAAAAATGAAAACACACAGAGCATCTAGGGAATCAGCTTTGCCCTTCCCCGCTCCTGCAGGATTGGAGGGAACTGCAATCATTGTGACCACTGGGAATACTGGCCTCTGCCATAACACTCCAAGAGGCAAGCCCTAAATGGCACCACCAGGCAAAATGGCAGGCCAAGTGGAAAGGCAGGAAGCGGCTTCCACTGGCTGCAAACGCTTGGCTCAACACCACGGGCTGTTTCTGACCATGGAGAGGGCAGCACCTCCAGCTTCGCAGGGGCTGTGTTCTGGGGACAGCCACGGACATCTCCCACCTCATCCCTCCATTCATACCTCCCTTTCCATAGACAGTCGGGGACTCTAATAATCCCCAGCAATGAACCTGGGCCGAGGTGGTCATGGATGGGTGGTGGTCATCGGTCATTGCTTTGTGGGATGTCAAGCTGGAAGACAGGAAGGGTGAAGACAGGGTAGCTGTGGGAGCGCTACCCTCGGGGGCTTGCTGATTCTTATGCACTCTCTCTGGCATTGGAAGGACTTTCAGACTGTTTCAAATTATCTATGAATAAATTTCCTTTTGGATCGTCAGGCAATCAGGCAGCAGAAGTGGAAGATGCCTCCTGAGCCAGCAGAGCCCCTCCAGAAAAATGCCTGCCAGACGCTGGGAACTTGGCTCGAGGTTGGGTCTTCACAGCCAAGGCTTTGGCGTGGAGATCAGAACGGAGGGTTCTAATAGCAACCAGGTGGATGCGGAAGGGCACCCGAGAGCCAGCATCCCTCCAAGGCAGAGCATCAGAAAATGAAAAGCCCTATGATTGCAGGAAATGATCCTGCAGTAGGAAAGACAGCGAACTTTGCCCCCAAGAGGAAAAACATACTTTTGCAAAAGATTTTCTACCAGAAATGGAAGTAAATTACAGAAAGCTGTCTTGTGTTCACAATAAAATTCAAGGACATGTGACCTTAAAATGAGATAAACTTAGATGCAAAGACACAGGATTGCAATGAAAAGGAGACATGGCAAAGATGAAGGCAGAAACAGCCAGGGAGCTCCGTGTGTCTAGGAAGGCCCTGAGGAAATACACCTGAAAAACGGACGGCGGCATTCGCAGCAGAAACAAGTGAAACAGTAGAAAATTGAATCAATGATGTCCAGAAATGAGGGGGAACTATTGTTTGCCAAACAAGAGCCATGTTCCCACCTCAACATTTTCCAGGCTAACGGAATCCTTATCTTCCTCAGAGTCCTGAGCCCTTCTAGGGGGCGGGCGCTGGCCCCTCTTTGGCCCCAGGATGTGAATCTCTGTTGCTTAAGTCAACCACGATGCTCTCATTCGCCTTCAGCAATGACCCTCTTAGGCCTGGTCATAGGATGCCCAGCCAGCCCAGGACTCATGAGGTGGCCTCTGCAGGAGGACATGTGGAGAAGGGTCTCCTCACCAGGAGGAGGAAGCACGTGGAGGAAGTGGTTTTTTTCTGAGACATTATCTTACCTGCACACAATGCCTGTAACTATGTCCTCCCTCTATCCACCAAAGACGGCAGAGAAGAAAGAGGGAAGGAACCTGGATTTAAGCTATGATGTTACTGAGTTAGCCAGTCCTGGAGTTTTCTACCTCTGCCCCCCTTGTTATGAGACACAATGAATATTCCTACTGTTTTAGTCACTTGCAGGAGGGTGTCCTGCTGTACGTAGCTAAAAATACCCTATCTACCAGCTGGGTGTGGTGGTGCATGCCTGTAGTTCGTTTCTCAGGAGGCTGTGGCAGGAGGATCACTTGAACCCAGGAGTTCGAGACCAGCCTGAGTGGCATAGCGAGACTCGAGTCCCTAAAAAATAAAAAGTGCCACATGCCTGCCTGTAGCCTGTAGTCCCAGCTATGTCGGAGGTCAAGGCAGGAGGATCACTTCAGCCTAGGAGTTTGAGGCTGCAATGCTCTATGATTGTGACATTGTACTCCAGCCTGGATGACAGAGGGAGCCCGTTTCTAAAAAAAAAAAAAAAGAAAAGAAAAGAAAAGAAAAGAAAGAATAGAGAAAATACCCTATCTAGGATAAGTTTAAGCAGCTCTCCTAGAATGCAGAAGGAGAGAAAACAAAAAGAGATGGTGATAAGACAAGAATGAGAAAAATGGGAACCAAACAATGGGCGACATCCTGAAGAAGAAACCAGAACAAACCCAGACAGGCACGATAGAAGCTGCGAAAGGAATGTGGGTCTGCAAACTGAAAATAATGCCTGGCTGTGGGTCACACTCGGACGAATCCGTGTGAAGACAGTAACACACTGGGCAGAAAGGCAAAGGATATGGACAGAATTCACAGGAAAATACTGTTCAAATGGCCCTTACGTTTATCAGCAGATCCCTGGCCTTCCTCCTAATAGAATTGAAGATCGAAACTAGACCCTGTTACCATTTCCACTGCCTGTCAAGCTGGTAAATGTGCAAGTTAGAGAGAATGCTGTGGGTCCTAAGCTGGGGCACCAAGGATGCTGGCCCATTGCTGGTAGGAACGTCAGGGCTTCAACCGCACCTGGGGGCAATTTGTTAACATAACAAATGCACACACCCCTTCTAGGAATTTATCCTACAGTGATATGCACAGGTGTGAAATAACACTTGGACAAGGTTACATAGTGAAGCTTACTCCTAATAGCAGAATATTGGAAACAACCTGAAGTCCATTCATAAATTATGATCCATCAAAAACTAGACAACATTTAATATCCTGGCATAGAAACATCTCCAAGATGGAGTGTTAAACATAAAAGGCAAGATGTGAATAGCATACTGCCATTTGTGAAGAAAGGAGGAATCAATCAATATATCTATTTATCGATCAATTATCTATCAATTATCTATCAATCTATTATCTACTTATCTATTGATTAATTTTTTTCTTTTTTATTTTTTTGAGACAGAGTCTTGCTCTGTCACCCCCAGCTGAAGTGCAGTGGCGCGATCTCGGCTCACTGCAACCTCCACCTTCCAAGTTCAAGCGATTCTTGTGCCTCAGCCTCCTGAGTAGCTGGGACTAAGGTGTGTGCCATCATGCCCAGCTAATGTATTTTTGTAGAGACAGGGTTTCACCATGTTGGCCAGGCTGGTCTTGAACTCCTGGCCTGAAGTGACCCACTCACCTTGGCCTCCCAAAGTGCTGGGATTACAGGCGTGAGCCACTGAGCTTGGCCCTGATTGATTTTTTGACTTTCTATTATCTATCTATCTATCTATCTATCTATCTATCTATCTATCTATCTATCTATCTTATCCATCTGTCTATCTATGCATCTATCAATCATCTATCCATCTCTTTGCTTGTTGTTAAGGACTGAATAGTGTCCCCCTCGAATTCATATGTTAAAGCCCTAACCCCAATGTGACTATATTTGGAGATAAGGCTTTTAAGGAGGTAACTGAGGCTAGATAAGGTCATGAGGTGGGTCCCGGATCCAGTATGGCTGGTGTCCTCACAAGAAGAGGCACCAGGGATGTGTGCACACAGAAGAAAAGGCTGTGTGAGGGCCCAGCAAGAAGGTGGTCATCTGCAAGGCAAGGAGAGAGGTCTTGGGGAACACCCAACTGCCAACGCCTTGATCCTAGACTTCCAGCTTCTAGAACTGTGATAAAATTAATTTCTATTGTTTAAGGCACGCATTCTGTGGTATATTGTAATGGCAGCCCTGACAAACACAGATTTTGATACCAAGAAGTGGGGTGCTGCTGTTAACAAATACCTAAAAGTGTGGATGTGGCTTTGGAATTGAGTAAAAGGTGGAGGAGGAAGATTTTTGAGGTGCATGTTAGAAAAAGCCTGGATTGCCTTGAAGAGACTGTTGGTAGAAGCATGGATGTGAAAGGTGATTCTGGTGAGGGCTCCGATGGGAAGGAGGAACATGTTATTGGAACTGGAAGAAAGGTGACCCTTGTTATAAAGTGGAAAAGAACGTGGCTGGATTGTATTCTGGTGTTTGTGGAGAAAGGAGAAGTTAAACATGATGAACTTGGATAAGAAATTTCTTTTTTTTTTTTTTTTTGAGGTGGAGTCTCACCCTGTCACCCAGGCTGGAGTGCAATGGTGTGATCTCGGCTCACTGCAACCTCTGCCTCCTGTGTTCAAGAGATTCTTCTGCCTTAGCCTCTGGAGTAGCTGGGATTACAGGCACGTGCCACCATGCCCGGCTACTTTTTGGATCTTCAGTAGAGACGGGGTTTCACCATGTTGGCCAGGCTGGTCTCAAACTCCTGACCTCGTGATCCACCTGCCTCGGCCTCCCAAAGTGCTGGGATTACAGGTGTGAGCCACTGCACCCAGCCTTAGCTGTAGAAATTTCTAAGCAAAGTGTTGAAGGTGTGGCCTAGTTTCTCCTTAATGCTTATTGCAAAATGTGAGAGAACAGAGAAATATAAACTGAAGGAATTTTAAGCAAGAAGGAACTAGACCTTGAAGATTTGGAAAATTCTCAGCCTATTTATATTTCAAAAAGTGAGGAAGCAGGTTCTGGAGAGAACAGCAAGGGTGTGGCTGGAAATTCATTTTATACAGATATTGTGGGTGCGATGTGTGGATTTAATCAGTCATTTCAGCAGAAGTTAGCCATAGAGATGGGATTATACCAGCAGAGACACTGCCAGGCCTGGACCAATGGGGACAGAGACAGGACATAGTGTCCCGTGGAGATGGATGTCCTGGAATTTGACAGGACAGTAGAGTTATTCATCTGTGAACATGCACTATCCTTTAAGAAAAGAGGAGGACGCTGGAGGCAACTCAGAGGTTGGCAGGGCTGGCACTGCCACCACAGACAAGGGAACAAAGCTGTGTCCTTCTTAGTTTCAAAGGGTCAGACTGTTGCTCAGAGCCTTGGGGGTGGGGCCACTGCCTCGGGCCATGGCGCCCGGACTACAGGCTACTGCCCCAGTGGGCCTGGAAAGCAGGATGCTGAGCTGAAGAGGATTATTCTTGAGGCTTAAGAGCAAATGGAATTTGCCTCGCTAGATTTTGGACTTGCTTGGGACCTATCACCCCTTTCTTCTTTCCGATGTCTCCTTTTTGGAATGGGAATGTCTATCCCATGTTGGTCCCACCACTGTGTCTTGGAAGCACATAACTTGTCTGGTTTCACGGGTTCACAGCCGGAGAGGAATTTTGCCTCAGGATGAATCATGTGTTAAGCCTCACCCATACCTAATTTAGATATTCAGACGAGACTGCACCTAGAGTTGACGCTGGAATGCGTTAAGACTTTTGGGGCTATTGGAATTGAATGTAATTTGCATGTGAGAAGGATATGAATTTGGGGGACCAGAGGGTGAATTATTACAGACTGAATTGTGTCCCTCCTCCAAATTCATATGTTGACGCCCTAACCCGTCATGGGACTGTATTTGGAGGTAGAACCTTTGAGGAAGTAATTAAGGGTAAATCAGGTTGTAAGAGAGGGTCCCTAACCCAGTACAGCTGATGTTCTTATTAGGCGAGAGAGAGAGACCAGGGATGTGTGTGCACCTAGGAAAGGCCACGTGAGGACCCTGTGAGAAGGCCCCCATCTGCAAGCCAAGGAGAGCAGCCTCAAGAGAAACCAGACCTGGTGCCATCTTGATTGTGGACTTCCAGCCTCCAGAACTGGGAGAAGTAAATTGCTGTCGTTTAAGCGAGAACAGAGATTGCAGGTGAGAAGGTGAACTGGGTATCTGGGGACTGGGAAAGAATTTCTGAGTAATTTCTCAGTAGATCTGTTTTTATCCTCCCTTTATATTAAAAAATTTAAAAATAACAGTGATAAAACTTAGAAACTATTTTTTCTTTTTTCTTTTTTTTTCTTTTTGAGATAGAGTCTCACTCTGTTGCCCAGGCTGGAGTGCAGTGGTGTGATCTCGGCTCACTGCAACCTCCATCTCCTGAGTTCAAGCGATTCTCCTGCCTCAGCCTCCCGAGTAGCTGGGACTACAGGCGCCCGCCACCACACCCGGCTAATTTTTATTTTTTTAGTAGAGACCGGGTTTCGCTGTGTTGGCCAGGCTTGTCTTGAACTCCTAACCTCAAGTGATCTACCCACCTTGGCCTCTCAAAAGTGCTGGGATTACAGTCATGCACCACTGCACCCGGCCTAATATTTTTTATTTATATGACAATTTATTGTAAGAGTAGCGGTCAGCATCATATTAAATGATGAAGCCATGGAGACATTCCCATTAAAAATTAGAAACAAGACAAGAGTGCCTGTTATCACTGCATTGCTGAATGTTGTTCTGGTTAAGCCACATAAGCCAATGTAATAAGACATGGATATTAGAGGCCAGGCGCGGTGGCTCACGCTTGTAATCCCAGCACTTTGGGAGGCCGAGGTGGGCAGATCATGAGGTCAGGAGTTTGAGACCAGCCTGGCCAACATAGTGAAACCCCGTCTCTACTAAAAATACAAAAATTAGCTGGGCGTGGTGGTGGACGCCTGTAATCCCAGCTACTCAGGAGGCTGAAGCAGGAGAACCTCAGCTTGAACCCGGGAGGCAGAGGTTGCAGTGAGCCGAGATTGTGCCACTGCACTGCAGCCTGGGCAACAGAGCTAGACTCCATCTCAAAAAAAAAAAAAAAAAGACATGGATATTAGAAAGAGGATAAAGTGATTGAAAAGAAGATGGGCTTATTATTATTTACAGATGAGAGTGTTTTCTACTATGATTGCTTTGCTATTTGGTGGTTATGACACATTTTATATATTTTTTGAGATTTGGATCATTTTTTAGGGGCATCTTCTATCATTTGTTTATAAGCACAGATATAGGGAGGTGGATACAGGCAACATTTAAACTTAAGTGGCTCTGAAATGTATTTTACATTAATTGCAAAAATCCTTACTTGGAGAATTTTTAAACGGCGACATAAGGAGGCCATATTTATTTAAATGAGAATGTTGAGGTGAAAGGCAAACTCATAGGAGGCTGGGTGGTGAGAAGGATGGAAGGAGGCCTTTTTGGGCCGCTCATCTGTGAATTCTCCCACCTCTAGAGGCTTTCAGCAAGCTGAAACCCAACTAGTACATGGAAGGTAATTGGCTGTAATTAATTCCACAACCCTGGGCCTCTTGCAAGGCCTCCTGGGTAAACAAAAGCAAAAACACATTGCAGCAAACCCCTCCCCGCTGCCTAACTCTGGATACATGAGACTAGAGTCCTTTTGACCGTGCCCTGCCAACTGCCAAAAACCCGTCGACAGGCTGGGTCCTAAAGGACCCTCGGGAAGCCCTCGCCCTGGGGAGGGAGCACCGAGGCCGGCTCTTTGCAGTTGCTGTGTTTTTGCTTTCCGCAGGCCCAGCTATGTAAGCCCCACTGGGTCCCAGTTGGCCAAGTTGCTTTTGTTCCTTCTTTATTCTGTTTCTAGTAGTACAAAGCAGTTTCAGCTGCTTACCCTCATGGGCCATGAGCTGCTGGAAGAGGGTGGCAGTGTGGGGAGGGGGTGCCCCTTAGAATCGCTCTACTTCTGAGTCCCCACCCTGCCCAATCAGACCCCACAAGCGGCTGACCCCAAGAGACGGCACTCAGGGGCCTTCTCGCTGCAGTTCGTCTTTGCATCCTCTCTCCCATAATTCATTCTACACACAGTAGCCGGAATGATCTTTCAGAAACATAAATCACATCAACCCCTGTTTAAACACAGCCCCACCCCCGCCCCTCCCCCGGCTTTCTTTTGCTCTTAGTATCAAATCCAAACGCCATTCTCAGGTTCCCCAGGACCCTCCTGATCTTCCCCTGCCTACCTCTTCAAGTTAATCTAGCATCCCTCTCTCTGGACCCACTGGCCTTGCTGTTCCTTGAATACACCATGCTTGTCCCTTCACTTCCTGGTCTCTTTGTCTGGAAGATCCACCCCCAGGGCTCTACAGGGCTTGCTCTTTCTTATCCTTAAAATCTCAGCTTTGAACCTTCCCTGAGTTCTCTACCACTGGCAGACCCCTTCCAGCTTGTTCTCTCCCTGCAGCCTTTTACCTTATTTGTTGGTTTGCATATTATTTCCTGTATCTCCCTACCCCATCCCTAACCCTGAAGAAGAGGCCACTTCCCTTCCATGAGGGCAGAGACTCTGTCTTATCACTGCTGTGCTTTGCACAGAGTAGGGAACAAAAAACACACATTCAATTATTTTAGTTGATTATTTAAGGAGAAACATATGCCTGAGGACTGAGTTTATCAGAACAAAATCTAAACAGAGGTGGTTTACTTCAAAGGCCAGGAACTGAAGCTTCAGCGTCCTCACCCGAATAGCCACCTCCAAGGCCCTGGATCTAATTTTGCACTTGTAATTTTGTACTTTTTTTTTTCTTTTAAAGAACTCCCCTGAAACTGCGTAAGCTTCAGATGCCCCAAAACCTGGATCTACTCTGGCCACCAAAGATGGGTTAGTGGTCAGATGCCACGCTGGGTAGCAAATAATGGTGATCATCGTAATAAACAATAACAATAAATAACAGCCGCCTGGTAGGAATAATAGTAACAATCATAGCAGGAGCGGTTACTTAGCAAGCTCCGTGCTTGTGCTACCAGCCACTCTGCAATGCTACACCCATTTTCAAGATGAGGAAACAGAGGCTCGATGGGTAGCGAGGCTCGCCAAGCAAGCTTGGGCCTGTCTGCTGCTTGAACTCATGCTCACGGCCGTGGCTTAGTTTGCATCAGATAGCCCAGAAAGTGGCTGAGTGACCTGTAGAAAGTGTTTCTTGGGCTGGGCGCGTTGGCTCACGCCTGTAATCCCAGCACTGTGGGAGGCCGAGGAGGGCAGATCACGAGGTCAGGAGATGGAGACCATCCTGGCTAACACGGTAAAACCCCGTCTCTACTAAAAATACAAAAAATTAGCCGGGCGTGATGGTGGGTGCCTGTAGTCCCAGCTACTTGAGGAGGCTGAGGCAGGAGAATCGCTTGAACCCAGGAGGCGGAGCTTGCAGTGAGCCGAGATTGTGCCACTGCACTCCAGCCTGGGTGACAGAGGGAGACTCAGTCTCAAAAAAAAAGGAAAGTGTTTCTTTTCAGGCCCCTGACTCCTATGGGCTGAGCAGAATTTTGCAGAGGGGCCCCAGCCCTGTCCATTGAGGGACTCTTGGCCCCTCTCCTTTCTGGTGACCCTGACTCGTACCCCATGAAGCTGGACGTGGGCAGTGGTGGAGTTCCAGCCCTCACCCCTATTCTGCAGCTAGTTCCAGTACAGCCGGTCCTCACTATTCGTGGTTGCTGTGTTTGCGAATTTGCCTGCTCACCGAAATGCATCTATAACTCCAAATCCAGTACTCACGACACCTTGGCCGTCACTTGATGCGTGCCGAGTAGCGAGCAACGTGTCTCCCGACACACATGCTCTCAGCTGAGGTTGCACAGGGCAGTGCTCTGCCTCCTGGCGTCAGCTCACACACCCCTGACAAGTGCCCTTTTCAGTCTGTTTGGTGTCATGCTTTTTGCACTTGTGTGCTTCTTGTTGGTTTTGCTGTTTGCGACAACATCCTTGTGGAGCGGTGAAGGGCGGGTCTGGTGTTTCTGAGCTGTGGGGTGCCTGATAGAGAAGATGCGGGTGTTACGGACACTTCGTTCAGCCTGAGTCAGAGAGGCTTTGGCTATGGGATGTGCATGTGGATGAAGCAACATTGGACATTAAACAAGGTGTCTTCAAACAACACACACATAAAGCAAGGTTATGCATTGATCGGTGGATGAAATATTGTGCCTAGAGGCCTGCAGGAACCTAACCCTGTATTTTCCCTGAGAGCAAGGGTTCAGCATTTGTGAATTCAGTGTTCGCAGGGACCTCATAAAACATAACTCCTGCGAATAGCAAGGACTGCTTTATCTCTTTTCTGACCCCAAACTGGATTCAAGTAGGTGCTCTGCAAGCCTGTTCTGCAGCTTCTTTCACTTCTGAATTCCCCGCACCCTCCATGTTGGGTGCCCATTGCTGTCTGTGCAGTGGAGTTTTGCCAACCACGGGTGCCCACAGATATCCACGGCCTTTGGGCAAACCTGTCAAGAGTGTGTGCCATGGCTTCTGGAATGCACTGGAATATTCCCTGGCTGCATGCTGTGCTTCTTTCTGCGGGGCTGTGTGTTACCCACTCCATAAGAGGGAAACAGCTCAGTAACATCCCTACAGCCCATCCTGGGCTATTCAGAGCCCCACCGAGCCAAGGTGCTGGCACTGGTTGTACCCTACGCCTGAGTTATTCTTTGCCATGTTGATTGCAGGCCACTTTATACAAAGATCGCGACTAGGACAATTTCTAAAAAGATTGAGGCCAGGCGCAGTGCTCACACCTGTAATCCCAGCACTTTGGGAGGCCGAGGCGGGTGGATCACCTGAGGTCAGGAGTTCAAGACCAGCTTGACCACCATGGAGAAACCCCATCTCTCCTAAAAAAATACAAAAATTAGCCAGGGTTGGTGTCACATGCCTGTAATCCCAGCTACGCGGGAGGCTGCAGCAGGAGAATCGCTTGAACCTGGGAGGCAGAGGTTGCAGTGAGCCGAGATCATGCCATTGCACTCCAGCCTGGTCAACAAGAGCGAAATTCCATCTCAAAAAAAAAAAAAAGAAAAAAGATTGAGACTTAAAATGGGACCCTACTGTTTTGAATCAAATTCCCTTTAAAAACATAGACTCAATTTCTTTCCCTTCGTCCTCCCTGCCCCTGCCCCAGGTCTGGAACCATTCTCCCCCATCCCTCCCCGGACCCCAGCCTGCTTCATCACACATCGGGATTGGCCGTTCAAATTCTCCTTTTACAGGACGTGTGCTGCACCGAAGGGCTTAACATTCCCTCCTTGTTTTCAGTGGGCTGGGGTGTGCAGGGGTCCCCGGGTGGGAGCAGGAGGCTGAGGAGAGCCTGCTGCGGCAATGAAAGCACCAGGTTCCTCCTCTTTCTCAGGCGCGGCCCCTCCTCTGCCAGGCTGTGCAAGCCAGTTCCGCCTGTTTACAAGCAGAGGTTGGCTGCCTGCAACCTTTCTAGAGGTGGGAGCAAGCCAGGGGGCTTATCAAAAACTGGGGAGGGGGAACATGGTGCAGGGAGAGTTGGGGAGGAGGTAGAAGGAGGGGGTGACACCATCCGGGAGCCTGAGCTTCCATCTGTCCTTGCACAAAAGGACCTGAGCATTCAGTGTGTGTGCGTGTGCACACGTGAGCATGTGTGAGCAGCCGTTGGGAGCCATGGAGGAGAGGGGGTGTGGCAGATTAAGGGAGTTCAGCCACAGAAAAGAAAGTTGATAACCAAAGAATTTTGTTTGGATTCTTACAGGCAGAGCAAGAAAAGTACCATTTTGTGTGGACGCTATCTTCCTAATATAAAACAGAAACCCAGGGGTCTGGTTTCGTAGGCAGTGGGTTGGGCCAAGGCCTGTGCAAGATATGGGTTTTCCAGAAACTGAAGTTATAAGGAAAGATGAAATAGTTCTCCCCGGTGCTTCCTCTCCCCAGACTCCAGGGCACCGTGGCGTGGTGTGGCCTGGAGTTTTTTCGTGAGGTCGATCCTTCTGGACGGTTCTTTGCCACTCAGGCTAAAATCAGATCCAGAGCTGGCCTCAGTGGCTGATAAATCTTCTTCCCACATCTGCTTGGGTTGACACAACTTGGAGATCCTTTGGGAAGAGAATATGTGGGAGATTGGAGAACTTTGAATGTGGACTGTGTATTAGATGATATTAGAGAGGCTAGAGAGAAAGACAGAGACAGAGAGGGAGGGAGGGAGGGAGAATAAACAGCAAGATGTTAACAATTGTTGACTCTGGGTGGCGCGTGTAGTTGTACGTGTACTACTAACTAAACATTTGCATAATGTTTTCTTTAAAAAGTACTTTTGGGAAAAATACTTTGAAAATACATTTAATGTCTGACATTAAAAATCCTTTGGGATTCTTTTTGGTTTGTTTTCTGAGACAGGGTCTCACTCTGTCACCCAGGCTGGAGTGCAGTGGCACGATCTCAGCTCACTGCAACCTCAACTTCCCTGGCTCAAGTGATCCTCCCAACTCAGCCTCTGAGAAGCTGGGACTACAGGCGCGCGTCACCATGCCTGGCTAATTTTTGTATTTTTTGTAGAAAGAGGGTCTTGTCATGTTGCCCAGGCTGGTCTCAAACTCCTGGGCTCAAGCATTCCGCCCACCTCAGCCTCCCAACGTGCTGCAATTACAGACATGAGCCACAGCACCCTGGCCTGAGTTTTCTTAAAAAGAACCTTGGGCACAGAGAACCTCCTGCTTCCCTGGGCGCAGGCCTGGCGCTGAGGCTGGTGTGGGGAAAGTCGGCCTTGAGAACCAGATTGGGTAGGTGGGGGTGGGTGGAGGGGGAGAGTGGAGGGCAGGCCCGGCCTGCTTCCTGATCTTGTCTGCCCGAGCATATCCAAAATAAAATACCGGGGTGACTCGAGCTAGGACGCCTGTCGGCCTGGACATTGAATAAAGACAGCGGCCTTCTCCACGTTCCTAGGGACCATTTCTCCTTAGACTCCAAGATCGCCCTGCTTCAGAAGTTTTATCTCCATCTAGGGAGTCCGATCCAACGGAGACGGAATTCACTGGAAGGAAGAGGCTGCCCTTCTACAGTCTGAGCTTGGTCAAGTGTGACACTGGCAGGGAACTTGATGTGTGCCAGAGACACGCACATTGTCACATTCAACCCACCCGACCCTCTGAGGGGGGTGCCTTGATTACCCCCACTTACAGATGGGAAAACAGGCCCAGGGAAGGTATTTATTCCTGGAACTCACCTGGACAGGTGAGGCTGGGATTCACCTGTGAGATCCAAAACCAGCCCTCTCGTTGCTGCGTGTTCATCGCAGCCGTAATAACGGTGGCAGACACACTGCAAATGGCTCCTGGCCACCATGGCGGAATCTGGCTGAATGGCCATGGAATATTTTTCCCAGGTTTCCCTGGACCTTCTGAGGGCCTTGCTTAGAATACAGTCTCCTTGAGAACAGAAACAGCACGGGCTCTGCAGAGCAGTCCCCGACTCCAGGCTGGTGCCTGCCCGGTTTGGTTTCCTCCTCCTCTTCCTCCCAGGAGAAGGGAAGGAGCTGGGTTTCCAGCAGGTTTGAGAAAGGCCAGCAGTTTCTCTTTATAAATCACTCTCCTCTCCTGAAGACAAACGGCTTTCTCCTCCTTCTTGTGTTCCTTTGTGATTTTTCTCCATTTTAATGCTGCCACGGTTACTTCTTTTAACCTGGTCTAGCTCGTCTGAAAACATTCTGGGGGGTGTCCGTGTATTATGGGGTAACTTGGAAGTTGCTGCTCATAAATATGTTTCAACTGAGGGCTCCAAAGCCCCCTGGGGATGGCCCTGGCCCTGCCTTACGATCTTGCTGGCCCCCATGTGCCCCAGGGCATGAGACACGGTCGATAAACCTATTCTGAGTCATCTCCCAGCACCTAGCACAGTTCTTCGCATACCACAGGCTCTCAATAAATATTTGTTGAAGGAACAAATTGGCTTGCAGTGCCTGACACTGTAGAAAGAATCATTGGGAGAGTCCCTTGGGTGCCACCCTGGAAACACAGCTCACAAATCTGGGACCATCTGTCAGGCTCCTGGAAGGCCCAGGAAAAAAAAAAAAAGCCATCCATTTTTCCCAAAATAGCACAAACAGGATTTCCTGGAGGGAGCAGAGCGGGGGCGCAGGCTGTGTTTGGAAATGGAAAATGCAGCCTTGCTCGCATGAGTCCTGCTGGGTTGATTTCTGCCAGGAATCCCGCAGGCTCCCCTGCCCTGGGGTGCTTCTTGGCATTCAGCGGTGACTTTAGAGCAGGTGGACACAGGGAAATTGGTGAACTGTTAATCCACCTCAAAGAGTTTAATGTGCATGTTGATAAAACTGTCCTTCACCATGGACAGCCCAAAGGAGTCCCAGGGTCTGCTTGTCTTCGGCCAGTCCCTTCTTCTTCTCCAGGGCCCCTCATGCCTGCTTTCTGCCTGTCTGTCCCCAAGCCTGGCCCTTGCACCAGAGGTTGCACACGTCGGGGAGAGGCGTTACAATGCTTAGACACCCGGGGCTCAAATCCAGGCTCCATCTACCAGGTGTGTGGTCTTGTGCAGGTACCGCTCTGTGCCTCAGTTTCCTCTTCTGTATCATGGAGATGAGTATCTCCTACTCATAATGAGGTCATGGAGGAAATGAATGGAGCTAATAAAATAAAGCATTTAGAATAGCGCCTGCATACTCTGTGCTTGCTAAGCGTGAGCTCCTTGGATTTCTGCAGCCTCTGCATGCAGTTCCTCTGCCCTCCCAGCTCCCATTTCTGCTGAGGGTGTCACCGTCCGCCCACTTGTGTGTCCTGAAGTCTGGGGTCTGCTCACCACCCACATCAGGGCAGTAGTGCATCCGTTTTCCTGGGGGCTGCTGTAGCAAATTACCATAGGATGGGGGGTTCACAGTGGCAGAAACGGATCCTCTCATGGCTCTGGAGGCTGGAGGTCCACAAGCAAGGTGTCTGTAGGGCTGCGCTCCCTCCAGGGGCTTTAGGAGGAGGGTCCTTCCTTTGCCCCTTCCAGCTTCTAAAGGTTCCAGCTTCCTTGGCTGTGTCTGCGTCGCTCTGGTCTTTGCCTCTGTCCTCCCACAGCCTCCTCCTCTGTGTCTCTGTGTCTCCTCCTCTTTCTTTTTTTTTTTCTTTTGTGATGAGGTCTCACTCTGTCACCCAAACCGAAGTGCAGTGGAATAACCACGGCTCACTGCAGCCTTAACTTCCCAGGCTCTAGTGATCCTCCCACCTCGGCCTTCCAAGTAGCTGGGACTACAGGTGTATGCCACCACACCTGGCTAATTTTTTTTTAGTAGAGATGGGGGTCTCACTTTATTGCCCAGGCTGGTCTCGAACTCCTGGGCTCAAGAGAACCTCCTGCCTTGGCCTCCCAAAGTGCTGGGAGTGCCAGGCATGAGCCACGGTGCCTGGCCTCTCTCCTCTCTTGATAAGGACAGTTGTCACTGGGATTAGGGGCCACCCAGATCATTCAGGATAGTCACAGCTTGAGATCCTTAATAACATCAGCAGAGACCTTTTTCCCAAATAAGATCACAGTCACAGCTTCTGGGTGGACGTATTTTTGGGAGGCCATCATTCTACGCATTGTAACCACCGACTTCCATCTCCAGAATGTCCTTGGAACCCATCACCTTCTTTCCATTCCAGAGGACACAGCTCAGGCCTTATCATCTGTCTGAGCCTCTCCCGGAACTCACCACCTCCTCACCCTGTCTCTAATCTGTCCTTCCAAGTCATCCTCCAGATCGCATCAACCTAGAACTGTCTTTCCCGGACAGCAGCTGCTATTCACAAGTGACAGCTGAGCATTTGAAATGTGTCCTGTTGGAATTGAGATGAGCTAAAGTATAAAAGACACACTGGATTTGGCAGACTTAGTATGAAAAAAGAGCAAAATACCCCATCAGCCTTTTCGACATGGATTGTCTACTGAAACAGACGCTATCTTGGATATATTGGGTTAAATATGTATCACTCTCCGATGATCTGTCTGCCAGTGTCAGTTACCTAGACCTGGGTAACAGGCCGCTCCATACACCTAGTGATTTCAAAGAATGAATCGCTCGTGTTTTTGTGGGTTGGCTCAGAGGTTCCTGTGCTGGTTTCACTTGGGTTCACTAAAGTGTCTGTCTTCAGCCAACAATCCCTGGGCTGGAAGATCCGAGATGGCCCCTGGAGAGGGGCCATCTGTACTGGAGAGCACAGATGGCACTGGAGGGCCTGATAGGTGGCTGGTGCCGGCCTTGGTCTCCCCAGTGTGGTCTCCCGGCCTCCAGTCGGCTGGACTGACTTCCTGGCATGGAGGCCTCAGGGTGCAATTCCAAGAAGATGGGAAGCTGCAGACTCTTAAGGCCTGGGCTCTAAGATGATGTCACTTCCACTGCATCCTATTGGTCAAAGCCAGTCACACAGCCAGCCCAGATTCCAGGAAGTAGAGAATAGACTCCACCTCTAGGAAGGAGGAGCAACTAAGCCACACTGCAAAGGGGCCTGCCTATTCTGTGGCCATGGAAGAGTCTTCTGCCCAGCCTTTGACTCCTCTGTCCACACGGGATCAAGCCCACCCTCCCCCCACTCACTCCTTTCTGTGCTAGCCCCCGGCCTACCATGCCCAAGCCGCCTGTGGCCAATACCTGCCTGGCCTCTCCCCATGGAACCCCCAAACTAGGGCCGTCTGGTCAACCCTTCTCATGGACAACAGCCTGGCACCTAAGATGCATTGGCGGGCAAGAACAGAGATGTCTCTCGCCATCCCTCTCGCACCTGCTTTCACCCACTCCCACGCCCCTGCATGCCCAGGCTCTCCCTGTGATTCAGGTATCTGCCCATCATTTTCTCCTCCCCTGGCCCTATCGACACAAATGCACAACACTCCGTGCTCCCTCCTGGCTGCAGAGTAGCCGTCTCTCTTTCAGGGAGACTGGGAGATGGTTGATTGGCGCCCACATTCTCAGAGTCTCAGACAACAGTCCCTTCAACCTGGGTTCCAGAATAAACACGGCGGTTGACTGGGTTTTCTCAGGCTGAGTGAAGGTGGAGAGAGGTTTCTGTTTGTTGCTTTTGAGTTGGCTGCTGGGCTGTAAAGACTCACAAAGGGTCCAATGTTCTGTCCCCATGATTCAAGCATACTCACGGATTTTTTTTGCCTCCGGGTTACTTTATCAACAGGCCACCGGCACAGCGCCTACTTTATTTTCTCAGGTGTCATGTAAACCCATCAGGCTTCTCAAAAGAAGGAAGCTGGCAGCCTTGACTTCAACAGCATCTCCCAGCCTCCCTTCTCATACAGGGCTTTTCTAAGAGCATAACGGCTATTGATGCCGCGAGCAGACAGACCCGCCGTCGAAGTCTTCCAGCCTCAAAACATTCAACAAGTCACTTCTTTTTCTTGGATCAAGGGGCCTGGCCAAGGAGGGGCCGAGCCAAGCTTTCAAGAAGAGGTTAAGAGTGAGCTGGCAGGATGCGGTGGTTTATTCTGCCAGGCAGGAGGAACGCACAGGCGAGGCCGTGTGCTCAGGGGACCAGCCTCAGGGAGGACGAGGATGAGGAGGCTGTAGGCTGGGCTGGGGGTGGGGCAGGGAGGAAAGATGGCCAAGGGAAATTGAACAGGTTTTGGAATCAGCCAGATTCACTCATTCATTCAGTTAGACCAGGGGTCAGTGTTCTGATCACCTCTTATTCACCACACTGATGAAGGCCCTACCTTACATAGCATGAGACAGCTGCAGCGCCCAACGCTGGACAGATGAGGCTGGCAGCAGTTTGTTGATTGCATATACTCATAGCCTGGAGAAGGTGCACACCTCGTGCCACTCGGGGTTACACTGGAGAGCACAGGCAACCCACAGGGGCCATGGGCGGCAGGCTTAGTAGTAACTAGAGGATGGGGTGACCCTTGGTTCTGTGGGAGGATGTGATGGGCTTGTTTGAATAATGTCACGTGCTGGCAGGGAGGTGACGCCTGCTAGGCTGAGGACTGAGTGGATGTGTGAGGGACTTTCCTGCTAGATGCGGGGAGCATTTCCGGTGAGAGCAGGGGAATCCATGGTCAGACCTTTGAGGTCCTGCAAGGCCCCAAGATGTCAAGGCAGCACTTGAGATTGTAGATCTTGCAATACGATCAGCAAACTTGTTTTGTAAAGGGTCAAGTAATATTTTAGACCCGGAGAGCCAGGAGACAAAATCAGGCATAATATATAGACCCATATAACATGAGGTAGAACAAATTGACGCCAAATGTTTATTGACAAAATTCAAAATATAGTCATTATAATTGAATATGATGTTTTACAGTCAAAGTCTCCTATTGAGAAGAATGGAATTCTTTTGGGAGCTGAGGAATAACATTTTGCTGAATGGGAGTTTAAAGTTAGTGTCCGATGTTCATGCAAAATTCATCCTTAGCTCACGGGCCGTGCAAAGCAGGCAGTAGCGCAGGCTGGATGTGGCTGGTGGGCTCCTTTGGATAAGTCTTTACCCTATGCTGGGTGCCGCACTAGGCTGCCGGTGGATGAGGCAATCATTTTGTGCTCAGTTATTCATAGTCTGGGTGATAGGGGGACACACAAGTAAACAGCAAGGACAAATCAATATCATCAGGACGTGTTGGCAACTCTGCCAAGGAGATTCTAGTGCCTCTTGGTGATATTGGAGAAGGCTTCCTAAGAAGGACCCCTTAGGAAGGAACTTCGAGATGCAACTGGTGTTTGTACATTTTTGCTGTGTGTGTGTGTGTGATCCACATTTATGCCTTAGGAAGGTCACATTCACGGCTGTTAGAAAGCTGGACTGCAAGAGATGGAGACCAAGAGGGATGCTATTGCAATCACCCTGGGGAGAAATGAGGAAAGCTCGTTCCAAGGGAGAGGTGGTGGAAATGAAAAAGGAAGGTGCGAACAAGAGAGGTTTACAAAGTACAGCCAACAGCAGATGGGTTGCTGGGGCTGTAAGAGCCTCTGAAGCGGACAGAGCAAGAGTCAGAAAAGGAAGAAGCTGAAGCAATGCAGGGAACAGAGAGGCAGAAGCTGTGGCCATCCAGGGTGGGACACCAGGGTCTAAGATTTCAGAGCTGGGCCAAGTCTGGATATTGAGAAGGTCCAGTATGTGGGCTCAGGAAAGAGTCGCTGCGGTAGATTGGAAGGGAGAGTCCTCAAAACAAAAGAAGTCAAGGATATTTGACCTGAAAATATTAGGTGATTGTGTGCGTGTGTGGAAGGAGCTGGGTGTGGGGGAGTTTCTGGGCCAGGCACGGAGCTTGGTCAGGCTTTCCTGTTAGCTGCTGCTGTGTAACAAGCATCCCTGGTTCAGCTTAGTGCTGAAGACAATTTGTTATATATGCAATAGCCCATAACCTAAGAATGGATTTTGTATGAACATTTGGTTATACGGGATACTGGCTTTAAACTCCCATTCAGCAAAATATTATTCCTGAGCTCCCAAAAAGAATTCCGTTCTTCTCAACAATAGATTTTTACTATAAAACATTGTATTCAATTATAATTACTATATTTTGCAATAGCATATGTAATAAATATGTAACAAATTATCTTCTTTGTATTGCTTGTATTGCTGGCCTGAGACACCCTTCTCCAGATTACTGGTGTGACTTTGGCCTTTGCATCTTTACCCAGACGTCCCGGGCGGGGTGCGGGGGGCTTCCTTTAAGCAGTCCCCGCTCTGCCTCTTCCACCGCCACAGCCTCAGCACTCCAGTTGCTTTCTCCCTGCCCCACCGTTTCTTGTTTGCGTTGCCCTTTGTTACCTTCTAACACTTAAGAGAATGTATTTATTAGAGGATTGTTTATTGCTCAGCTTCTTTCACTCCTGGTTCCCTGTTGGTTCCATGAGAACGGGGATCTTTGTCAATTTCATTCACTGATGTATTCCAGTGCCTGGCACCTACCTGGTCCATGCTCAATAAGCCGAGGCTGGCCTCAGACCACCTGTCGCCTGATCAGAGAGGCTGTCTGCGGCCGTCTCCCCAAAGCTGCTCTTCCATTCAAGTCCCTTCTATCTCATTATCCCAATTTATTATCTTCCCAGGGGCACTTATCTAATACCGTTCTTGTTTATTTAATTACTGCTTTACTGCCTGTTCCCGTGGCTGGAATATAAGTGTCATGCTACCAGGAAAAGCTTCTGTCAATGTCCCATCCCTAAAACAGTGCCTGGCACATAGTAGATGCACATTCGGTGTTTTCTGGAAGTGTCTGTCAAATGCCTGGCACTATCAACCTGCTTCCCACTAAACTCTGAGACCCAATTCACCACCACACCTCATGCACAGCCTTGCGTACGCAGCCCTTGGTCAATATTTGCTGAATGATTGGTATTTCCATTTACCTGCCTCAAGATAGAGGGCTAGGTGGAAGGATTTCAAATTCTCTCTTTCAGCACGATGGTTCTTTTGGATCAAGGGAGCCCAAAGGCAGGAATGTGAGGCGCCCAGAGTCCCCTCCTGCCCAGCCGGTCCACAATGTTGCTTTTCACGTCTTCTCTGATGCAGCCGTGTGCCAGCCCTTAGGAGCGGCTGGGCCGGGCCTTCCTATGTGTCAGGGCCCACAGTGGAGCCTTGTTTCCCCTCAGTCCTCTGCGTGAACCGTGCTGGCTGGCTAGAGCCTCCCTGGGTCCTGGCTCCAGCTCTGTGGCAGAGACTTAGAGCCCGTGTCTGCTTTCTGTCTCATTGCAGATTTGTGGGAAGTGATGCGTGAACGTGTGTGATCAGGGAGAGGCTAGATGGCCACAACTCCTGGAAAATGAGTCCTGCTTCTCGTAAGATGCGTGTTCCGGTCTGCAGCCTCGCCCCCCACACACTGGTTATTCCCAATTACCTGTAGAACCTGTTATGTATTCTATCTTCCCATATTCCCCAAACAGCCCCTTTTTTATCCTAGAGATGTCTGACTCAGCAATTAAATTCAGCCAAAAAGCTGCCTCCTCCAGGAAGTCGCCCCTGAATGCCTCCTGCTTATCTGCATTACATATTTTCTCTGACTTTTCAGGGCTTACACTCGTTTGTTTGCTTGTGTCCCACTAGATTATGAGTTCCTGGGGACAGGGCCTGGAATTTCCAGCACCTCGTGGGCCTGAGTGATTGTTTGGGAATGAATGAATAAACAAGTGAGTGAGTGACAGCTCTTATAGCAGCCATATCAGCCGTATATCGTCTTGGAGTCTTGATTTGCCTGTTTGTTCTATGAGGGCTGGCCTGATGGTTTTTCTAAAATCCTTTAGCCCAGCTGTTTTCAGTTGGGTTTTTTTTTTTCTCCTCAGGAGACATTTGTCAGTGGCTGGAGACATGTTTGGGTGTCACAGCTGGGTGAGGGAGCTCTCCTGGCATCTGATGGGTAGAGGCCAGTGATGCTGCTGAGGCTCAGCCCCATAGCAAAGGGCGATCCAGCCCGAATTTCAGCAGTGCCCAGGCTGAGAAACCCTACTAGCCATTTCTATGATGTTTTCCTTTCAGTCTGGGACCCAGGGAGGGAGACTGGTACAAAGAAATAGACAATATCACCAAGTTCTGGGAGTGTACATAGAGGCAGTGAGGACAGAATGGTGACTTCTTTTGTACCTATCAGTATTCTTCATTTTGTGTATAACATTTCCAAGTCCACGAGCTACATGGTACAGACCTCCCCGAGTTATTTCCCAAGGCCAGTGTATCAGTTACATATGCTGTGTAACAAAACATCCCAATACATAATGGCTTGTAGCAATGGCCACTTATTCTTATTCACGAGTCTATTGGTTGGCTGGGCAGTTCTGCTGATGGGGCTGGGTTCAGCTGACCTCCGTGCCTCTATGGGCAGCTGGTGAGTCAGCTGGGGGCTGGTTGGTTCAACGTGGCCTCAGCTGCGACGACTCAGTTCCATGGGGTCTCTTCTCCATGGGAGCTTGTTCCCATGGCACAGGCAGGTGCCTAAGGCTCAGAACTGGGCTACCACCACCTCTCCCATATCCCATTGGCCAAAACAAGTCACATAGCTGGGCCCAAAGCAAGAAATAGACTCTGCCTCCTAAAGGGAGAAGGTGCAAAGTCACTATGAAAAGGAGTGTGGATATAGGGAGGGGTGAGAATTGGGGTCATTTTTGCAATCAATCTGCCCCAGTCAATTAAGTACAGTTTGTTTTGTTCGTTCCCCTCCCAACTCCTGACTTTCCTAATTGTACTCACAGCCTCTGGATGAGCTGAACCACCCTAGAAATTGGCCCTTACATTTCTTCACGCATTTGATGTATTCTGTTAAACGGTGACCTGTGTGATTCTGACTACCATAGCGATATCTGACTCCCTCCCTCCCCAGATGGAGAATCTCACCCACCCAAATAGACAGACAGACAGACAGACAGACAGACAGAAACACACACACACACACACACACACACACACACACACGACATTCCTGCCTGGCTGGCTGCCCAGAAACACATCAAACTGAACCTATCCCTGAACAAACTCCCATCACCATCCACCTCCCTAAGCTTCAGTTTCAGTTTGTGGCCTCACCATCCGCTTACCCAAGCCAGAAATGTCGGCGTCCTCCTCCTCCACATCCAGTCGATACCCAAGCTCTGCCAGTGCTACTTCCCAAATATTTTTTGGACCTAATGCTGCTAAGGTTTGCAAACTCTTCATCTCTCAGTTGGATATAGCAATAGCCTTTTAAATCATGTCCTCCCCTCTTGGATTGTCCCCTCCCCCGTTAAATCAGTAAAGCCATCCTTTATCCTGAGAAACACACCCTGACAGTATTGCTTGATAAGGGGTGAAGACTTCTGTGTTGTTAGATGGAATTACAACCACAAATGTCCGGATCATGCCCCACCCATTACCTCTCCTGTGCACGGGTGTCCCAGAGGAGCTGTGCACCCAGAATTGATATCAGAAGAGGAATTAACACAAAGCTTTATTGTTAGCTGGATCGGGCTAGTAATGAGATCCACAGCTCCATCTCCCCAGGAGAGGGGCCAGAGGTTGGCCTGGGGTTGGGAGAGGAGCTGCAGGTACCCCCTTCTCTATTTTACTCCCTATTTCAACTCTCCAGGGCTCCCTCTGCTCTCCTTGGATGGTTGGTCTTGGAAACCAGCCACCATGCTGTAAGGAAGCACAAGCAGCCGCCTGGAGAGGCCACGTGTAAGTGCTCCAGCTGATAAATCTGGCTGAGGTTCCAGCCAATAAGCGGCATCAGCTCCTAGATGTGTGAGTGAGTGATTATTATTTTAGATTTCAGATCTGAAAACTTCAGATTGTTTTGGATTATTTCAGACCTGAGCTGCAGACATCATGAAGCAGAGATAAGCTACCCTCACCATGCCCTTTAATTCCATGAACCACCAAGTTTGGAGTGGTTCATTATTTGGCAAACATAACCAGACTGAAGGCCATGGGGTTTGGGTATTATTCTATAAGGAGTAGAAGGAGCCCTGAGTAGTTGAAATGGGGAGCAAAATAGAGAAGGAGATACCTACAGCTCCTCTCCCAACCCCAGGCCAGCCTCTGGCCCTTTCCCAGGGAGGAGGAGCTGTGAATCTGATTACTGGCCCTGACCCAGCTAACAATAAAGCTGTATGTTTTACGCTGCTTGAAGCATTGTTACCTGGAGTCTCACTCTGTCGCCCAGGCTGGAGTGCAGTTGCCCGATCTCGGCTCACTGCAACCTCCACCTCCTGGGTTCAAGTGATTCTCCTGCCTCAGCCTCCTGAGTAGCTGGGATTACAGGTGCACCATCATGCCCAGCTAATTTTTGTATTTTCAGTAGAGACGGGGTTTCACTATGTTGACCAGGCTGGTCTCGAACTCCTGACCTCAGGTGATTCACCCGCCTTGGCCTCTCAAAGTGCTGGGATTACAGGCATGAGCCACTGTGCCCGGCCTGGAATTTCTTTAACACGAATATCTTAGGGTGTACATTTTGCAAGATACCAGGGCAGACCCTCGCTAGTTAATCTGAGTGCTATAACCTGACTTCGAGGCAAAGGCTTTAGATTTACACTCAGGGATGCGGCTGCTTTGAAACCCAAACCTCCGTCTTCCAGGTCTCCTGATCAAGCACCCGAGGGAGCTACTCCAGGAGACGGCAGGGCCCTGAAGAAGTCATTTCCTAGTTTACTTTCTTCCTGGGCTGGAGAAGAACAGTTGCGGCCTGACCTGAAACCCTGTCTCCCCAGGGCTTTGCTCAAGAGGCTCCGGAGAAGTGGCCTCTGTCCTGCCAAGTTATGGAATGCCACCTTATTGTGGAATGGTCCCATGCAGAACACACACCACCCCACGGAAACACCCACTCCAGGTGGGGGCCAGAAATCCGTTGTCTTCAGTGACTTCCTAACCCAGGCCAGTGGGTACAGTTCCAGTTTCCAGCTAGCCAAGTCCATTTTCACCCCCGAACCTCCTGCTGAGCTTTTCTCCTGCATGTCACCACCCACAGATTCAAGATCAAGACCCTAACTTGCCTCTCAGACTCCGGGAGGACAGACAGAAGGCGGAAAGTCATGTCTCCTGAATTCAGCTTTTCCATGGGCTTAGATTCCCAGTGATCACCTTGGCGGCTTCACCTGGCTTTCCCAGCCTCCTTATTCTTTTTCATCTTCAAAGGATGGTGAAGCTATTGGGCCCAACCGCTGAGGATTCAACAAGGGAGATTGTGAACGCTCCAAGAACAGCAGGTTCCACACTGAAACTCAGTAGCCACTTTGAACCAAACTGTGTGTGTTTTCAGAAGTATTTCTTCTTGCTGAAGACCCGAGGGACTGGGCTTTTTGAGGGTCATTTCTCCAGTGGATTTAGCCTGCCTGGGAAAAGTTTTAGACAAGCAGCAGGGGACAGGGGAAAATAGAATCCTGGAAGATGGCTCCTGTTCTGTGATTGCATTTTAAAAATCTCCAAATAAATTCTCCGCTGTGGAAAGGTGGACATCTGTTCAATTCTGCACTTAACAAATAATAAGAATTTGGAAGGGGTGGATTTTGTTATGGATTCAGAATTGAAATTTCATGCTTTAATTATTTTTAAAATTTTAATCATTTTTTATTAAAACATAACTTACACATAATAAAATGTACCGGTTTGATGTGTACAGTTGAATGAGTTATGACAAATGTATATACACCCAGCTAACCACCACCACAATCAAGATTCCAAATATCGCAATCTCCCCAATCAGTAGGTATTATTTCCAGCCAGCTCCCCACCCATCCCCAGCCTTGACAGCCACTGCTTTGCTTGCTTTTTTTTTTTTTTTCCGAGACAGAGTCTTGCTCTGTCTTGCTCAGGCCGGAGTGCAGTGGTGTGATCTTGGCCCACTGTAGCCTCTGCCTCCTGGGTTCAAGCAATTCTCCTGTCTCAGCCTCCCCAGTAGCTGGGACTACAGGTGTCTGCCACCACACCTGGCTAATTTTGTATTTTTAGTAGATATGGGGTTTCACCCTGTTGGCCAGGCTGGGTCTTGAACTCCTGACCTCAGGGGATCCACCCACCTTGGCCTCCCAAAGTGCTGGGATTACAGGTGTGAGCCACCGCACCCCTCCTACTGCTTTGCTTTCTATCTGTGCATTAGATTTTTCTCTCTAGAGCTTCATAGAAATCATACATGTGTAAAACATGCACTCTTTTTTTCTTTTTTTTTGAGACAGGGTCTTGCTCTGTTGCCCAGGCTGGAGTGCAGTGGCATGATCATGGCTCACTGCAGCCTTGATCTTCTGGGAGTTGACCTCCCACCTCAGCCTCCCAGGTAGCTGGGACCATGGGTGTGTGCCACCATACCTGCATACCTGGCTAATTTTTTTTTTTTTTTGAAGAGATGGGGTCTCACTGTGTTACTTAGACTGTCTCAAACTCCTGGGCTCAAGTAATCCTCCCGCCTCTGCCTCCCAAAGTGCTGGGATTATAGGTGTGAGCCACCGTGCTGGGCTCATGCACTCTTTTTTCGTCTGGCTCCTTTCACTCAGCATAATTATTCTGAGATTTAACTACATGATTGTGTGTGTTAATTGTTTTTTTGGGTTGCTGAGTACTATTCCATTGTATGGACATGCCGTAATTAGTTTGTTTATCCATCCACCTGTCGATGAACATTTGGGTTGTCTCCAGTTTTAGGCAATTACGAATAAAATTGCTGTCAACATTTGTGTACAGGTCTTTGTGTGGATTTGTAAGTCTTCACGTCTCTACATAAATACCCAGACCTGGAATTGCTGGGTTGTATGGTAGGTATACACTCAACTTCACAAGAAACTGTTCAACCATTGTCCAAGGTAGCTGTCTGAGCATGTATGAGAATTCACAAAGTTTTTTGTTTTGCTTTGTAAAAATTTTAAATAGCTCTATTGAGGAGTAGTTGACAAACCACAGAATTCATCCATTTTAAGTGTAGTTTTACAAAGTGAATTTTAGAAAATTTATACAACTGTGCAACCATCACCGCAATCCAGTTTTCAAAATTTTAATTACCCCAGAAAGTTCCTTCATGATTTTGCAGTCAATCCCCACTTCCTACCCCAGGCAAAAAAGAGCCATTGATTGGCCAGCTTTCTCTATCTATAGTTTTGCCTTTTCCACAAGTTCCATGTAAGTGGAGCCATATAACATGTAGTCTTAGATGTCTGATTTCTTCCCCTTAGCATGTTTTTGAGGCTTGCCTATGTTATTGTTGTGTGTATCAATAGTTTGTTCCTTTTCACTGCTGCATAGTATTCCATTGTACGAAAAGATCACATGATATGGTTTGGGTCTATGTCCCTGCCCAAATCTCATATCAAATTGTAATTTCCAGTATTAGAGGTGGGGCCTGGTGGGAAGTCATTGGATCATGGGGGCAGATTTCCCCTTTGGTGCTGTTTTTATGATAGTGAGTTACTGCAAGATCTGGTTGTTTAAAAGTGTGTAGCACCCAGCCCCGCTCTTCTTCCTGCTGCTCTGGCCATTTAGGTGCCTGCTTCCCCCTCACCTTCCTCTATGATTGTAAATTTCCTGAGGACCCCCCAGCCAAGCTTCCTGTTCAGTCTGCAGAACTGTGAGCCAATGAAATCCCTTTTCTTTACAAATTACCCAGTCTCAGGTATTTCTTTATAGAAGTGCGAGAATGGACTAACACATTATATTTTGTTTATCTGGTCACCAGTTGATGGACATTTGGTTTATTTCCAGCACAAGGCTATTGGCTCAACTACCAGTAATGACCCAAAGAAATTAATGTATTTATTACTCAGGCTGGGCGCAGTGGTTCACACCTGTAATCTCAGCACTTTGGGAGGCTGAGGAGGGCAACTCACTTGAGGCCAGGAGTTCGAGACTAGCCTGGCCAACATGGTGAAACTCGAGCGGAGGCTGCTGTAGTCTCGAGTTTGATGAAGTTTGTATGTTTGATAAAGTTTTGTTTCTATGAATGTGCCAAAAAGGAAAACAACTTAAAATGTACAGCAGTAGGTGATGGGTTAGGTAAGTGATAACAGATATCTTCCTAAGGGACTGATACCATCTGCTCTTTAAAGGTTATGGTGAAAAACAATAATTATAAGGGAAAATATACCCAATACTGTCAGAAAGATTCAATATTACGTGCAAGTTGTCTATCAAAAGTAATCTTTGTTCATATAAACTATTATAAAAGTACTTCCATCTTAATGAATAATTTCAAAATAAATACCAAAGAATCACCTTCCAACATCTGATAATGAATTATCTAATAATGAATAAACAAAGACAGACAATTCTACTGGCACACTGAGGCATAAAGACATTGTTTCTTTTCTTTTCTTTTCTTTTTGACATGGAGTTTTGCTCTGTCACCCGGGCTGGAGTGCAGTGGTGTGATCTCAGCTCACTGCAACCTCTGCCTCCCAGGTTCAAGCAATTCTCCTGCCTCAGCCCCCCAAGTAGCTGGGATTACAGGCGCCTGTCACCATGCCTGGCTAATTTTTGTATTTTTAGTAGATACAGGGTTTCACCATGCTGGCCAGGCTGGTCTCAAACTCCTGACCTCATGATCTGCCCGCCTTGGCCTCCCAAAGTGCTGGGATTACAGGCGTGAGCCACTGCGCCTGGCAAAGACATTGTTTCTTAAAGACGAGTTAAAAATGATATTTGAAAATAAAAATAAGATTTGTTTTTACTGAGAAGAAAAATCTTTACTCACTCCATTCATTACATGCTACAATAAAGAAGAAAGAAATCTTTGGAAATAAAATCTCTTCTAAGATCTACCTCTCATTAAAAGACTGTAAATTTTTTAAAAACTGGAGTGGCGCACATCAACATTTTAACCATGAAGGTCTCTGAAACATAATTCTGCGTTAACATTTTCTTCTTTGTCCCCTTCTGTATTTTTTCAATGTATTATTTCCATGTACACTTTTATAATCAGAGAAAAACCAATAGCGATTTTTTCCCATTTTTAAAAGAGTGAAAGAACCTGTAAAATAATAAAACCAAACTTTAAAAACAATGTATGAAAGCTTTTAGCTCAAACAAGTGTTTTTCTTCAAAGTACTGACCTTGGAGTGTATTACACTTATTCTAGCAATGACCCAGCTATTAATATCATTTTATAAATTCCTTTTCAAGGCAGCTTGTAAATTACACATGGAAATCAATCTTACTGAGCTATACCTGCTTTAATAATGACATCATTAACAAGATAAATTACCACGTTTATTCACCACACTGAGCTCAGAATTACTTTAGGCTGTTTACAAAAACCTGGTCCACCTTCAAAAAGGTTGAAGATTTGTCAGAATTGCAGATTTTTCACAAGAATGTAGAATGGGTTTTGAACATCGTTCCAAAAAACGGTGGGCGCCAAACGTTTGTTTCTTCTCTTTCTCTTACGCCTCGACCTCTTTACCGTCTGTGGAGAACAGAGCTTTGTAAGAAAATGTCAACATATCCACCAGCCTCCTTTTCCAAAAGTAACATGTTTTTTAAATTAAGGTTTCACTGCAAAGTGGAAATCTCTTCCCACAGTTCGAAAGTTCTAGGGAGCCTTCTTTCTGTGCATCAAACTCTCCAGAGTCTGCCATATAAAACCACAAATGACCTGCTTAGGTGGGGCATGAACAAGAGACTGCAACCAGAGGTGCGGATACTTAGAAATGGACCTCCTTTCCTGCACGTTCATGCACACACGTGCATGCACACACACACACACACACACACACACACACACACACACACACACACACACACACACACAGGGATGCAGGGACCAGGCCAGCTACTTGGGTTCCTGGATTGGAGGAAATGGGTCTCTCATCTTTGGGCCACTTGGTTTGGCATCCAGTAAATCATGTCTTCATTTCTGTCCCAAAGGAGGAATTATCAACAAGTTTTGACCTGTCCAGGTGATAAAAAATTCAGATTGTCCCTTAGTACCAAAACCTTAACTACCCAGGGTTTATAAAATATTAAAAAAACCACTGAGAGAAGGTAAGATGTCAAGTAAAAGAGAAGTAAAATAGTCCTATTTTCTTTTCCTTGGAGTTTTGTTTTATTTTGACTTATTTTATAAGTCAAAATTTTAATATATATATTTTATATATATGTGTGTGTATAAAACAATATAACAAAAACATTAATAAAGCAATAATAATCTGGTCATCCAGTATACAGCTAATTTTATTTTTTGACATTTTCTTTCACTTATTATAAAATAAATGTGTACATAAAATGTACTGGTACGTTTTAGCTCGGGCTATCAAACATTTTCCCATTTCTGCCTGGCCCTCGTGATGACCCTAATGACCCTGTAATATTTCGTTGTGTTGCTGTGTCATGAATTATGAAACCATGCAGCTTGTTTTCAAGTATTTACTTTTATAGAGAAGGTTGCCCTGAATATTGGTATACATATATATTTTGCTTCTGTGAAAATAAATTGAGTTTTTGTGGGTAAGTTTTTTTTTTTTTTGAGACAGAATTTCACTCTTGTTCCCCAGGCTGGAGTACAATGGTGTGATCTCAGCTCACTGCAACCTCCGCCTCCTGGGTTCAACCGATTCTTCTGCCTCAGCCTCCCGAGTAGCTGGAATTACAGGCACCTGTTTTGTGGGTAATTTTTATGCAAGAACTATGAGCACTCCAAAGGAGGTTGCTATGGTTTGGATATTTGTGTCTCCCCAAAATTCAAGTGCTTAACCTAATGATCAGTGTGATATTAGGAGGTAGGGTGGGAGCTCTGGGACATGGTTAGATCATGAAAGCAAAGCCCTCATGAATGGGATCAGTGTCCTTATAAAAGAGACCCAGGAGAGCTGCTTTCTTCCTCCCCCCACACAAGGACACAGCAAGAAGGTGCCATTGTTAACCAGAGAGTGGATCCTCACCAAACACCAAATCTGCCAGCACCTCGATCCTGAACTCCCCAGCCTCCAGGACTGTGCGAGAGAAATTCCTGTTACTTATAAGCCACTCAGTCTATGGTATTTTGTGATAGTAGCCTGAATGAACCAAGACAGGGGCCTAATTCCTGCTTGTATGGTATAGGTTTGTCAAAACTATAAGTTCTATGTATTCAACTTTTTGTTAATTTCCTTTACTCATGGACTTGCAGATCTTTAATATACTCTGCCTTTATTAACTTGTCCCTAATAGAATACTAGTTTCTATTCTGTTCATTTTGTACTATTGTTAGTTTATAGTTCATGAATGCCTTATCTTTAGTCCATTACTAACTATAACTTTGTAATCATAATCAATTTATATCCTGATGAATATTTTGTTTTTCAAACTACATTATTAATCTATTTCTTGTTATATGAATTTGAAAATTATTTGTCGTATTTTTAGCCTTTCTATACAAATTTCTCTTGTAAAAGTCTACTTGGAGACCCGATGCCTCTTTATAGCTGAATTTGGACTATTTATATTTATTGTTATAATGGTTTTGCTTTCCTTGTTGGCTACTTGATTTTGTTTTCTCTTAGCTAGGCTTCTTCATTGTCCCTTTCTTAGGATGATTTTAATGTGTAAGGTATGTTCTGTTTTCAGTGATATAATAGTATATTTAGTGGCAAATACCTGCTTTTTAGTATCACCCATGAGAAGTGGACTTTCCTTTAAGTTATCACCTTTCCGCACTACTGGTTTAGGATTTGGCTTTTTGAGTCTGCTAAGTCAGTTACTACTCATCCATCCATCTCTCAGCTTCCAAAATTTTCTTGCAATTCTCTCTTCTTCTTCTTCTTCATGTCCCCTTGAAGGTTTAAGCTTTTAAAATACCAAAACAAAAAAAAAAACTGCCCTTTTTTGTAGTTTTGCTAAAATTTTGAGAAGGAACATTAGATGTATATGTCCAATCAACCATCCTGACCCAAAAGTGCCCCATCCTAATTTACATTATTTATTTTTGTCTAAAATATTCTGGTTTTCATAGATACTTTTCCAACATGGGAAGGGTTTTAAAAACTCTTTCTCCTTTTCTTTAGTCCTTGCAGCTCTTTTTTATAAACATTTTTAACACCTCTGTTAAAGCAAACTTGCAGTTCTCAACAAAGTGTTTTCCACTGATGTCTGCTAAAATGGTACTTAGGAGGTAAAGTATGTAAGAATATCCTTCTGATG
The DNA here is from genome assembly GCF_000001405.40 of Homo sapiens. Classification (NCBI taxonomy): domain Eukaryota; kingdom Metazoa; phylum Chordata; class Mammalia; order Primates; family Hominidae; genus Homo; species Homo sapiens. The sequence continues at coordinate 124,206,321 of NC_000012.12, forward strand.
CAATTACATTTAATAACAATATCAGTGTGGGCCACTTTCTTAGCTACCACCAGTTCTTTAATGTTTTTGAAAATTAACTTCCAGTCTTGGCCACAGCAGCCTAAGAGTCCCCAGAAGTAGCCAGTTTTAGGCATATTTGAAAGGAATCTGTCTTTTCTACTTGGGAGGTTGAGGAACTTTCACCTTCTTTCTCATTCTTCTCATTTCTGTTAACTTCTTCCTCAATCTTTCTTTGTGCTTTCAGGATCTTCTGTTTTATTGACTGTCTGTATCTTTGGTCCCATGTGTTGACTGCTTTCTGCAATGATTCAAAACTTTTTATTTTGGGAATTCTACCCTAGCCTGGTCCTTGTCCCACTGTGTCATGTCCCTGTTGATTGCAGTAGTGGGAAGTCTGTGCTCTGGGGCTAAATTAGGTAAGACACATAAGACATTTAGAACAGTGCCTGGAACATAGGAGACGCTCCTGGAAGGACTGTAGTTGTTTCCAAAAACTATTGGGTCATCGTGGAGGATTGCTAATTCATGAGTAGGGCTGACTTCTGTGCATTTTCTGGGTCCTTTTCTTTTTTCTTTTTCTATAGAACTTTTCATTAGGGTCAGCTTTCCCCCCTCATGAGATCAGATTTCCTTGCAATTATTTTCTGATCCCACAAGGCCAGTTCCACTAGTGCCTGCGTTGAATTCTTCCACATACTCATCTGATGGAAAGGGGTGGGTTTGGGGCTGAGGAGGGTTTATGGGGATGTTGAATTACCAGATCTAAGCCCACTCTGTCAACCTGAGATCTGGAAAGCTGACCACTCGAGACAACTAGAGATCCCTTCTCCTCTCTTCTTTAATGTTTTTGCTGTTGAAGTTTCAGCACCTGAGAAGGGTTTTAGCACAGAGAGGATTAAGAACTGGATAATCCTGGATTTGAAAGTAGAATGGTGAGCCAGCCTGAAATAATGCCCCCATTTCCATCTTGCCTAATTCCCCTTCTTGTGTCAACCTTTGCCAGAGAGACCCCATCCCCAGAACTGAGGTTGGGAATCTGGACATTGAGCATTGAGACCTGTTCTAATCCTGTCACAACTTGATTCTGGCTTTTGGAACATGAATCCCATGTCACAAAGGAAGCTATGACATAGGCACAGAGCTACAAGATAGTGTGATATCTTTGGTGCCACTCTGATGGGCAGGTTGTTCCAGCAAAGCATGACAGTGTGAAGATGCTGTGAAGTTGGCTCGGACAGCCGGGTGGAAGCCAGGACTTCCAGAATTCCAACTGGCCCCAGGGGAAGAACTGGGTTTGGGGGAGATGTTGATTTGCATGTGATTTGCACAAGACTGAAACTCTGCAAGTGACGGTGGCACCAACGAGGTCTTTCTCACCTCGGTATCGCTGGCACTTACGTGCTGGGGGCTCAATACACGTTCCTGGAAGGAACAGAGGGAAGGAGGAGCTTTTCATTTCTCTGCTATCTTGACTTTCTCAACACTTCAACGCGTTGATCTCATTCGATTCTTACAAGTGGAGGGAGAAAGGATGGTTTGTCATCACCCTTACTTTATGGATAAGGAAACCAAGATAGCATGGCTTGGCAATTTATCCAGAGAAGCAAAATGACCGACAACAACGCACGGTGAAACGCAGTGTTGGGAATCGCAGATGGAAGCCGAGCATTTCCTCTACCTGTGGGACCTGCACTTTTCCTAATGCTCTTTCCCATGTGTTCTCTGCAGGTCCTCAGGCAAATCCTGTGGAGGAGAAAGGGCAAAGTCATCCCAGTGTCTCGTTTTTGAGGGAACTTGTGGCTGCCATGTGGACAGTACCAGGGGATATGTCTCAGCAGCCGGCCGGGAACTCTTGGCTGCAGACAGTTGCACAGCTCGTTATCTTGATGCCAAAACAAGAACCAAGGACCCTTTTCCACTAGGAGAACTCTCGGCAAGCAGGACTTGAGACGAGCGGAGTCCAGCTCCCCTGGAGGTCCAGTAACAAGTCAGGCTTCTGTGGGGAGCAAGGCAGTGGCAGGGAAGGAGGGGGAGTAAATGGAATCATTGGAGAAAGCACATTCAGAAAGCCATGGCCCATGGGTTTTTAGGATGTGGGATCACAGGGTGTGGGGTTTGTCAGAAGCCTGGCTCCCTCTCCTCCTCCCCTTGGGGTGGTCTCTGGAGAGTGGGGGATGCCATGACACCAGCATTAGTGGCTCTGGGCTCCGTGAGGCGTGAGTTCTGGGATTCTCGGGGATGGTTTATGGGATGGTCACGGAGCACGGTGCTTTGAGGCTGGCTCTGCGTCCCTGACTAGTTAACTCCGGCCCACACAGGCCACGTGGTGTTTAATGGGGAGGGACGGAGACGCAGCAGCAGGGCTGGGGCCTCCGGTGTGGACCCCCCGCAGGCAGGGAGGTCCCTGGAGGAATTCGTCTTTAATGTCTGGCTTAACCAAAGATGGCTGGATTCTCAACTCTGCTTCCGCATTCAATCCCTTGTAAGAATTTTTTTTTTTTCTGTCAAAGTATGAAAAATTGCAGATGCAGCCACCCACTCATAAGTAGCTGGAAGAAGCCGCAGGGTTCGAATAATCTTTTCGGAAAACTGTGGATGCACCACGTAGCCTCTGGAAACTCCACCGTACACTCGTGAGAGAATGAGAGCCAGAAAGACAATTCCTTTAGTATTAATATAAAAATAGATTTGTAAAATATTACCTATTTTTTAATATTATCATTATATTATATATTTTTGTATGTTATCAAGGGTTGAATCTGTCCCATGAGATGTGTGTGACCCGTATCCTTAGCGGGCTTTCTTGAGGGCTTCTCTGCCTTAGAGGAGGGAATTGAGGGTGCCCAGAGGCAGAGGCCCTGTATGGAGCCAGCTCATGAAATCGGGGAGCTGGAGGCTGCCGCGTCGACAGCACCCAGGATGTGTCTCAGCCAGGCCCACAGCTCCTGGCTGCGCTGCCACACGTGAGCAGAAAGTCGCACGGCTCATGGCCTTGGTGCCAAAATGAGAACTGAGCACTTTTTCCAGCAGGGCTGCTGGGAGCTGCCTGGGAGCTCTGGCACTGGAGGAGCAGACCTCTCCTTGTTTGTGAAGCTCTCAGCCACGGCCCTCCAGCCAGCGCTCTGCCACGGCAGGAGCGGGAGAAAGCCTTCACCTTGGCCAAAACCAGCGCGGTTTCCTTCCCTTGGTTTACTTTGGTCCATGTCAGAGAGTCTTTATTTCTTTTCTTTCAAACTTTCTCTTCCTTCCTCGTTGGCAGTGATTCTCAAAGTATGGTCAAGGAACCCCTGAGGGAACCCCTTCCAGATCAAATCTATTTTTATATTAATACTAAAGGAATTGTCTTTCTGGCTCTCATTCTCTCACGAGTGTATGGTGGAGTTTTCCAGAGGCTACATGGTGCATGCACAGATCTGAAAAGATTGTTCAAATCCTGCTTCTTCCTCCAGCTACTTATCAGTGGGTGGCTGGATTTTTTTCACACTTGGACCAAATAAAACATCTTACAAGGGATTCAATGCAGAAGCAGAGGTGAGAATCCAGCCATCTTTGGCTAAGCCAGACATTAGAGAAGTGTACAAAAGGTAAAACCATGCCACTCTTCTTTCCCCTCAGTCTTTTATTTTGGAAAGCACAGTTATTTGTCCTGAAAAAAAAAATGTGTTATTTATGTCAACATGTACTAGATACATAATTGTTATTTTAAAATATATAATTTTTTAAAAAATCCTGTTTTAATTTCAAATACAATAAATATCAACAGATAAAGTGTATATAAAAGTAAAAGCTCTTTGAGAATCCTCAGTTAAGTTTTAAGAAGAGGGCTTGTGTATTAGTTTCCCAGAGCGTCTGTAACCAATTGTCACAAATTTAGTGGCTTAAAATAACAGAGATTTATTCTCTCGCAGTCCTGGAGGCCCAAAGTCCAAAATCAGTACCACTGGGCCAAAATCAAGGTGTCAGCAGGGTGCTGCTTCTTCCAAGGGCTCTAGAGGAAGGTCTTCCAGGCTCTGGGGGCTGCTGGCTTATTGGCTTGTGGCTGCATCACTCCAGTCTCTGCCTCCGTCCTCACACAGCCCTCTCCTCTTCTCCATCTTAAGTCTCCCTTTCTCTTATAAGGACACGTCATTGGATTTAGTGCTCACCTGAAAAACCCAGAATAATCTCATCTGGGATCCCTAATTACATCTGTAAATGCCTTTTTTCCAAATAAGATCCCATTCACAGATTCCAGGGATATGGATGTAGACACAACTTCTGAGGGACCACTGTGTAGCCCACCACATCCTGCAACCAACCAACCTGAGAACTGCGGCTCCATGCCCTTCCTCCAATCATCAGCATCCCACTCCCCAGTTTGCTTTTTAAAGAGATAATCAGGGATAAAGATCACATCCGGTGAAAATTCAACTGCCATCTAGTTTAGATTTTCCCCATGCCCCTGTGATAGCAACGAGACCCTCTGCCATCCACTATCGCCCTGGCTTTCTTAGGATTTTTCTGGAAATATTCTGCCTTATCCTGTCTCTTCTTAGGCTGAAGTGGGTGACAGGCCCCCAGGCTGCCTTCCCCTTGGGAGCCTGGTTGGGTCACATTGTCTCCTCTACTAAAGAAAAAAGAAATTACAACCCAGAATTTCCCTGGATATCAGACAACTCTGTCCAAATGTAGTTAGGATGACTTAAATGAAAGAGGGTCAGGAACATATGGAATAAATTCTTTTAAAAATAAACATAGGTTTTAAGAAGAGTGAATGGGAAAGAGATTCCAGACAATGAGTCTTAGGTTTTTGCTAAGACCCAAAATGTCAATCAGGATTAGAGCAAAGTATCAGCTGACTCCTTCCTCCCTGGTCCTTGGGGGTAGTTGTTAACAGCTCGAATTCCAGCGGCGGCCTTCTTGGGTTCAAGTTTCATTGCTATCCTTTGCCAGCTATGTGAGCTGGAGAAAATAACTAAGCCTCTCTGTGTGTCAATTTCCTCACTTATATTGTGGGAAAATGGATATTAGCTACCTTGCATCAGTCAGGCTATGCTGCATTATGCTGCAGTAACAAACGGCCCTAAAATCTTTGTTCATGAAACAAAGGATTGTTTTTCACTCTCACCCCATGTCCTTTGCAGGGAGGCAGGGAGTTTTGCTCCCCTTCATCCTCACTTCAGTACTAATGGAGCAGCTTTAATCTAGAAGATGGCCAGCCTCCTGACAGAGGGCAAAGATGATGAGACAAAGCACATCCTGTCTTGTAAAGCTTTCAAGTTCAAGTGAAACACATCACTTATGCACACATTTCATTGGCCAAAATATGTCACATGGTTACACCTAAGTTCAACAGGGTTGGATGGCATCATTCTTCCATGGAGGAGGGGAAGTAGGGTGACGGGGATGGCATACATTGGTGAACAGTGATACGCTCTTCCACTGACCCTATAAGCTGTTGTAGGGATCACTGAGGATGGTGCCTGGCATGTCATTCTTACTAAATATTATTACACTCAAATAATAACATACACCTGTCCCCTCCTCCCCAGTCACTTGGCCTCCATCACCATCCAGTGTCCTATCTGAAGAAGATTTTTCTTCCTGTAACAAGAAAGATGAGAAGGGTAAAAACACAGTCCTTTTGCTGAGTCAGATGTGTTCCTACAGCTGCGGCAGTAAAATGGGACTCTTCCCAGATCTTCCTTTTGTTGTTGTCTAGTTTTAGTCTTCTTCTTTTCATTGTTTTTAAAATAATGAAGGTGAGGAGGTAGGTATTTATCCCCCTTTCCATATTTCCATATAATGCTTTTTTTTTTTTTTTTGAGACAGAGTTTCGCTCTGTTGCCCAGCTAGAGTGCAGTGGCACGATCTCTGCTCACTTTAAGCTCCTTCTCCCGGGTTCACGCCATTCTCCTGCCTCAGCCTCCTGAGTAGCTGGGACTACAGGCACCCGCCACCGCGCCCAGCTAATTTTTTGTATTTTTAGTAGAGATGGGGTTTCACCGTGTTAGCCAGGATGGTCTCGATCTCCTGACCTCATGATCCACCCGCCTCGGCCTCCCAAAGTGCTGGGATTAGAGGTGTCAGCCACCGCGCCTGGACTTTTTTTTTTTTTTTTTTTTTTTGAGACAGAGTCTTGGAGTCTCACTCTGTCGCTTAGGCTGGAGTGCAGTGGTGCGATCTCAGCTCACTGCAACTTCTGCCTCCTGGGTTCAAGCGATTCTCCTGCCTCAGCCTCCTGAGTAGCTGGGATTACAAGCACCCAACACCATGCTTGGCTAATTTTTGTATTTTTAGTAGAGATGGGGTTTGGCCGTGTCTGCCAGACTGGTTTTGAACTCCTGACCTCTGCCTCATATAATGAATTTTCTTTCTTTCTTTCTTTCTTTCTTTCTTTCTTTCTTTCTTTCTTTCTTTCTTTCTTTCTTTCTTTCTTTCTCTTTCTTCTTTCTTTCTTTTTCTTTCTTTCTCTCTTTTTCTTTCTTCTTTTCCTCTCCTCTCCTCTCCCCTCCCCTTCCCTCCCCTCCCCTCTCCTCTCCTTCCTTTCTGACAAAGTCTTGCACTGTCACCTGGGCTGCAGTGCAATGGTGCAATCTCGGTTCACGGTAACCTCCATCTCCTGGATTCAAGTGATTCTCCTGCCTCAGCCTCCTGAGTAGCTGGGATTACAGGTGCCTGCCACCATGCCCGGCTATTTTTTTTGTATTTTTAGTAGAGATGGGGTTTCACTATGTTGGCCAGGCTGGTCTCGAACTCCTGATCCTGTGATCTGCCCACCTCGGCCTCCCAAAGTGTTGGGATTACAGGCGTGAGCCACCGCGCCAGCCTATAATGCATTTCTTAAAAACAGACTCTCCATCACTTATTTGGTACCCAGTACCCAGCATGGTGTCTGGTGTACAGTAGCTGCTTGTTTAGGGTTCGTGGAATGAACAGATGCATGAATGGATGGATGGATGAATGAATGATTCTTAGGAGAGTGCTGATAGATGTTGAATAACTGGGTCTCTTGGGTGGAGGGAACCTTGGTTTGTAGAATTTGCCAATTCCCGTACTGTAAATCCTCTTAGTGTGACTGATCTTGAGCTACCAATGAGATGTCAGTTTACATGGCATTGGGAAGAGGTGTGCGGGTCACCTCCCATGGCTGTATGAGTCAGTGTGAGCACACTACCTATTCCCCTCTTGCTTTCTACCAAGGAAGAGCTCACTTATTCAAAATCAACTCATTTCATTTTTGAACTATTCTCGTGATTATCAAACTCATCTAAAACAGGATCAATGTCTTCCTTGGAGAAAGAGGATTCCTCTCTCCTTAGCACAAAAGACTAGAATTGAGAAAGGGATGTACATTGTTTTGCTGTGTGATCTCAGACAAGTCCTTTATGACGAGGATGTGAAAGTTGTGCAGATTCCAGTTGACCCGGAGGATAAATGGCTGCCTGCTTGATGGTCTGCGGGAGATGCTTTGTGGTTTTGTTCGGCACCAGCAGGGCTGTGGACATCTGCCCAGCTTAGGCTAAGGAGGACCACCTGGCGTGGAACCTTTGCTCTTAAGCACATTGTGATCACAAATCAGAACTGACAAACGGGCTTAGAAATCCTTCTACAAATTTTCCAAAACAGCCCAGCCCAGCGACTGAGCAGCAGGTAACCAAGAAAAACAAAAGAGAAAAACAATAATCTCCTTATTCTGGAAAGTTCAAATGTGGGCCAGAGCCTGTTCATACGATTTTAGGGCAATGAAGGGAATGGAAAAGTTCACGTTTTTTCTTAAAAGGCCCCCTAGTACCGTTGTTGGCTCCAGCAGGGGTCACATCCTGTTGCAGAATCAATGTGAAAATCACACCCAGCCCCCCTCAGCTTCCTAATCTCCAGATATTAGAGATGACGGATGGTAGCAGAGGGCTGGATTTCATCCATGGCTTCTGCAGGGCTGACAGCTATGCTTGGCTCTCTGCTTGGTGTCAGATGCTGGTGAAATTCAGGGTAGTGGAGGCTCTTAGTGGCCTCCCTGGATTGCAAAAGGGACTGGTTCTCTTTTGGGGGTTTGTCCTTAGCCCTGAAAATGGTTCCAGGCTCCGCTGGGATGCCTGAGTTTCCTAGACCTCAGGGAGTAAGTGAACTGTCAGGGCTGTGAGTGTCCTAGTGGATTTCTTCAGAGTTTCCTGAATGTTGAGCTTTCCTACATTGCTCCAGACACCAGGCACTGGGGTGTGGACTGTCTTCCAAGTTTATCCCCGCCCCTAATGCTCACAGGAGTCATCAAGGATTCAGACTTCTCCTGAATCCCCCATATCCCCTGCACCAGTAAACCTTGAACATTTTCTCTCCCCGATTTGCTCATTTCTCCATCTCTCCTGCTTCTACCAGAGTAGCAGAGAGACAAGGGCTGGGACTTGTATTCCATCATGAAAACCCAACCATGAAATCAGGCTTCTTACCCACATGCGTCCCATGTAGGCAAAGCTATGATTTTGCACTAAAAAAGCAGCTTTGGCTGAGCTGGCAAGTGCTAGACTAAGACCCTCAGCATGAAGCTTGTTTACCGAGTTTCTCAGAACAAGATTTTGAAATGAACTTGCAAATTATTCTTTTTTGCCCAGGAGATCCCAACAAGTAGAAACATCCCCTTCTAGTCCTCTCCAGAAAGCCACTGCAGCAGGGGCAAAACTCTACCTATGCCCCTTAGGGTTGTCAGCTAGACCTGAGAATTAAATGGATATAAGACAGATTCATAGGACAAAAGCAAACAACCTTATTTATTTATTTATTTTTGAGATGGAGTCTTTCTCTGTCACCCAGGCTGGAGTGCAGTGGCACGATCTTGGCTCACTACAACCTCCGCCTCCCGGGTTCAAGTGATTCTCCTGTCTCAGCCTCCCGAGTAGCTGGGATTACAGGTGTGTGCCACCACACCCATCTAATTTTTGTATTTTTAGTAGAGACAGGGTTTCATCATGTTGGCCAGGCTGGTCTCGAACTCCTGACCTCAGGTGATCCACCTGCCTCAGTCTCCCAAGATTCTGGGATTATAGGTGTGAGCTGCCATGCCCAGCCCAAACAAATTGATTTAATAAATTTTATGGGACACAGGATCCTTCCCCAAAAATGTAGCAACCCCTAAATGTTTTTATACTAGGTTGAATAAAGAGAGGCGACCTCTTTTGGAAAAGGCACTAAAATATATGGAGAAGCTAAAGGAAGATATAAGTGATTTTAACAAGGTCAGTTTGTACACATTTCTCTCGGCCTCGCCTCCCCATCTCCAGTGTTGAGAATGTTTCATTTCTCCTGGTGGAAAGAGGGCAGCTCCTGCATGGGACTTTCGCCAGGCCTGGCCCCTTGGCTCCTCAAGCCTCATCCCCCACCATGCCCCCTTCACTGTGTGCTCGATCACTGGGGCGTGCTTCCTGATCTTCCACCACCCCAAACCTTTCCCGACTCCCTTGCTGACCCCTCTGCTGGAAGACTCTCTCCCTTCTTTGCATAGTTGGTCTTGGTATTGTTTCTTCGGCCGCTGCAACAAGTATCCCAAACAAAAGCAATCTCTTCTTTCACAGTTCTGGAGGCCAGAAGTCCGAACTCAAGCGTGTTTCCCTCTGGAGGCTCTGAGGAGGGTCTGCTCCAGGCCTCCCTTCTAGCTCCTGGGGGTTGCTGGCCACCCTTGGTGGCCCCTGGCTTGCAGATGACACCTCTGATCTCAGCCTCTGTCTTCATGTGGCCTGCTCCTTGTGGATCTTCCCATCGTCTGTCCTCTGTATGCGCCTGTCTCTGCGTCTCTGTCCTCTTTGTATAAAGACACCAATCATACGGGATTAGGGCCCACCTGAATGCCTTCATCTTACCTCGATCACGTCTGCAAAGACCTTGTTTCCAAATAAGGCTCCATTCACAGAGGCTACGACTCAGTGTAGCTCCTTTGGGGACAGAGTTCCACCCATAGCTGTCTGTTCTTATCGTGCATGTCTCGGCTCGAATGTTATCTCCTCGGAGATGCTTTCCTTGATGATGCCATGGCAGGTCTTCTCAGCCTCCACACGGGGGACGTTTGAGGCTCCATCATTCTTTGTGGTGGGGCTGTCTTGGGTGTCGTAGGCTGTTTAGAAGCATCCCTGGCCTCTAACCACCAGATGCTGGCAGCATGCATTTCTCCTCCAGCACCCCCAACACACACAACCAGAAATATCCCCCTGGCTGGGAGGGGGCACAATCACCCTAGATGAGACTCAACTGCTGCTCAATGAAATGTGATGTTTCCCAGACCTTTTCTTTTTATTCTCCCTCTTTTTTCCTTCCTTTTTTCCTTTTCTTTTTTGTAGCACTCAGTACAATCAGTAATTTTCTTGTTTAATTATGTCTTCTGTTTATCATCGGTGGAGGTTTTTTGTTTTATATTTTGTAGAGGTGGGGTCTTGCTATGTTGCCCAGGCTGATCTCAAACTCCTGGCCTCAAGCGATTTTCCTGCCTTGGCCTCCCAAAGCGCTGGGATTCCAGGTGGAAGCCATCATGCCTACCTAATTTTTGTATCTTTACTGGTAGAAACAAGGTTTGGCCATGTTGCCCAGACTGGTCTTGAACTTCTGGCCTCAAGCGATCCTCCTACCTCGGCCTCTCAAAGTGCTGGGATTCCAGGCAGAAGCCACGGTGCCCAGCCCATCGGTGGAGGTTTGAAATGCGGCTGCATGTCCATGTCCTTTGACAGTCGTTTTCTCTTTCCATTGCCCTCCCTTCAGACCCTTAGGCCCTCTCTGTCCTCTCAATACATGTGGGAGGAGGAATGAGAGCAGGCAGCCGGGAGACCCAAATCAAGGCTCAGTCCTTTCTTTGCCTCCTTAACCCCCAGTGGTCCTCCTGCTTGAGTGAGCCTCAGAATCCCAGGGGAGCTGATGGGAACAGACCGCCGGGCCCCACCTCTGCCTTTCTCCCTCAGCGGGTCCGGGTTCCCATTGAGAAGCCACATTCCTGTCGATTCCCGGGGGATACTGTTGATCCAGGGACCGCACCCTGAGAACTATGATTCTGCTTCAATTCATAAGCACCAATGGTTTACATTCTGGGCTATTCCTAAGTCCTGCCTGCTTTTTTTTTTTTTTTTTTTGGTGTGTGTGGCATTTTTCAGATAGAAGAAAAGCAGCCCCGAGAGTATAATGGAGTTGCTGGTGCAAATCCCTTCCCCAGGGCTGAGAATTGAGAAGCTGCAGCACAGGGGCAGCCCGGTGGCCTGGTGTGCCAGGGGAATGCCACCCACAGCTCACCTCCTCGGAGCGATGCCCCACCGGCAGCCTGAGTGGCCTTTTCTTGCAAAGGCTCGTTAGAGGACACAGTGACAGGTCTTGCCCGCACCCCAGCTCTGGAAACAGCCAGCGAACGTACATAGCCGTGGGAGGCTGTAATAGGTCCCGTTAATTATGCTGCCATTTGAAGGAACGTAATCGTCCTTGCAAAGTGGAAAAATGACGGGTTACCAGAGGCTGTCAGAGGCGGCTCGGGTGAGCTGTCAGCCCATGCACAAGTGACTTTTTAATTGAAATCGGTTTCTGTTCTGCTTCGCTGGGTCCCTGCTCTCTTTTAGAAGGCTCACATCCTTCGGCGAGGACAGACACAGACACCACCCAGGGAGGCGGTGTCAGGAATAAAGTGAGCTTGTCTCAGCCCACAAACAGCCGCGAATGTCAGGGCATGGGAGAATAATTAGCTATTCCAGGAGATAGATTTGTTTTCATTTCTAACCCCAAAGCTAATTGTAAGAAATGAAATCTGTGTTTGTTTTTCTTTAGGTATGTTTGAATTTACAAGTCTTAAGTCTTTGGGAACTAGGTCAACTAGACCTTGCATATGCTTACACCCTGGATGAATAAAGTCTTTATTTACACCTCCACCTCTCTCCAAAAAAAGAATTTGAGACAGCATACAACAAAGAGCATCTTTCAATAATAATTAAAAAGATTAGTGTGACAGAAATGGTAAGTTAGGTCCAGTGAAAATAGGAGTAAGTATGCCAGCCCTAGGAATGAACAATATCTACGATGAAGCATCTGATTCAGCCCTGAGCTTCCTGGTAGTGAGGTCAAAAAGAGAAACACAGGAAGTCTCATCTCTCTCACTATAGAAAGAAGGAAACAGCAATTCCTTAGTTTATTTCTGATACCAAACTCTAAAGTAAAGTAAATTCTTATGTTGGGCTTTATATAAGGGATATGAAGTTACAGGTCTCTTTATTTTTATTTTTTATGAGGCAGAGTTTTCACTCTTATTGCCCAGGCTGGAGTGCAGTGGCACAATCTTGGCTCACTGCGACCTCCGCCTCCCGGGTTCGAGTGATTCTCCTGCCTTAGCCTCTTGAGTAGCTGGGATTTCAGGTGCATGCCACCACGCTTGGCTAATTTCTGTATTTTTAGTAGAGATGGGGTTTCACCATGTTGGCCAGGCTAGTCTTGAATTCCTGACCTCAGGTGATCTGTCTGCCTTGGCCTCCCAAAGTGCTAGGATTATAGGTGCGAGCCACCACACCCAGCTTTGAGTTACAGTTCTCTTGACAAACATTTTATAGCAAATGTAAATATGGAAGTCCCATGATGGTTTCTTGAAATAACTTTGGCTAGAAGCCAATCCAATTAAGGTAATTCATCAAGGAGCGAATCTGACATGACTCAAGGGTGAAGGTTCCATGTGGCCTTATTTGATCTGAAGATGGACCTTTTTGAGAAATGGAGGAGTAATATTAAGACTCCAGCAGGCTGTGCTATTTTAGCTATTTTCATTGCTAAATAAAAGGGCCCATTCTGGCTTGCTCAAATATTGGGAGTATTGCAAGGCTGTAATACACGCTTAATGCCTTCCACACGCTTTTCATCAGAATTAGAATGAACCCTACACAATCGGGCCCTGTCTGAGGGCAGTTCATGCCTCAGAGCCTTTGCACTCGCTGTTTCCCCCACAGAACACTGTTCCCTCAATTTTTACATGCTAGGCTCATTCATTAAATCTGTGCCCAAATGTCTCTTCTTAGAGAGGCCTTTACTGACCACCTAATGAATACAGCCTTCTCACCCACAAGCCACTCTCTATCATATCACTCTTTCATTTTGCCTTAATTGCAGTCGTCACTCTGAAATCATCTTATTTTCTGTTGCCTCTCCTCATGAGAACAGGGATCATACCTGTCTTATTCACTCATGAACTCCCAGTGCCTTAAGCAGTGCCAGGCAGTTAGAACATGCCTCAAAATTATGTGTTGGATGAACAAATAAATAAATATACAATGAATATTTGGCAGTCACCCAATGCCAAGAAGCCAGCCCTGGTCAGAACCCTCATGTACAGTTGTAGATGTTGTACACTGCACAGCTGCAGGTGCTGTCAGTTATGTGGTTTTCCCCCTCCCCAAAATGTACACTGCACACCCTCCCCAGCTAAATGCAGCAACCCTGGACATAACGTCTCTCAGAGGAAGGAACTAGGAAGCCCTAACTCTCAAGAAGGTACGAAGACTTCAGCGGACATGAGGACACTTTTCTCCAGGGCAGGCACTAGTGGGACTCAGCTACTCTCTGCTTCTATATCTCTGGGTGTCTTCTTGCGTATTCTCTTGCTATCATTCAGACATCCTGAGCTCTATGCAGAGTGTCTTGGTCATAGCTTTGACTTGCCCCTGGCTTCCCCATATTCATGTTTCCTCTCCACCTCAGGTCTTTCTGATCTTATTGCCAACCACCTGATCCCCTCTACATTCCTAATTCAAAGAAGGAAAATCTTATTGGTCTTGCTTATCCTGTTTGGGCAGAGTCTTCATTCTAAGCTTCCTCACTGATTGCCAGCCAGCCAATGGATTGGCTGCTGACATTGAGTTGCCCCCTCTGTCCAATCAGCTTCACCTATGAGGCAAGAGGCCTCTGGTTCAAAGTTGGGGCTGTACCTTGGATATGGGCTGATGGTGGGGCAGCCTGTCTTCTCCTTGAATCATGGGGCAACACATTGACTTAGCCAGGCTCAACTTCCCCTCTCTAAGGCGAGCCAGGTATAGGCCACAGACAGACAATAGATCTGTGTGTCTGAAAACCAAGTGGACAAGGGGCAGGGCTTCTATTTCACTGTGAAAACCAAACCAGGAAATCAAGCTTCTTACACACTTCATACACAGGCAGAGCTATGAATTTTCACAGAAAAGCAGCTTTGGCTATATTAACAAATCCTAGATTTAGATGGTCAGCATCAAGCCCATGGGATATTTGTTTGCAGGTTTTCTCTGAAGAAGATTTTGGGGAATGAAGCTGCAATTTATTCTCCTCTGACAAGGAGGCCCCAACAAAGGAAGCTCCTAACTTCTGATCCTCTTGCTAGCAAGGAGGCTGCTTTCCCCTGAACTTCGCTGTCCCACTGTCCAGATTGGCAAGGGCACCCTCGGGCCCACTTGAGAAAGCTGCGAGGCTTTAGGAAGGCTCCCTGGGCCTTGGTGGCTGCCAGGGACAGATCCTCTTGGGGAACTACTGTCCTTCCTTCTGTGTGGTCGTCCCCTAAAGTGGAATCTTTTTTTTTTTTTTTTTTTTTTTTTTTTTTTTGAGACTGAGTCTCGCCCTGTCACCCAGGCTGGAGTGCAATGGTGCCATCTTGGCTCACTGCAACCTCCACCTCCCGGGTTCAAGCGGTTCCCCTGCCTCCACCTTCCGAGTAGCTGGGATTACAGGCACACACCACCACACCTGGCTAATTTTTTGTATCTTTAGTAAAGACGAGGTTTCACCATGTTGGCCAGGCTGGTCTCAAACTCCTGACCTCGTGATCCACCCGCCTCAGCCTCCCAAAGTGTTGGGATTACAGGCGTGAGCCCCCGTGCCTGGCCTAAAGTGGCATTTTAAAACCAGGCCCCGTGGCCAGTGGCTCACTCTAAAGGGTGAGATCCTTCCCTCTGAGTCCCCATTTTAAACTTGAGAAAAGGGAAGTGCAGAGGAGTTAAGTGGCTTGACTAGGGTCACTCAGCACCGAGCGGAGGGGCCCAGTCTTCCGCCTCTGAGTCTAGAATCCTTTCCGTGGCGCCACATTGTCTTCCCGGTAACTGCTAGCTGTGGATGCTCATCTTCACTGGCATCCCTACTGATACGGTTTGGCTCTGTGTCCTCATCCAAATCTCATCTTGAATTGCAATCCCCACATGTTGAGGTAAGGACCTGGTGGGAGGTGACTGGATCATGGGGACAGTTCCCCCATGCTGTTCCCGTGATAGTGAGAGAGTTCTCACGAGCTCTGATGGTTTTATAAACGGTAGTTTCCTTGCATTTTTGCTCTCTTTCCTGCCACCTTGTGAAGAAGGTACTTGCGTCTCCTTTGCCTTCCACCATCATTGTAAGTTTCCTGAGGCCCGCCCGCCCGGCCATGCAGAACTGTGAGTCAATTACACCTCTTTCCATTATAAATTGCCCAGTCTTGAGTATTTCTTTAGAGCAGTGTGAAAACGGACTAATACACCTACAATGCCTAGTGTTGGCTTCCAGATGGAGATGGTCACAGCTGGCTGAGATGAAATCTCTCAGGCTGTTGCCTCCCAAGCATTTCAGTGCTAGCACCCTCTCACCTCAGGGCCTCTGCACTTGCTGCTCCTGCCTGGAGCCCTTGTCTTCCAGATGGTCTCATGGCTCACTCCCTTCCTTTATCTATTTGCCTCGTTAAAGGATCCTTCTCCAAGCTCCTATCCTGGTGTTTTTCCTAACTGGGGCATACCTCTGCCTGTCAGCAGCCACTGCTACCTGCCATCCAAATGTCTGTCTGTTTGTTTGTTTGTTTATTATCTGTCTGTCCACTGGAACATCAGCTCCCTGAGGGTAGCAGGGACATTATTTTATTCTCTCCTGTGTCCGCAGCACCTTGAGCAGTGCCTGGCATAGAGTAGAGAAGTTAGTAACTATTTATTGAATGAATGGATGCCTAATCAATATTGATTTCTTTGTTTGGACTTTCTGTTGGAGTGAAGAGAAGGGACCCTGTGGGCTCATCCAATGCTATGTAGGGTAACTAACTTGTCCTAGTTTGCCAAGACTTTTCCCAGTCTTAGCATTGAAAGTCCTATGTCCTGTGAACTCCTCAATGCCCAGCAAACTGAAGGTTGGTCACCTTAGGGCTATGATTTTATGAGCGCTGTCATCCATGCTGTTAAGGATAGCAGCTCACCGTTACTGGGTGCCAGATGTTGCTCTAAGCATGTTATAGGAACGACTTCCTTGAATCATCGTGGTGGTCCCATTTAACAGGTGTGAAAACTGAGGCACAAAGAGTGAGGCAGTGGGTAGAGGCGGGTTTTGAATCCATGCAATTCACCTCCCCAGTCCAGGCAGTTTGCTCCACTGGCAGCCAGCCTCTTGATCAGATGGGAAAGCCCTTCCAGCACCCAAAGCTCTAAAGTCTGTGTTCCACCCCTGCTGGCCACAGAGAGCTAGCCCCAGAAGGACCACCCTGTCAGCTCAGAGTCCCTGAGTCCACACAGCTGCCACTAAGATGCCCATGAGCTCATGCCTATTTTGTTTTCATCACCCTAGCTCCAAATGAAATTGGTAAAAAAAACAAACAAACAAACAAACTGTGTATAACTAACTAACTAACTAAAGTGGGCAAAGGAACAGAAAGTGACAAGAGACATAAATAACCCTGTGAAATGGGGAACTCGGTGAGCCAGAGAGAAGATCAAATATTGGCCATAAGATCAAATATTGGCTGTAAATGCCAGGGACACGTTTACAAGCTGAGAACGAGCCTGCCCTCCCCTCGCCCACGGCGGCTCCCATGCTCCCATTAGAATGGGAATATGGCAGGGTGCCTGCCCAGGAGCTCGCCTGGCCCACAGGGTGGGCTGCCCCCGGGAGAGAACAGCTGCCCAGGGCTGGAAACCAGGGGAAGGGATGGAGAGGGAGGGATGGCCCTACGTGTGTTTTAATCAGAGACACATCTTATTCACCATGTTCCTTTTTATACGTGTTGAAGTCTGAGCCATGTGAGCCTGCTTGAAAAATAAATTTAGGATCAAACAAGAAAAACATCTCTAGGCACCTTCCTGACCTTCCCACACAAAGGAAGTAATCTTGTCCTCCTTCAAATTTCCAAGTCCTTCGATTTTTTATTGTGGGTGTTTAATAATCATTTCCACTGGTACACACCCACAAGGATGGCTGAAATGAAAAGGACTGACTGTACCAGGTGCTGGCGAGGACAGGGAGCTACGAGGGCTCTCATACGGTGCAGGCGGGATGTAAAATGGTGCAGTTGCTTTGGAAGATAGTTGGGCAGTTTCTTAAAAAGTTAAACAGGCTGGGCACGGTGGCTCACGCCTGTAATTGCAGCACTTTGGGAGGCTGAGGTGGGCGGATCACCTGAGGTCAGGAGTTCAAGAACAACCTGGCCAACATGGCGAAACCCTGTCTCTACAAAAATACAAAAATCAGCCGGGCATGGTGGCGTGTGCCTGTAATTCCAGCTGCTTGGGAGGCTGAGGCGGGAGAATCGCTTGAACCCAGGAGGCGGAGGTTGCAGTGAGCCGAGATTGCGCCATTGCACTGCAGCCTGGGTGATAGAGTGAGACTCTGTCTCAAAAACAAAACAAAAAAAATGTGAAACATATCCTTACCCTGTGACCCAGCTGTTCCACTCCTGGTACGCCCCATAGAAATGTGTACATGTGTTCACCAAAAGCCACATCCTGGAAAGTTTGTAACAGGATTCTTTGTCACAGCCATAATCTTGAGAATTACCCACAGATCTGTTAGCAGGTGAACAGGACAAACGTGGTAGACTCACACAGCGTGACGTAGCAGAGCGATGATAGCCAGTGTCTGCTGCACAAGATGTGGATGCAGCTCATCAGCGTGATCTTCAGCCAGACAGGAAAGTGCATGATCCCATAGGATACCATTTGCATTGAGTTTAGAAACAGCAAGTGGTCCTGTAGCGTTAGGACTTGGGATGGCGGTGCAGTGGAATTGCTATAGGGCCTGGAAGGTGGCCCGCAGAGGGCATTTGGGGAATTAAGAAGGGGCTGATTTTTCATCTGGGTGCTAGTTATGTAAGTGTGTTCACTCGTGAAAATTCCTTGAGCCGTACACATACAATTTTTCTGTATATGTTCTGCTTCAATAAAATGTTTGTTAAAGCTGGATGTGGTGCCTGGCATCTGTAATCCCAGCTACTCGGGAGGCTGAGGTGGGAGGATGGCTCGAGCCTAGAAGTTCGAGGCTGGAGTGAGCTGTGATGGTGCCGCCACACTTCAGCCTGGGTGACAGAGTGAGACCCTGTCTTACCCAAAAAACTTTTTAAAAAGACAGTGCAAAATGAGAGCCACAGAGCATCGTGGTGGCCCAGTGCTGCCTGTGACTTGGTTTGGGGCCGATGTCTTCCTGCCTCCTCTCATTTACAGACAGCGCATCTGCACCGTCTTCAGGCCTCCGGGTGAGAGATTCCGTGTCTCCCTGCAAAATCCAGCAGCAATTCTACCACAAGCAGGTGAGTGTGACAGGCCCGAAAGGTGCGCATGCCCTTGCAGAGGCTCAGATGTCCCGACCTTGGACAACGGCACTGGTTTGGCTGCCCAGCTCGAGCTTGCCTGCCTGTGAGGTCGCCCCACAGCCCGGGTAATGACATTCCAGCGTGAAGCCACAGGCTGCTTTCTCTGCCCCTATCCAGCGGTGGCCAGCCCCAGAGCCAAGGACAAAGCCATTTTTAGAAGAATGACTGAGAAACATTTTGGCGGCTTCTCCAGGTCTGCCAGGACCTGCAACGTACCTCAGGGTCAAACTGGAAGGTATTTGCAGTTCATAAAACGGACACGAGGCATCTTATTACCAATGTTATTCTTGGATGGAAATTATATTTCAGAGACACTGGAGACCCAGGTATAGAATCCCTGGTTCACAGACCTTCTCCCAGCTAGTGTGCGATGAGCATGCTGCAGGATCGTTAATTGAATGGTGAACAGGACCAGGGTTTCCCAGGGGGCTCACAAATGAGCTCAAAGAGATGCTTTGCGGGGTTTGCCATGGCTTGGGTGTGAGGAGCCACCTGTGAGTCTTGGTTGGAGTGGTCTGTCTAAGCTCACATCCAAAGAATGCACAGAACTTTCCAGGTGATGCAGGACAGAACAGGCATCCCTAACAGAAAATGGCATGTGCAAAGGCCCTGCAGCAGGAGCATGCAGGAAAGAAGGCAAGGTTGTCTGGGCCCAGAAAGGGACAGGAGTGTGGAGAGGTGGGTAGGGGCCAGACCCCACAGGCCCTTGCAGCCACGTTGAAAAGTTTTGCTTTATTCTAAAGCCAACAGGAAATCATCAAAAGGGGTTAAGGGAGACTGGAGCTGGGGGTGGGAGGGCATTCACTTTATTGAACCCACTTTTGGAAAGATCACTCTGCCTAAGTTTCTTTAAAGCCACCCTGGGCTGGCGGAAAGAAAGATGTATGGGACATGGCTTGTCCTGCAAGAAGTTTACAATTGAGATGGAGACATGGAAATAAACTGTCTGGAGAAACACGTGATGAGGCAAATGAATGACCTAGAATAGCACTGTCCACTGGAAATAAAATCTAGACCAGCACCCTCCTCTAGAAATACAATCTAGAACAGCACCCTCCTCTAGAAATACAATCTAGACCAGCATCCTCTAGAAATACAATCTAGACCAGCACCCTCCTCTAGAAATAAAACCTAGGCCAGCACAATCCTCTAGAAATAAAATCTAGACCAGCACCGTCCACTGGAAATAAAGTCTACACCAGCACTGTCCACTGGAAATAAAATCTAGACCAGCACCGTCCTCTGGAAATAAAATCTTGACCAGCACCGTCCACTAGAAATGTGAGCCACAAATGCAAGCTACAGATATAATTTTAAATTTCCTAGTAGCCACATGTTTTAAAAAGAAACAGATTTCCTGTACTGGGATTCTTCTGAAGACAGAGTGGCTCTAATCACTAGGAGAAGCTCTACCCCACCAAGAAAAAAAACGAAAACAAAAAAACAACAAAAAAACAGAAACAGGTAAAATTAATTTTAACCAATATTTTATTTAACCCAATATATTTAACACGTTTTCAACATGTAATCAGTGTAGAATGTTATTTATGAGCTTGTTTCACAATCTCTCCGTATTTTACATCTTTGAAATCCAGGGTGTGTTTGATGCTTCCGGCACATCTCAACCTGGACTAGCCCTGTTTTTCGTGCACAGCAGCCTCGGGAGTTTAGGGGCTGTCAAACTGGACGACCTGGGTCTCGGCGATAGGTGCTAGAGGCTGTGGCTTGAGCTAAGACTTTTAGGCAGGAAGGACGGGAAGAAGGCAGAAAAGATATTTCCAAATGGGAGTGGGATAGAGAAAAATCCAAAGTCAAGTAACACACGCCAAGTGGTCACATACAAGAGCATTCATGACTCCGTGGTGGGTGACAACCAGAAGTGAGAAACACCTGCGTGTGATGAACAGAGGCCTGAGCGCCTGGTGTAGTGGATCAGTCCAAAGGAACAGTAACCCTCACACCCACGAGGATGGCCAGAATCAAAAAAGCAGAGAATAACCAGTGCTGGCGAGGAGGTGGAGACATCGAAGCCCACATACATTGCCGCTGGGAGTGTAGGATGGTGCAGCTGCTGCAGAAAACAGCCCAGAGCTTCCTCAATCAGTTAAACACGGAATTACCCTAGGACCCAGAAATTCCACTTGGGTCTATATCTGGAAGAATGGAAGACAGTGTTCTCACCAGAATGTGTGCACGAATGTTCACAGTGGCACTATTCACAGTAGCCGAAAGGTGGAGACCACCGAAATGTCCTTCCCCAGATGAATGGGCGGACAAAATGTGGTGCATGCTTGCGTGTGTGCATGTGTGTGTGTACACTGGGATATGATTCAGCCATAAAGAGGAATGAGCTCCAACCCATGCTACCATGTGGATGAACCTTGAAAATATGACGCTGAGTGAATGAAGCCAGACACACAAGGTTGTGTGGTGTGTAATTCCATTTATACCAAATATCCAAAATGTGGCTACAGCCAGAATGTCGATAGATCTATAGAGACAGAAAGCAGATGGAGGTTCGCCAGAGGCTGGGGGAAGGGAAGGAATGAGGAGTAATTACTTAGTGGGTAGGAGGTTTCCTTTGGGGGTGATGAGAACATTCTGGAACTAGATAGAGGTGACTGCACCACTGTGATTGTCCCAGATGCCCCAATGGAAAAGTGTATTTAGTCTATCTTGCCACATAGAAATAAATTTTCCAAAATCTAAAAAAAAGAACTCTAGAGCTACCTCTCAGTCAACATGGACATATTTCACAAAACAGCATTGAGAGGAAAAAGCACAGCATTGAGAGGAAAAAGCAAGTTGCAAAAGAATACGGTAGCAGGGGTTGCTGCCGCCACACCCCACACCTCCCCAGCCCACCCAAGCCCCTGGTTCCTGCACACAATGGCTGCTTTCCACTCCAGGCACCTGTGTCGCCCTCCCTGAAGAATTCCTCTGCCCACACAAGCAGTGCTTGACCAACGTGATGGACGGGAGGTATCAGAACACCGAAGCATGAAGGAGAGGCCATAGACTCCAGCTTCCCCGGCCTCTGGTGGGGACAAGGCTGAGTTGTGTCCAACACTCTCTGAGCCCCGAAGGCTGGCCCCTGCCCACAGCCGCCTCACCAGCTCCCCTTTGTTGCCTCTTCTCCCTTCTGTTCCCTGCGTCACTGGGCTCCCAGGCTCACCTCCCACGGAGACTCTGCACCAAACCTTCTCCAGATCTGCTTTAGGGGAAGCCAAACACAGACAGACCCACGTGACATCCAACCACAGAGGCCAGGCTTGAAACCATGCACCACAGCAGACGCACTGCATGGGTGGTGACAGGCTCAAGACACTCGAGGGACCGACAACACCAAGTCCGGGGTGGTGGCTGCTGCCACTCCCGCTGTGTGGGGGTGGGCTGGGATAGGCTGGGGATGCCCCCTGCGAAGGGCACCCCAGGGGTCACACACATCGTGGAATCATTTACTTCGTAAGCACGGGTGGCAGGTCCCCGGGGGTGGTGATGCATGTATTTCTTGAACGCCTGAAATATTTCATCATCATCACGAAGCAAAGCATGAGGTAGGTGTGTTTGGCAGCCAAGGCATTGAGAGGGATGGGGCATTTCGAAGTGGAGGATAGGGTGAGCCTGGACTCCTGCCCAAGCAAAGTGGGGTGGCACTGGGTGTCCTACGGGGGGGAGGCCGGGAGACAGGGCTCTTTGTGTCACTATGCCTGGGACCCACGGGTCCAAGGCCGTGAGCGGCTCCTGAGGCAGGGAGGCCACCATCACAGCTGCAGTCAGATGGCACCGTGGTGAGGGGTGGCGCAGAATCAAAAGAGAAAAAGGCGTGTGAACACACTTCAAAGGCAGGTCCCTAAGACCTCTGGGCTTAATTGGAAGTTGGCGCCAAAAGTGAGTGAGGCGTTGGAGGTTTCAAGTCTGGGTGACGAGGTGAATGGGAGGACCCTTGGCAGGCGTCTGGACACCCAGAGGGTTTTATTTATTTTCATCTGTCAGGGCAGGGGGCTGGAATGGGTTTGTGCAGGCTCACACGCCATTTGTCCTGATTTTGGAGACAGGCTGAGACCAGGAACCCTCTGACCTCATCACGTTGGATTTCCAGGTAATCCTGCAGCCCCTACGTTGTCCTCCCCTGAGCTCAGAGCCCCATTCAGCCCTCCCAGCCCTGGCCACGTCACCTATGGGACCCCGGAATGCATTTCTGAGAGGCAGGCTCTGGCTGGGGTCTTACCCCACCTTTCTCAAACACTTTCTGTCCTGGGGCCCATGCACTCACGGCTCTTAGGGAGATCTTGGTGGGGTTCTGTGTCCCCTCTGACAGAGCCTAAATGCCCCCAATTCTTCACCCCCTTTTTCTAGCCACACCCTTTGCCACGTAACTTACTTTTCCCAGCTTTATTGAGCTTTATTTAAGTTTGATGGATTTTGGTGATTGTATACAGTCATGTAACGGCCCCCACAGATGAGATCTAGAGCACTTAGAAGATCCCCAAAACTTCCCTGTGCCCCCTGGCAATCAAACCTCACCCTCACCCCCAGCTCCAGGCAATCACAAACCTTTCTGTTGCTATAACTTTGCCTTTTGTAGCATTTTCTATAAATGTCTCCTCTTGAGTTTAGCTCCTTTCACTTCCATAATGCTTTTACACTCATTCACATTGTATGTGCATCAGTAATTCACTCTTTTTTGTTGCTGAGCAGGATTCTGTAGGGTGGATAGACTACAGTTTGCTTATGCACTCACCCATTGATGGACATCTGAGTTGTTTTTATTGGGGTGATTGTGAAAAGATAGCCCAGTGCTATAGACATTTGCATATTGGTCTTTGTGCAGATGTAGCTCATTTCTCTGGGGTAAACACTGAGTTGAGCAATTGCTGGGTTGCATGGTAAGTTTATGTTTAATTATAAATTCTGCTAGACTATGTTCCAAAGCTCTATCATTTTGCATTCCTGTCTGCAGTATGTGCAAGTTCCACTTGCTCCACATCCTTGCTAACACTTGTTATTGTCAGTCTTTTTAAACTTAGTCATTCTATGGGGTGTGCAGTGATAACTCCCTGTAGTTTTGATTCCTGCATTAACTTTGCAGCACCCTCTATGCTGGCCCTGGGCTCAGCCATGTGACTGGATTTGACCAACAGAATGAGGCAGAAGTGGCTGGGTCAGTTCCACATCTGAGTCTCAAGAGGCCTTGCATGTTTCTGCTTGGTCTCTTGCCCTCTGCTACACTCTTGAGAATGTCTGTGGGCTGGTCTGCTGGAGGGTAAGGGACACATGGAGCAATGCTGAGTGGCCCCAGTTGTCCCAGCAAGACCAACCTAGATCAGCCAATGGTCAGTCTTTCTGTATCTTTCATGACCTTGACACTTTTGAACAATACTGGCCAATTATGTAAAATGTCCCTCAATTTGGTTGTGTCAGATGTTTTTTCATGATTACATTGAGGTTATACAAGAATACCACGGAAGTGATGTCATGTCCTCAATCCATCTTACCAGGGGTGATGTTAACCTTATCACCTTTTCACTGGAGACATTGACCTTTGTTAAGGTGGCATCTGCCAGGTTTCTCTCTGTGTATTTAATAAGTATCTTATGGGGAGATACTTGAGAACTTCCAAATGTCCCCTTTCTCTTCATATTTTTACTTGATGGTTTTAGCATGCATCATTGATTCCTGCCTGCAGTAATTAAGACTGCCATATTTGCTTAATGGTGACTTTCTATTTCATCATCTCTCCTACACACTCATTCATTAGAACTCTACCATCAGGAAGAGCTGTGTGTTCTCCCCATCCTATTTATTAGATCAATCATTTATTCATAGCAGTATGGACTCATGGATACATATTTTATTCTGTGGGCAATACCCGTTACTATCATTATTTGTTTTTCTTGGCTTGAATATTCTCAGATTTGGGCTTTGGGTGCTTCTTGTAGTTTGCCGCAATGCCCTTTTGATGTGATGCTATCATTATTTTTAGTACATCCTTACTTTCCAACAGTATGGGATCATCTTTGTTTTCCCCATCCCAGTCCTGAAAGTAGCCCTTTCTCCAAGTGTTCACTGGTTGCTTGGTTGGAGAATGGTGCATAGGAACCAAGATCTGAGTGCAAGGGTGCTCTTCACTGTTGGGATGTCATTGCTTCTGGGTGTGTTGGAGCCAGCAAATATATATATGTACACTAATTCATGCATGCACACATTTGCATTTATTTATACATCTATCCATCTGCGTGTGTATACGTGTGTGTATATGTGTTACCATGAGTTAATACCAATTACTCTGATTTCAATCCAACACAATGGGTTCTTTCTAATTATTTTTAATTTCTCTCAAAATCACTTCTTCTGGTTCTTCCAGAAAATGAGCTCTTCACCTAGCTTAAGAATGTAGAGATGTCGTGTATGGTTGGGCAGGTTGTTCACTGTCCAAGGGTGTTCCAGCTGAGGAGAGCGATGGGAGCTGAAAGCATCCATGCTCTACTCCCTAAGCTCTGCACTCTAACATGTGCTCTGGGTCCACCAGAGTAAGGGATGCCCTCTTTTCACTTGTGCAAATGCACTGGGTGAGCTAGCAACAGACCTGGTCGACTGCTGTCTCGGGATATTTTTGTGTTTACTTGTGAAACACCCAGGCTTGGGCTGGATTCCCCCAGAGGCAGATTGTGAGCTGAGGATTTGAGTGCGAGGAGTATTTTGGGATGTGATTCCAGGAACCTCCCAGAGAGAAGCAGCGGGGAGTCAGGCAGGAAAGAAAGCATGCGTCAGGGAGCTGGTTACTACTGGGCCACCGAGGCTCCATCCCAGTAAGGAACCCTGGAAGACGGGAGGAACGCACCTTGGAGTTGCTTCCCTAAGGGATCAACTTCAGTTGGTCGCCACTCAAGGCTCCTCCTGAGGGGAGCAGGCACAGAGTCCCTGGCACTTCTGGCCCTGAGTGCCCAGGGGATGAGTGCGTGACATTGACGGCTTCTGCTGTCCTCTGTCTCCTGCTTTCCCCGTGGGATGAACTAGCTTGAGAGGCACAAGATTCCTGAGCAGGCAGAGGGACTCTGTAGGAGTCTCAGAGCTCCTGAGGCTGCACCCTCGCCCTGGAGCCCCATGAAATCTTCAATTTTGGGTTTTATGAGCTTCACAAACCTTCCAGGGGCCTCTCCGGCTCCGGATGGGGTGCGTTGGAGGCCTGGTGCCCACGTGTCTCCTGGGCCCTCCACCTGTGCCCCGCCTGTTTGCACAGTGTGCGTGAGCTGAGCACCTGAGTTTGCTCTTTGAATCAAGTGTTTAACTCACTCACGGTAATAGTGGCTGATAATTCTTGAGCTAACACACCTTCTACTTTGCGGCCTAGCCTTGTTTGCCTTTCAGCCCTGGTTTATTATCTTCCATCGGATGAAGCTTAGGAGCACCAGCGCTGCCTAGGGAAACCCTGGCCCCTCCTTCCCTGGGATCATCTGGGTCCCCCAGGGCTCAGGCTTTACAACCCCTGCTGCTTGGTTACCCACCTCCCACCTGGGGCCCCTGACAGATCAGGGGACAAGCAGATAGAGGGCTCACCAGTGCAGTCCAGTGTATGCTGCCGGGCGGGCCGGAGCAGAGTGAGTCAGATTTGGCTTTTTATAATCATCCAGGTGCCAGGGTGGGCACGCGTCCTGGGTCATCCTTCCAGCGAGGGCTCACATCATAGCCTGTCACCAGCAGTAATTCAGCAGGAGGGTTTAGTTTCCTCCCTATGGGATCAGCGAGGGCAGCTGTCTAAGCCCCAGGCACACTGCCTAGGGCGGACGTGGGGGTGGGGGCCGTCCTCCTAGGGCTGCCCTGCCTCTTGGCAGGTGATCAGCCTTCACCTCCTTGTGTGGTTTAGGGGGGCTGCCTCCTGTCTATGTCAGAGGGCTTCTCAGAAACAGGCACCGCTGTAGGGGCAGCAAGATGACTTCACTTGGAAAATGGAATGTACTTAAACGAGATCAAGCCACCTCGTGGAGAAGCCATTCCCTTCCAATTTGTTTTAATCCTGCTGATTATTGCAAAGAGAAAGACTTAGCCTGGTGCTAATGAGTCTTTAATGCCTCTGAGGACTTCCTAAGTTTTCCTTTTTTTTTCTAAACAAGAAAAGTTAAGCCTCAGGCTGTTCATCCTTCTAGTTGGAATTTAATAACCGTGTTTTGTTTTCATAGAATTTACCTTTGGAGTTGTTTATTCATGGCAGGGCCTCCTGGTTTTCCATTTTGGGGAGTGATAGGAAGTTTTCCATTAAATTAATTTATTGTATATATTTTTTTACAGTGAGTCCTTAATATATTTTGTAGGTAATAGTATGGGTGAGGTTGGCAAACTATGGCCCTGGGCTAAATCTAGTGTATAGCATGTTTTTGTCAATAAAGCTTTATCAACACACAGCCACGCCTGTCATTTGCATATTATATTACTATGGCTGCTTTAATGCAGAGATGAGTAGTTGCATCAGAGATTGTCTGGCCCACAAAACCTGAAATATGGACCATCTGACCCTGTACAGAAAAAGTGTGCTGATCTGTTATATATGGTACATGATTGGTAATAGGTATTATATCAGTGACGTTGACAGAGCAAAAATATGGAAGGTAATATGCAAATAACTAAAGTACCGGAAAATACTTGGCAAATCCCAAGAAACTAAACAGAAATTCCATTGGGAGGGCCTTTGGTAACCACAGAAAATTTCCAGCCTTTCAATTGTGTGCCTGGCTGTTTGCCTGATCACTTTATCACTTTGAGATACTGCACTGATGACTCCATGAGCTGGAATTCACTGTGTTCATATCCTTTCCTGGTTCTGGGAGGATTGTGGTTGGGTACATTGGCGGCATAAATACCCAGTTTCTCCCTCTCTTTTTCTGTCTGGTCAGACTTTAATTTTCTTCTTTAACTTGGGCTCTAGACCTATGTCTGGTTTCCCACGCAGTCCTCTGGTAGCTCTGGTTTCCAGTTAATTCCTTAATTACGGTATCTACCTCCAATTCCGCAAGCATTTCCTGAGCTAAACGCTGAGTTGGAGATAGGCAAGTGAAAGACATGACCTGTCCCCACGGACAGCGCACATCGCAGGGAACTCATCACCAGCACCTCAGGGAGCTCTCATCACTATTGTCATTGCTGCCACCACCAGCAAGAAGAAGCAACTAAGCCCCAGTTGTTATCTACAGTGGACCACTAAACACTTGCCTAAATCACCAGGCCAGCTTAACAAAAGTGGCCCACTAGACAAGAGAGGACAGAAGACCGGGTGCCCTGGCATGTCCGTAGGGCCTCTGTGCTAACCATCCCCCAGGCCAGAAGTGCTCTCCCTTGCTTTCTCATGGCTGGATCTTTCTCAATGTTCCCTTTGCATTTTAAACATACAAAAGACCTTCCCTGCCTACTTGATCTACTAAAGTGCCATGGTTACTTTCTATTACTTTACTCTGTTTAATTTCTCTTGCAGCACTTCTCACTATCTGAAGTGATCTGGTTTGTTGATCAGCTTCTTTATTTCTGTCTTCCCTGATGTGAATACAAGCCCGCAGCCTGTCTGCTCAAGAGCTGTACCCTCAGGGTGTAAAATAGTGGCTGGCACAGTGAGTGTTCACTAAATGCTTGCCAAATGAATACATAAACCCTGTGGGTTTTTGAAAAAGGAACTAACATGCAATACCACCACTTGTGATTCTTCACAGTTAAAAAGGAAAGAGAAGTTTCACCTATGAGTTTTATACAGGGAAAACATGAACAGGTTTGATCAAGAGCCACAACATAAATTATAAAGTCAAAAATTAACATCATTAGAGATTTTTTTTGGCGAATTATCATGCCTGATGGTCCTTCTGCATCACTTTAATTCTTAATATTGTCATCATTGCCATGATCACCATCACCATGACAGCATTGCAGTTTGAGGATAATAAAATGTTAAGGACCCTAGAGAATATCTGGGGAGAGGCCTTGTCATACTCATGAAGAAATCCGAGGTCCAGAAAGATGACATGAATTGCTAAAGCATTTTTCCATGCAGTCCTCTGGTAGGTCTGGGTTCCAGTTAATCCAATTGTCACCACCACCACCACCATCACCACCATCACCTCCATCATCACCATTACCACCATAATCATCATCACCACCACCATCATTATCACCATCACCATAACCACCACCATCACCATCACCATCACCACCACCATCATCACCATCACCATCACCATCACCACCACCATCACCACCATCACCTCCATCATCACCATCACCATCACCACCACCATCACCATCATCAGGGTCATCACTGTCATCACACTGTCATCACTGTCATCACTGTCATCACCACCATCATTACCATCATCACCACCATCAGGACTACCATCCACAAATGAGCCATCTTTAGAATGCCTCAATGCTTGAAATACCCTAAGGGTGCCACAAGTGGTTCCAGATGAAAAACTCCTTAAGAACATTGGGAACCGCTATCTTGTCATAGCACCAACACTCTTGTGCAACGCCCCCTAGGCTGAAAACAGATCAGGGTCGTCTCCTGCCAGGAAGAGAAACTTCTTATGGCTCTGTTCAAATTCCCTAGAAAAATATCTGTGGCTGAGGAAGTTGTATAGTAAATTTTAGTGGTTTGTACATACAATTTCTAAAACTCCCTTTCCCCTGTTATTTATTTGCTTACTCTAATTTAAGCACTTAAGGAAGACCCAAAATTCAGTGAGTGAGTCCCCATCAACCACCAGAAACAGAAAACAGGTGTGTTGTGCTGACAGCCACATGACCAAGGCTGGGAGGGCTCCCCTCCCTGAGACGCCAAGATAAACACACCCACAGCATCGCCCTGGAAATGGTGGCTTACAGTTCAAATGCTCAGGAGGGGATAGGAAAAAAAAATCAGGACAGCACCATAGAGAACAATTTCCGTCATCAACTTCTGTGCTCCTCCTAAGGGCAGAGGACCTGCAAATTACACCACAGCCCCTTGAGTAGTTTCCACAAGGACCGATGTTGATGGGGATCTAGAAAAACAAAGGCAAGCCATGCCCCAGACAAGTCTCCATCTCAGAAGCGGAAGTCCTTGGCATAAGCCAACCATATTGGCAAAGCCCTCGCTGGGTGAAAAGTGCAAAGCGAGGACAAATTGATGATGAGAAAACCAAGTCTGAAGATTTACTTGGACAAGCTAAAGGCAAGGAGACAGAGCTGGAGCTGAAAAAAGAAATCCAGTGTTAACAGGAGGTGCCCAGTGTGTTAACGGCTGTTGTCCAATATGGTAGCTGCTGGCCACATGTGGCTACTGAACCCTGAAATGTGGCCAATGCAACTGAGAAACTGGATTTTTAGTTTAATTTAATTTTAATCAACCTAAATTCAAAAACTGATACTTGATTCAGTTGTTAGGAAACTTTTGAAGTATGTTTGAAACAACTTTAGAAGGTGAATCTAGCTTTTCAACTGTGAACGGAGTCTTTTATGGAATTTACAGTTTTTAAATAACTGATGAAATGTACATAACTTTACAAATTTTCCATTAACATATAACATGCAAATTGACATACAAATAAGTATAAAATGCACATTGGATTTCGAAGACTTGGTACCAAAAAATAATGTAAACTATCTCATTCGTATTTTTTAATATTGTTGGCCTGTTGAAATGGTAATATTTTAGATGTGCTGGGTTAAGGAATATATGTTATTAAAATTATCTTCACCTACTTCTTTTTATTTTTTCATGTGGCCAATAGAAAATTTAAAACTACATATGCAGCTTGAATTCTGTTTCTATTGGACAGGGTGGCTGCAGTCAGTCGGGAGCTGACAGATACTTCTGGCCAGAGCGGCTGTTGACACCGCTCAATTGTTCTGGTGTCTCCTGTCCTGTGCCCACTCCCCGGCCACCACCTTGGGAGTAAATGTTAGCTGAGAAGCTGTTGCTCACCCAGAGAGGAAGTTGGGTGTAATTAGAAAACCGAATCATAACTTAGATATTTTACAGCTCCCTCTGTTATCATGGACTCTGGAACATTCCACAGAGTCTCAATACCCTGAGTAATTTCTGGGGAATTCTGACTCTGATCACCCAAGTAATTGGGTCAGCCTTGGTCTGACTTCTCAAAACCCCAAAAGTCCTATGCCCTGAATATGCCAGACTCTGTGGACCAGCTGATGTACCCTGAGCTGCCGCAGGAAGATTCTAGAGTTTGAGATACATAAGAATACAATGGTTTTGTAAATCTAAAATTATTTCAAATTAAAAAGTTTATTTTAAAAAATATGTAACAAGTCTTGGGCCTGAAGCCAACCTGAAGATTCCTCATTTTATGACCCCAAGATATGGCTTAGTAGTTCCTGAAGGAGTCATTCTCTAGTTCTCTGCCTACCAATATGGCAGCCACCAGCCCTGTGGGGCTACTGAGTGCTTTCTCCCTTCGGGTGGAGATGGATCACATGGAGATACGCCACACATGTGAAATACACACCGAATTCCAAAGGCTTAGTATGGAAAAATCATGCAAAATATCACCTTAATAATTTGTATATACTGATCACGTGTTGAAATGATAATATTTCAGATATACTGGGCTAAGTAAATTACATTATGAAAATTAATTTCACCTGTTCACCTGTTTCTTTTCACCCTTGTTAGTGTGGCCACTAGGAAATTCAAAATACACACACAGTTTGCACTTGTGGCTCAAATTCCATTTCTTTTTTTTGAGATGGAGTCTTGCTCTGTCGCCCAGGCTGGCGTGCAATGGCACCATCTCGGCTCACTGCAACCTCTGCCTCCCGGGTTCAAGCGATTCTCCTGCCTCGGCCTCCCGAGTAATTTTTATATTTTTAGCAGAGACGGAGTTTCGCCACGTTAGCCTTGCTGGTCTCAAACTCCTGACCTCAGGTGATCCACCCGCCTCGGCCTCCCAAAGTGCTGGGATCACAGGTGTGAGCCACTGGGCCTGGCCTTTTTTTTTTTTTGAGATGGAGTCTCGATCTGCCGCCCAGGCTGGAGTGCAGTGGTGCAACCTCAGCTCACTGCAACCTCCGGCCCCTGGGTTCAAGCGATTCTCCTGCCTCAGGCTCCCGAGTAGCTGGGACTACATGCGTGTGCTATCACGCCCAGCTAATTTTTAGCAGAGACAGGGTTTCACCATGTTGGCCAGGCTGATCTCGAACTCCTGACCTCAGGGGATCTGCCTGGCTCGGCCTCCCAAAGGGCTGGGATTACAGGCGTGAGCCACCGTGCCTGGCCTCAAATTCTATTTCTATTGGACATTGCCACTCCAGGACATCCTTCCTCCACCCTCAGAGGATGAGCTGTTCTCCTCTGATGGACACCTCATGAGATCCTATTCTGCATCTGCCCAGTGTGGCCACAGACAGGTCCCACCTCTGTAAGCCTCGTTCTCCTCGAGGAGAGGAGAATGCCTGTAACAGGTGAGAGAGCCTGGAAAATGGGTACTATAGTATTGTCTATGTCAGGGGGATGCTATGAGGAGTATTACCTGCAAAACGCTCGCTGCCCTGCCCACGGCATCAAAACCCTTCAGTCAATAAATCAAATATTATTTTTCATCTCTACTCCCACCCTTCCATCCGCTCTTGAGTCTGACCCTTTTTCATTTACCTCCAAGTTTTGCTTGCTTTCTCAACCCTCCTCCAAAACATCTTCCCCTCTTTCCCTACAAAACCCTTCCATCTTCAAAGATGCTTGGTTCTTCCCAGTTCTTGAAGTAAAACATCTCTTTCCTTGGACTTGTCTGATGACGGACTGTTCGATTTCTCTCCTTCCCTTTGCAACTCATGCGAGTGACCCACGTTTCCTTTGTCTGCTTTTGACCCGTCCACTCCTTTCAGGACCCCTGGTCAAGCCAGCCTCTGCCCACAGCCCGGGACTGACAGCACTCTCCAAAATTCACCGGGATCTTCATCTCACCACGCCTAAAGCCCCTTTACCCAGTTTCAGCCTTCTTAGCTTTTTAATTTTTTTAAACCAAGAACAAGAAAACTTCAAAATGCTCATTTAAAAGTACTTTTAATTACAGCAATCCAGCCCTCTCCCAGTGGGTCCCTAGGACTCTGCACCTTCCTGGGATGAGTGGGTAGGAGGTTGCCTGCATTTTTAATCTCTAAGCTCTTTGCGTTTGGGGAGTGAGGTCGTTCCTGTTTGGAAAGGCTGTTCTTATCTGGATGGAGCCCCACCTGTTTCCCTGGAGGGCAGAGTTCGCTGGGGAGTAACAGGAGTTAAGGCCTCCAGGTCCTCACAATCTTCATGTCACATGAGCTAAGCAGTAAACAGCTCTCCAGGACCCAAATAAAAAGGTCTTTATGGAGAGAACAAACACAAAGAAATGCCAGGATCCAATTCAAATGAATAAATAAACCCAGTTCCAAAGGCTGCAGGCCACAGGATTTCGGGGAGACTGAGCCAAGCAAGTTGGTTTCTTGAGAGTTGTTTCTGAAAGGGAAGGAGGAAGAAAGATTTCAGGGCCCGTCAGCAGATCCCAGCATCTCCAGACCCAGATCCATGAGCCATCTAGAAGTGAAAGAAGTTTCCCAACCAACAACTGTCCTACCAAATGTTGCGTTGGAAAATCAAAGTGAGATGACTCTCACAGGACCCGGGAACAGGGGACTCCAGGCATCCCGGGCCTGTGCGGGAGTTGGGGACCTGGGAGATGCTGACAACCAATGCAGGCTCTAGCAATCAGTGTCTTGTGATCTCAGCAACGCTGGGTCATCTGTCCCATGCCAGCATGGGGGGCTGGCCACTCTCTGTCCTGGCCTCTGCCACTCCATCCTTGTACAGCTTCACCCACCTCACCCCCTTCTCTGATGACTTTTTCTTTTCCCCACTGTTTCTTGTACTCATAATGTTCACACAAAGCTTCTCACAGCCCCGCGCCTGATGGTCCCAGCACTCTCTGCCTTCTCCGTGTCCAGGTTTCCGCTTCAGTTATGATGAGCCAACTCTCTCTGTATTCCTTATCTGAAATCCTGAGAATCAGATTATGGCGACAGAATCTCCTGGACTGCTAATCCCTTCTCATGAGCATGTTGTCAGATCTTGCCCTCGGCAGGAGCTATGCCGCCATGGCCCTAGCCAGGGAGCCTGGGTCCAGCAGGCACCCTGATTGGACAGGCTGGCACAACTTTCCTTCTGCAAGAGACAAAGCAGCTCACCCATCCATTCAGTCCATCAACATTTTAAAAGTATTTTTTATGTGCTGAGCGCTCAACAAGGAAACATGGGAGAAATAAACATCATTCTTGCCTTGCAGGAGCTCTCAGTGTGGAGAGAGGGACAGAATCATGATCAGCACCTAAGACAAGACCCAAGGTACAGTGATTGAGCTGGGGGCACCAGGAGTGAGGGTTAGTCACGTAGTAGAGACCATCAGGAGCAGGGCTGAGTCCCTAGGGCAGGTCGGAGTGTAGCCATAGTAAGTGTGGGGGAAGAGAGGATGAAAGGCACACACACAAAGGTTTGTTGGGCGGTATGGGTATTGCTGGCCCATAAAACAGAGACAAGAAGTGGCAGGAAATGAGTAGAAAGGGACTTGGATGCCATTTTAAGGACCTGGGTCAGTGCATGGCAAGTGATAAGGGAGCCACTTCAGGATTCTAAGCAGAAGGGTGTCCTGTCCATCCTGGCATTGAACATGAGTCACTCTGTGGAGCAGGGAAGTTGGTTAACGGAGACTGCCAGTGGCCTCTAAATCCCCTGTTCCTCTCCTTCCTGGGCTCCTCCCCACTCCCCCCAACAGACTACATTTCCCAGCACCCCTTGCCTCTAGGCAGGGTCATGTGATTAGTTCCAGCCAATGGATCATTAGCCAGAGTGATATGGCCACTTCCAGGTCTGGGCCCTAAAAGCTCCTGAGAGAAACTCCAAGCTCTTCTCTGTCTCCCAGCTGGACACAGAGGATCCAGTGAAGGATGCTGGGATGGAGACACAACATGGAAGAAGCCTGGGCCCCTGAACCACCATATGGAAGACCATCCTATGTCAGCATGAATGGGAAACACATTTTCCCTGTGTTAAGCCACTTTAGTTTTGAGATTGTTATTGGAGCAGTGAGGACTACAGCAGCTGCTGTTGAGAGATGATAGGAGCCTAAATCAGTGGGTGGAACAGATTCAAGCAATTTTAGGGCAATACCGTAATTATCACTTGACAATCAATTCCATGCAGGATGTGACAGAGAGGAAGGCACATCTAGCACAGGACAGGTGGACTGAGAATTTAGAAGGAAGAAAGGGCTTAGAAGGAAGGCAATGAGTTAATGCTCAGACTCAGGGGAACTGTGAGCTCCAGTGGAGATGTCTAGGAAGCTTGGGTGAGAAGTCTGCACCGAATGTGTACATAGATGGTACTTTGAGCCAAGAGAGCAATGAAATCCCAAAAGAAGAGGCAGGTGAGGTAGAAAAAGAAGTGACGTTAGACTTGGGGTCCAGCACATTTGAGGGGTACTCAGGGCTGGAGGATCCCACCGAAGAGATGAAGGAGGACGAGTCCGTGAGGTAGGAGATAACCAAGGACAGTGAGCATCATGGAAGCCCAGAGAGAAGCCAGGCTGCCGCAGTCCCCAGGGCTCTGTAACAAGTGATCCCCTCACTTCACAAGGGCAATGTTTATTTGCTGACGTTTGTTTTGGTAGGGCTAGGTGGGGACAGCCTCATCTCTGCTCCACTTGGCCTCAGCCAGAGTGACTTGGTGGCTGACAGCTGGAGCCACCTGAAGTCATGCACACTGTGGGCCTGATGTCCATTGAGGGGCCGAAGTCCACTGAGGCTCAGGCCAAATGGACAGTGATGGCCTCAGGAATGTCAGAAGACAGGGGGACGAAGGCCATCGGAAGTGGCTCTCGCTCCATTCTCATCCCATTAGCTAAGGCAAGCCTTGGGCTGAGCCCTTCAATGGGGAAGGGAAAAAAACACTGTCCACTCTCATAGTGGGCACTGCCAAGTCACCAGAAGGGGTGAGCATGTGACTGAAGCCCACAGGTGCCCTTGATGGACCAGAGTGGCAAAGGTGCCCCATTTCCATAAAAAAACGCTCTGTTTGTGCACTGCAGCAAGGCCGACAGTCCTGGCAGGTGAGGCTACGCTACAGGCACTTCGGTGAGAGCAGCAGGGACGGACGGCAGGGAGCCGCGACTCGATCCGCCGTAAGGGGTACTGTGAGCATACATTATTTTCCTCTGCCTGGTCAAAACAAAGACAAATGCAAATTACAAGAACATTGCAGACAACAAAAGAAAAATCCCGGAATCCCTCGTCTCTAGAAGTTTACACCTTGAAGCGTTGGAGTTTATGTTTGGCAAAAGCTCCAGCCTACTTCACCAACTAGAAACGCATGAGTTAAAAAGGAATGTTCTCTGCTGAAGCAAAATTTTGAAAAAGTCTAGAACTATCCGCCCATCTCTTCAAAGCTTACCTGGGGTCCTGTTTCCTGACTTCAACGCCTGTAACAGCTGAGATCTCTCTTCCCCAGCCAGGACCTGGTGAGTCCCTGGTTGGCTTTGCTGCTCTGCAGAAACAATGGGGTGTTTTTTTGAGGGAAATGGAGCATCTTTGCTGCTGTGGTCCATCAGCTGCACCCCTGGTTTTGACCTATGGTCTGGCCATTCAGGGGGCAGCAGGGTTGAGGAGGGGCTCAAAATAATGACATCTGTGTCTTTGCCCCAGACATCCGCCAACCACACTGGGCTCTTGAGAGACTTGGAGCAAAGTGGAAGGGCAGGGTGCAGAGCCTGGGGGCTGCCCAGAGGGCTGGGGAGCTGGCCCAACTCTGGGCTCCCTGAAATCCTCAGACTCTTTTTCAAACAGCTGGGGGATTGCTTAACACCCACAGTCGGTTTTTCCAAGTTCTGCTTTCTTCCCCTTGATTTAACCCTATATGTAGCTCGGTGGAAATTTCACCTTTGCATGGGCCTGAATGTGCATGCACCTGTGTGCACTTGTGCATTTATGCATGTGGGTGCACGTGCACATGGGTGCGCGTGCATGTGGGTGCACGTGCATGTGGGTGCACGTGCATGTGTGAGTATGTTTGCACACACATAGGGCAATAGTACAGAGAATAGGAACTTGGGAACTGGGCACTGAGTCTACAAAAATTACCAGCAATAAATTCATCTCGATTTCTATCACCCACTGGTACCCAACAAGGATAAGTTGGAATCATTTTTTAAAGTTGATGCTATATCATTCCATAGTGAAGAGGAGGGTTATGGATTGAATTGCACTCCTGCCCATTCATACCTCAAAGTGCTAATCCCCAGCGCCTCGGAATGTGACCTCGGTTGGAAACGAGGTTGTTGCAGATGTCATTAGTTAAGATCATACTGGAGTAGCGGGGCCCCTAGTCTGGTATGATCAGTTTCATTATAAAAGGGAGAAAGTGGAACAGAGGCGCACACACAGGGAGACCCTGAGGGAAGACTGAATTCTGCTGTCACCAGCCGAGGAAGTACCAGGAGCTGGAGAGAGGTGTGGAACAGACCCTTCCCTGGCACCCTGTGAGGGAGCATGGCCCCGCTGACACGTGGATCTCAGATGTGGAGCCTCCAGAGCTGTGAGATAATAAATTTCTGTTGCTTAAGCTGCTCCGTGTATGGTACTTTGTTACGGTGGTCCTGGGAGACTAACACAGGAGTTATGATGCTGTCGATTTCCAATGACGAGTGGTTAAAAACGCACTCCTTTTTGGTTCTTTGGGATGCATTTTATATATTCTTCTAAGACTCGCTTTCCTATTTTGTTTGTTTGTAATTTTGTCAGGGAGATGTAAACTAATAAACAAATGAACCCGCGTTTCCTTACCACGCATGCCTGCATTCCTCTTTCCAAGGAATAAGTCTTTCTTTACTCTCCTCCAAACTGGGTGTTTCACTCACATTCTCCTTATTGTTTCCTTCGTCACCTTTTTCACTCTCAGCTTTTATTTTAGGTCCAGCGGGTACATGTGCAGGTTTGTTACGTGAGTAAATTGCATGTCGCTGAGGTTTAGGGTGCAAATGATCCCGTCACCCAGGTAGTAAGCATAGTGCCCGAAGGGTAGTTTTTCAACCCACATCCCCCTGCCACCCTCCTCTGTCTAGTAACCCCAGTGTCTATTGTTCCCATCTTTGTGTCCATGTGCACTCGCCGTTTAGCTCTCACTTATAAGTGAAAACACCCAACATGGTTTTCTGTTCCTGTGTTAGTTCACTTAGGATAATGGCCTCCAGCTGCCTCCATGTTGCTGCAAAGAACATGATCTTGTTCTTTTTTATGGCTGCGTAGTATTCCATGGTGTGTATGTACCACATCTTTATCTAGTCCACCAATGATGGGTATCTAGGTTGATTCATGTTCTTTGCTGTAGTGAATAGTGCTGGGATGAATTGGTAGAACAATTTATTTTCCTTTGGGTATATACTCCATAGCAGAATCACTGGATCGAATGGTAGATCTAAGTTCCTCAAGAATCTCCACACTGCTTTCCGTAGTGGCTGAACTAATTTATGTTCCCACCAATAGTGTGTAAGTGCTCCCTTTTCTCTGCAGCCTTGCCAGCAACTGTTGTTTTTTGACTTTTTGATAATAACCGTTCTGACTGGTGTGAGATGATATCTCATTTTGGTTTTGATTTGCATTTCTTTAGTGATTAGTGATGTTGAGCATTTTTTCCTATATTTGTTGGCTGCATGTATGTCTTCTTTTGAGTAGTGTCTGTTCATGACTTTTGCTCATTTGTTTTTTGTTTTTTGTTTTTTTTTTTTGAGACAGTTTTACTCTTGTCACCCAGGCTGGAGTGCAATGGTGCAATCTCAGCTCACTGCAACCTCCGCCTCCTGGGTTCAAGTGATTCTCCTGCCTCAGCTTCCTGAGTAGCTGGGATTACAGGTGTGCACCACCACGCCCGGCTAATTTTTGTATTTTTAGTAGAGATGGGATTTCACCATGTTTGCCAGGCTGGTCTCGAACTCCTGACCTCAGGTAATCCACCCGCCTTGGCCTCCCAAAGTGCTGGGATGACAGGCATGAGCCGCCACACCCAGCCCTTTTGCCCATTTTTGATGGGGTTGTTTCTTGTTTGTTGAATTGTTTAAGTTCCTTGTATTCTAGATATTAGACCTTTATTGGATGCATAGTTTGTGAATATTTTCTCCCATTCTGTAGGTTGTCTGTTCACTCTGTTGATAGTTTGTTTTGCTGTGCAGAAGCTCTTTAGTTTAATTAGGTCCCTACTTGTGAATTTTTGTTTTTGTTCCTTCAACACTTAAAAAAAAATAACACCACCACCCTTCCTCACCCCAATCAAGTGGGGTGTGAGGCAGTGGTCTTTTTTTTTTGTTTTTTTTGAGACAGTCTCGCTCTGTCGCCCAGGCTGGAGTGCAGTGGCGTGATCTCGGCTCACTGCAAGCTCCGCCTCCCAGGTTCACGCCATTCTCCTGCCTCAGCCTCCCGAGTAGCTGGGACTACAGGCACCTGCCACTACGCCTGGCTAATTTTTTGTATTTTTAGTAGAGACAGGGTTTCACCGTGTTAGCCAGGATGGTCTTGATCTCCTGACCTCGTGATCCGACTTCCTCGGCCTCCCAAAGTGCTGGGATTACAGGCGTGAGCCACTGCGCCCGGCAGCAGTGGTCTTGATAGCCAAGAAAGTGGTTGTCTGGATAAGCTCCCGCAGCCTCACCATCTCAGCTCTGTAATTTACTAGCTCCAAGACTTCAGGTGAGTCACTAAACAGCCAGTAGCTTCAGTGTCACCAGCCGCAAAACAGGGACAATGACACCTCATGAGACCTGAATAAAGTAGTGCAAATAATGCATTATATCCAGACCATAAGAAAATGAAAAAGTTGAGTTTTCCAAGATGCATTGAATTTGCTCATTCATTTGGCAAACGCAATCAAGAACCTCCTCCTGCCTGTCTTGCTGTGTTCTGGGTGCGGCAATGCAAATGTTGATCAGAATAGTCCCCACCCTTAGGACTTTACCATCCTGTTCTTCACTAGAATGTGATTAGGCCTGGGAGAATTAGATGAGATGGGGACTTTTCAGCAATATGTGATAGAAATCCAGCTCAAACCTACTGAGACAGAAAATGACATTTACTGACTCACTTAACTGAAAAATCCAAGGGCAGATGGCTTCGGGCGTGGCTGGACGTGGGTGCTCAAACACTGTTATCAGGAATTGACCCCTCTCCACCCCTTAGTTCTGCTTTGCCTGACTTTGGTGTCCTTCTTAGGTGATAAGGTGGCTACCAGCTGCTTCTGGCTTATATTGTACTCATTTAGAAAACCAGCAGTAGAATCTTTTGCCCAAAATACCAACCAAAGTCTTATGGAGTGCTCACATTGGCTTGGCTTTGGTCATGCCCCTGTTTAGTGACCCATGCCCCTATTTAGTGACCCAGTTATATGGCCATGGGTTGGAAATGTACTGAATGGCCAGGTTTGGTTCACGGACCCATTCATGATGCCAGGAGGGAAGAATCAGCCCCTCTCAAGTCAGATGGATTGAATATAGAAAAGCAGTGATTCGGTCAGGTGCGGTGGCTCACGCCTGGAATCCCAGCCCTTTGGGAGACTGAGGCGGGCAGATCACAAGGTCAGGAGATCGAGACCATCCTGACTAACATGGTGAAACCCCGTCTCTACTAAAAATACGAAAAATTAGCCGGGTGTGGTGGTGGGCACCTGTAGTCCCAGCTACTAAGGAGGCTGAAGCAGGAAAATGGCATGAACCTGGGAGGCGGAGCTGGCAGTGAGCCAAGATTGCGCCACTGCACTCCAGCCTGGGTGACAGAGCAAGACTCCATCTCAAAAAAAAAAAAAAAAAAAACAAAACAAAAAGAAGAGCAGTGATTCCCCCTAAAAGGAAAATATGGGAATAAATATTGAGCGGGCAGAAACAATAGATGTCTGTTACAGAAACGGGGAAGGGAGCAAGTGCTCTGCCTAAGAGAAGAGTAAAGCTGCTAGGGAAGCTTCAGGAAGGGGAAATGAAACTGTGTTAGAGTTCCCCCAGGATAAAAATGGGTTATAAAAGGAGGAATTGCAGCAGAGGAAAATAGTTTGTGCAAAATACTTAGACCTATGTTCCCTAGAGGACAAGTCATTCTGTAAAGGCTAGGGTAAAGCTAATCTAACAGGGAACTTGATTTACTTGCTTGCGGTTAAGAGAACAGGCTGACATCCATAGTTTTGTTTCTTAGATTGTATGTTTCAGTTCCAGAATTTCTATTTGACTCTTTTTTATAGTTTCTGTTTCTCTGCTGAGATTTCCCATCTGTTTATTCATTGTGAGTATATTTTCCTTTATAATACTGAATGCAATAATAATAGCTGCTTTAAAATCCTCATCTGATAATTCCAAAGTCTGGATCATTTCAAGGTTGGTCTACACAAATTGTCTTTTCTCTTGAAAAGAAAAGAAAAGACTTTTTTCTTGAAAAGAAAAGAACATGGGCCCCATGTACCTGGTTGTATGTCAAATAATTTTGGATTGCATCTTGGGTCTTATGAAAGTTATTTGTGAAGACTTTGGACTCTGTTATATTTCTGCAAAGAGTTTTGTTGTCTTGTTGTTAAACAGAGGATTGAGTTGCTTGGGCTGAACCTTCAGACTGTCTCTCTTGGAGTTTTTAGATATGTGGAGATAAAAAGGGGCTGGTGACAGGGAGAGCAAAGGTCATTGTCATCCTGTTTCCCTGACTTGCTGCCTTCCTCCTGAGAGACAGCATGCCCAGAAGAGGAACTCCCTCTCGGGATACAGATCTGCTTATCCTGGGGAGCTTTAATGTCAAGGAAATGTGGTTCGTTAATGGCTGCAGAGATTGATCTCTGTGCTCTCTGAAGCTGTCTAATATGCTGTGATTTTCATGTCTAGCCTTCCACAGGGCAATAAGATAGGTCTTAGCTCTCATTAGCAAGCTTTGTGCTTTAAAGCCCTAAGAAGGAGCTACAAAAATTTAATGAAAGTTGAGTGTAAATGGTATAACCATTTGAAAAGCATTTTGGCAGCATCCAGCAAAGCTTAGGCTGTGCACACTCTGTAAGCCTGCAGTCTCTCTCCTAAATATATCCCCCAGAGCCATGTCTCTCAAACTCTTCAGATCATGACCCACAGGAAGAACATCTATATCCCAATCCTGCCGGCACCTATGCATGCAGACACCACACCTCTGAAGCAAAAGTGCCATGACATATTACTTACTATGTGTGATGCATTTCTAATACTGTTTTTTCCTATTATTTTTAATGCTGGGCATGGCTCACCAAATTGATTTCAATACTTATTAATGGCTACAACTCTCATTTTGAAAAATACAACCCTTGAGAAACAAGGAGACGTGGACAAGAGTATTCCTGCAGCATTGTTCATGATGGAAACAGGAAACAACCTAAGTAGCCATCAACAGGAGTATAGACAAATAAATATTCATACAAGGGGACATTACACCGTAGTGAAAGTGGATGGACTACTGCGGTGTGTGTCAGCGTGAATGAAGTTAGAAATTGTAATATTAAGGCCGGGTGTGGTGGCTCACACCTGTAATCCCAGCACTTTGGGAGGCTGAAGTGGGTGGATCACCTGAGGTCAGGAGTTGGAGACCAGCCTGGCCAACATGGTGAAACCCCCTCTCTATTAAAAATGCAAAAATTAGCAGGGTGTGGTGGTGGGCGCCTATAATCCTAGCTACTCTGGAGGCTGAGGCAGGAGAATTGCTTGAACCCGAGAGGCAGAGGTTGCAGTGAGCCAAGATTGTGCCACTGCACTCCAGCCTGGGAGACATAGCAAGACTCCAACTCAAAAAAAAAAAGAAAAAAAGAAAATAAATTGTAATATTGAGTGAAAGAAGCAAGCTGTACAAGAGTAGATACAGTAAGATACAGCTGAAAACATATAATACGTGGTGTTTGGGGAGATTTTCATGCCTATGTAAACACGTTTCAAAAAATGCA
Source organism: Homo sapiens (assembly GCF_000001405.40). NCBI lineage: Eukaryota > Metazoa > Chordata > Mammalia > Primates > Hominidae > Homo > Homo sapiens. The sequence continues at coordinate 124,248,815 of NC_000012.12, forward strand.
CGTGAATAATTAACAGCAAATTCGGGGTAACTGTAACTTTTGGAGGGGGACTGGGGCTTCTATTGTTTTGTCTGGTGACCTTTTCTTTCTTAACCTAGTGGAGAGTGTGTGGCTCTTTGCTGTATTACTCCCTAAATCTTTTTGATCATCTAAAGTTCTTATTTTTAAAAAAACTCTAATGAAAGATCACAAGATTGCAAAACTGGTGCCAACTTTTCTTTCTCAATATTCCAGCTGCCAATATGCCGTTTTGCCTGCGGTTTGAGTAGCTCCTGCCACATTCCAGCCCTTGTGAACTGAGAATTTGCTCAAACCCTTTGTAAAATTTTAAATTACAGACGCCGTATAGAGGAACCAGAGCGCTCAGCCACTGTGACCCCACGCCCGTCTCATGTTGCCCATTATAACGTATTAATTTATATGGGAAAATGTGTAGCATACCCCTTGGCCCTGGGCCCATAACTGAGAAAGACTGCCCCGAAACACGCAGTCTTTAGTGCTTTTATATATTTAATGGCCTAGGGAATGAAGGAGGGGGTGGGATGGGGGCGTGGGGCAGGGAACTCAACGATTTACTCTGCCCCCAGCCTTTTTCCCTCCCACAAATGCTTTCCAGTTCTCTTTTTAAAAGTTTCATGGTGAACCAGTGAATAAATACCCCATAGTGGGCTGGCCTTTAAAAACAACAAAACTAGGCTACTGTGGAATAAATTATTGCCTTAGCAGCTAAGACACCTGAGGGAGGGGAAAAAAGAATGTGTGTATGTAATTGAGTGTCGTTGGAGAGCAAATTAAGGTGGTGTGTGTCTTGTTACTTAATGGCCCAGCTTAGGAGGGTTCTGGAAGGTTTCCAAAAACAGGAAATCAGGCCCCACTAATGTGCATGAAGAAAGCTGAGAGGGTCAGTGGAGGATGCAGGCACCCCGCAGCCGACGGCAGACCGAGGCAGGAAGCCCGTCTCACCTTTACCTGGCTTTCTTGTGCCAGCGAGGGTGACGTCCAGGAATGCCACGGTTCCCCTGTGAAACTGCTTCGTCTCATTAGGGAACACCTGAGTGCCGGCCTGTCCTACCAGAAATCCAATTTGGTGATCTGTCTGCCAGGTGTGTGATCCTGGAGTTCTCCACCCTCTAAGGCCTCACTGGCACAGGCACAGAACCCGAGAACCTGGGTTGTCTTCTCAGGTGGCTGAGAGAAACACAGGCAAGTGCTTGATCATGACAGGACGTTCACATCAGCCTAAGCTCTGTGCCCCTAGGACGTACAAGAGGCAGGGATCCCTGAGAAAGAAAAGGGGAGACTGACAGTGCAGAATATAGAAATGACAAAGAGAGGAGACAGACTGCTTAGGTGCGAGGTTCGGCCCGGAGGATAACCTTGGCCAAGGGTAAATTTGCATATTCCCTGAACACGACAAGCCTCCATTCCCGAATCTGCACGGGGTCGGGGGAAATGATAGTAGCTGTCTCATGAAATGAACAAGGATGAAGGGGAACTCCCAGAGCAAGCCCTCAGCCAAGCACCTGGCTACTCTGAGTGCTCCAGAAACACCCGCTTTATCATTGTTGGAAGGGAACAGAGCGGACCCTACAACTGGGGAGGGTGTGGCTGGCCGCAGGATGGGCAGGTAGCAAGCAGCCCACACCGCAGTCTCTGGCCTGCTGAAGGAGTGGGCACCATTTTTCTCTGCATCCTCTTTCTGTAAAAGGCGGGGCAGCACCAGGCAGATGCTCAGTGCATCTCGCTCAAGGCCCATTCCAGAGTTTACCTGCCAGGGGAATCGAATTCCCTGAACAACATAAAACCGACTTCTAGCTGTTTCTTTCCGCAAACCCTTCACCCCTGGAGTGGACTTATGAATGCAGCGTGTTTTTATTTTCCCTAACTTAGCAGCCCGTTTTTGTCCTCTGTTTCTTCCTCCACATTGTTCCTGGTAGACAGGAGAACAAAGTTAAAAAGACCCACAATATGAAATGTCACCAAGGATGGGAGCAGCCGCAACGGAACATTTACTTGTTGCTGTTTGGGGTGCAAAGTGATGTAACCCAGCAATCCCACTGCTGGGTATTTCCCCAAAAGAAATGAAAGCTCATCACACAAAGGCTTATGCCTTTACTCGTAACGGCTCCACCCTGGAAAAAAAATCCCACTTCCCCATCAGTAGAGACATACGCATAATAAAATGTATTCGTTGAGGCCGGTGGCTCACGCCTGTAATCCCAGCACTTTGGGAGGCCGAGGCGGGTGGATCACCTGAGGTCAGGAGTTCGAGACTAGCCTGGCCAATTGTGGTGAAACCCCGTCTCTACTAAAAATACAAAAAATTAGACAGGTATGGTGGTGGGTGCCTGTAATTCCAGCTACTCTGGAGGCTGAGTGAGGCAGGGGAATCGCTTGAACCCAGGAGGCAGAGGTTGCAGTGAGCCGAGGTCACGCCACTGCACTCCAGCCTGGGCAACAAGAGCGAAACTCCATCTCAAAAAAAAAAAAAGTATTTATTGTTTATCTGAAATTCAAAGTTAATTGAGTGTCCTGCATTCTCTGGCAACCCTGTTTGTGAGGAACTCACAGAATAGCTGCAGGGAGGCGGTGGTGGGATCCACAGCAACACGTGAAACATAAATACACAGTAACAAACATGAAATATACAATAATAGAGACATGGTACCGTTTGCTGAGAAGTTACTATGTGCAGAGGGTCTAGTGGTTAAGAACAGAGGCTGCTTAGGTTGGAATCCCAGCCCTGCTACTTTCAAACTGTGTGATCATTTTGTGCCTTTGTCTCCTTATCCGTAAAATGGGTGTAAAAATTGTACCTACGTCCTAGGGCCAGGTATCGTGGCTCACGCCTGTAATCCCAGCACTTTGGGAGGCTGAGGCGGGAGGATCACTTGAGACCAGGATTTGAGACCAGCCTGGGCAACATGGTGAGACACTGTCTCTACCAAAAAAATAAAACAGAAACAAATATGCCAGGCATGGTGGCACGCACCTATAGCCCTAGCTACTCAGGAGGCTGAGGCAGGAGGATTGCTTGAGCCCAGGAGTTTGAGACTGGCCTGGGCAATATAGTAAGATCCTATTTCTACCAAAAATAAAATAAAATAAAATAAATAGTACCTATATCATAGGACTGCTCTGAGGTTTAAATGAGTGACAGGTATAAAGCACTTGGAATAGTGCCTGACACATAAAAAGTGCTCAGAAAATTTAGCTTTTTATAGCAGCAGGTTCATATTAGCTAAAGAAAATTGCTGTAAATTAAAAAGTTGTTTCAGGCTGGGCACGGCGATTCACACCTGTAATCCTAGCACTTTGGGAGGGTGAGGCAGGTGGATCGCTTGAACTCAGGAGTTAGAGACCAGCTTGGGCAACATGGTGAAACCCCATCTCTACAAAAAATACAAAAATTAGCCAGATGTGGTGGCATTCGCTTGTAGTCCCAGCTACTTGGGAGGCTGAGATGGGAGGATCGCTTGAACCTGGGAGGCAGAGGTTGCAGTGAGCCGAGGTCACGCCACTGCACTCCAGCCTGGGCAACAAGAGTGAAACTCCGTCTCAAAAAAAAAAAGTTTCTTCAGATGAATTCACCTAAACTAGGGGCCAAGTTTAATGGAGAACAGTTGGGGAGGAAGGTTTTGCCTGAGATTTTATGTTGAAAAATGAAACAAGGTTATAAACATTTATCAGATGACAATTGCAATAATGTACTAAGCCTTAAAATTCACAAAAGAATAACTCAACAAGGTTTTGGGAGGTGTCATTTTTCTGGCAAAATTATGAAGTACCGTAAGAGAATGTCCTTTCTTTTGGCAACTCCCATGGCCAGGCCTTAAAGCAGTTCCCTTCTGAGGAAGTGGCCCAGGACGACACGTATCCCCTGGTGGGCTCCTGAGGCCACCGCAGCAGCAGCACCTTATCAATTTTCTCCTCAATTGTCAACCATTCTCCCTCATTGACCCACCTTTGCCGGTGGCTTCCAGTGGAAATCAGGCCATTTTCCAACACTGCTTTCACCAACTTCTTGAAATCGACATTTTTGCCCAGATTTGTTGTTCCCTTATGCAGCCTTTTTTACAAGGTTTCTGCGTTGCTTGGTTGGCTTTTGGAGACATGGGTAAGAAAGTGACCATAAGATGAGTGGACAATGAATAACAGGATGACGTTGAGTTACCACTGGGCCCAGCGTTTCCACTGCTAGGTTTATGCCCAAGAGAATTGAAAATGAAGGACTCAAACAAGCAAAAACACATCCAAGCAGCACCATTCACAGCAGCCTGAAGGTGAATACAGTCCATCTGCTGAAGAATGGAAACGCAAATTGTGGTCTGTCTCTTTAGTGGAGTATTATTCTGCAATGAAAAAGGAATGAGGCTGGGTGTGGTGGCACATGCCTGTGATCCCAGCACTTTGGGAGGCCGAGGGGGGTGGATCGCTTAAGGCCAGGAGTTTGAGACCAGCCTGGGCAACATATTGAGACATGATCTCTACAAAATAAAAATAAAAATAAACAAATACGCCAGGCATGGTGGCATGTACCTGTAGTCCTAGCTACTTAGGAGGCTGAGGCAGGAGGATCACCTGAACCTAGGAGTTCAAGGCTGCAGTGAGCTATGATCACACCACTGCACTCTAGCCTGGGTGACAGAGCGAGACTGTCTCTAAAAAGAAAAGGAGTGAAGGATTGATGCCTGCTACACGGTGGATGGACGTCAGAAACATCGTGCTAAGTGGAAGAAGTCCAATGCAAAGGACCCTGTATTGCCTGATTCCATGTATACAAAATGTCCAGAATAGGCAAATTCGTGGAGAGCAGATGTGGTTGCAGGGGCTGGGGGAAGAGGGAAAGGGGAGTGGCTGCTGGCAGCTACGGGGTTTTCTTTGGGGTGGAAAATGTTCTGAACCTAGACAGAGGTGGCGGTTGCACAACATTGTAAATGCCACTGAATTGTTCACCTTTAAATGGCCAATTTTGTTATGTGAATTTCATCCCAATTGAAAAAACAAATAACAGAATGGTCAAGTGGGGCCTCGTTTGACAAGAGGACAGTACATTGGTGAACGTGTTCTTGGGATGATAACATTTGCGCCTCACCTTGGAAGACGGGGAGCAAGCAATGGGGGCTGAAACAACGAGGACCCTTGTCTTCCACGTTGGCCCCTGGGAGCTTCTCAGCCAAGTCTGGCTCTGGATGGACCCCAAGATGAGTCCAGAATCCAGGAAGGTTGTGGACCTAACAGGGCCACGCGGTAGCCCAGATTTCATGGGGTCTGGGCTTGGGCTGTGGCTGTGGATGGGACTGGCCTCCACGTGGCCTCTTGTCCTCCTCCTGTGAGTTCAGGTGGGCGTGGGGGGTGCCCAGATTGGGGACTGCCACATTTGCTCTTTCCTATGAGGGAGGGACAGGACGCTGAATCCTGTCACATCTCCTGATGGGCTTGGTGGCCTCAGGGATCCGGAAGCAGGCTGCAAGGGAGCAAAGACACCCGGGGAGCAGATGAGAAAGACTCGGACGGGAGCCAGGAGCCTGAACTGCAGCCGCAGGCAAAGCTGTGCTGACACTGGGCTCCGTCCTCATCAGCCATGTGGCCTGGGGCAGGTCCTTTAGCCTCCAGCCCCTCAGTGGCTGCACCTGTGACATGGGCACGGTAGCAGCACCAAGCTCCTCCAGGTGTCGTGAGGGTTCAGTGAAGTAAGGTTTGCAAAGCACTCAGCCTCAGAGTTATTACTGTTGTCACTGTTGCCATTGCTCCTTTACAACCTCAGGTGCCACACACTAAGGAATGAAGGCCTTTTCGGAACCATTTTTGACCTGAAAAGTCCACAGAAGCTGCCATCAGCCTCCTGCGTCCGCACATGTCAGACTTAAAGAAGGGAGCGGTGCAGATGGAGCCCGGTGCTTGCTCATTTTCCACTCCAGCCTGAAAAAGCTCAAGTGTGCAAGCAATTACAGGCGAGAGGAAAAGACCATCCACTCCCTAGACTAAGAGAGGAAGCAATTAGGGAGACGGTTGCCGAGGTGTTGGCAGAGAGAGCCCCAGAGAAGGGCGGGGCAGCTGTTGGAGCTGAAAGAGGAGGGATACTGAGGCTGGCAGCTGTCCTTGGAAGCTGGTCTGCAGGGGCTGGTCAGGGAGGGAGGAGGAGGGAGGGGACCCTACTTCAGCAGTTTGGAGGCACCCCAGGAAGGTGAAAGGCCGGATACCTTGCATGGGGACTCGAAACCTGGGGGCTAAGAACTCAGATGAGGGGAAAATCCTCTATCTTCATTTTCGCCAGGCTCTAATGCGTTCCCTTCTACTACAAATGCAGGCAACAAACCATGATAATTAACGGAAACTGGGACTTCATTCCTCATTTAAAAGAAAATCAGAGATATTTTCATGTCATGTTACAGCTGTTGCAACTACGTCAAACTATCATTTACTCTTCTTGCTTCTTCAAAGTTACAAAAGTTCCAGGCCTGACAATAGAGTGTGTTCTTGAATGCATGTATAAAGAAGCCCGTGTGAGGCCAGGCGTGGTGGCTCATGCCTATAATCCTAGCACTTTGGGAGGCCAAGGTGGGAGGATCACTTGAGGCCAGGAGTCTGAGACCTGCCTGGGTAACATACAGAGATTCCGTCTCTATAAAAAATTTAAAAATTACCTGGTCATGGTAGTGCGCACTTATAGTCCCAGCTACTTGGGAGGTTGAGGAGGGAGGATCACTTGAGCCCAGGAGGTCGAGGCTGCAGTGGGTATGATTGTGCCACTGCACTCTAGCCTGGGCCACAGAGCAAAACCCTGTCTCTAAAAAAATTTCTTTTAATAATTAAAAAAAAGCCCATGGCATTATGATATTAGAAACCTGTTTAATATTGTGATAACTGTTTTAGTTCAGTGGGTTTTCTTTCTGCAAACCTAGGTATTTTATGCTACACGTTTAAAGACATTATTCTGAAGAGGGGTCCACAGGCTTCATCAAACTGTCAAAGGGGTCAGTGGCACAAAAAAAAGGACAACTGCTCCCCACCACCTTAAGTCATGATGGAGTGGGTGTTTATTCAGTTTCATCTTGGCTTTTTCTTGGTGTGAATGAAGTTTGTGGAAAACATACAAGAGGCTGGAATGGGGAGACCCTTTAAAGCTGTGGGTGTCAGCCCTGGCTATATTGGGACACCCAGGCCACACCCCAGACTTGGCAAAAAGGAATGTCCGGTGTCCCACTGCCCCAGCCACAAGGGCTGCCCTGCAAATCCTGAACACAGCAAGCTCCTTCCTGCCCTCGGGACCTCTTACTGTTCCCGCCGACAGGAAAGTGCTTTTCCCAGATGTGGGCTGCCTTGCTCGCTGGTTGTTTTTTGTTTCTTTGTTTTTTTGAGACAGGGTCTTGCTCTGTTGCCCAGGCTGGAGTGCAGTGGCACGATCACCACTCACTGCAGTCTCGACCTCTCAGGCTCCAGCAATCCTCACTCTTCATCTCCCATCCCCCTCCCCAGGTAACCACCTATCTGTCCTCCCAGGCTCAAGCAATCCTCACTCTTCATCTCCCATCCCCCTCCCCAGGTAACCACCCATCTGTCTTCGTCTGTAGGATTTACCTGTTCTGGACATTTCATATAAACAGAGTCATATGGTGCATATGCTACATGGCCCTTTATGTCTGGCTTCTTTCACTCACTCAGCATCATGTTTCCAAGGTTCATCATCATAGCACGGATCAGGGCTTCATTCCCTTTGTGGCTGATGATGCTCCACTGTGTGGAACATTTATTTGGGCTGCTTCAGTGTCCAAGGATCTTAGCGGGAGAAAATCCCAGATACTTAATCCACAAGCTCAGGAATGTCAGGGGTAAGTCCTTCTGGAACATTCATCTAATTGTCAGTGGGCTCAAGGTGGAGTTAGCTCAACCTGTTGGCATAGACCACAGCCTCCAAGTGTCCAAGAGGCACACGATTAGAAAGTTGGACCTGTGAATGGCACTGACTGTGGGACATGTTTGTCCCTTACGAGAGGCCACTGGAGTGAGTCTGTAAGAGGAAATCCCTCCTGTTCAAGCAGGATACCTTCCACCGGAGCCTGCAGGGAGAATGAGCTAGTGAGACCTCAATCATGGAGGCTCTCATCTCGTGGCCTCAGTCACAACACGCCCAGAATGTCAACTCCACACCTTTGCTGCCGCTCTGATCTTCCCCCGAGAACCGGGTCTGTTTCCCAGCACAGCGATCAGATCCCATCCCCTGCAGCCTCCTCACAGCCTGTGAGTCCCAAATGTACCTCAGAGTCTTCCCACCCCAAAAGCGTCTAGGTCTTGACACCACAGTCCCCTTGTGGCCCAGGCTGGAAAACTGTAGCTATGCTTTCTTCTTTTTCCTCCTTCCCAGATTCCTCCTTTAGTAGGTCACCGAGTCTTGTTCTGAAGGCAGAATCACTATCTTTGGATCTGTTCTTTCTCTTCTGTTCCCATCCTCTCTGGGTCCAGCCCTTCATTCTCTCACCTGCACTCTTTTTTCTTTTTTCTTTTCCTTTTCTTTTTTTTTTCTTTTTTTTTTCTTTTTTGAGAGGGAGTCTCACTCTGTTGCCCAGGCTGGAGTGCAGTGGCAAGATTTCAGCTCACTGCAACCTCTGCCTCCTGGGTTCAAGAGATTCTCCTGCCTCAGCCTCCTGAGTAGCTGGGATTACAGGCATGCATCACCATGTCCAGCTAATTTTTGTATGTTTAGTAGAGACCAGGTTTCGCCATGTTGGCCAGGCTGGTATCAAACTCCTGACCTCAGGTGATCCACTCACCTCGGCCTCCCAGAGTGCTGGGATTGCAGGTGTGAGCCTCTGTGCCCAGCCTCGCCTACACTCTTTTTGCAGAATCCTCAATGTCTTCCTTATCTCCTGCCTTGGACCAATTCCTCCTCTCTGCTGCAAATTTAATAGTCTGGACTTAAGGATAGCTTTTTTTTTTTTTTTTTGGTTTGTTTGCTTGTTTGTTTTTTAATGTAAAGGACAAAAAAAAGAGTCACCAACTTTTACTAACATTTTATTTTGCCAACTAAACATGCCATAAAAAAGAATGACTGAACTGTATCTACAATGCCTGCCACTTAATGAAAAGAGATGATTACACAAAATGCATTGTAACCCGTCCCAGATGAAACCCATCAAACCCAGCAAAACCTCTTGACGTCCTTCTTTGTCTCACTTCACCTGAGGCTGAACAACCTTTGCCCAGTACTGAGGAATGATGGGCATTTGGAGCCACGGGCGCATGGAATATGATCCAAACTCCAGCATCACTCCCAAGACAGCTGCCTGTGTGAGAAGAGATGAAGAATAAGAGGATAAGAGAAAAAGCTAAAGTGACATTAAAAAAAGAGAGAGAGAAGGGCCAGGCGCGGTGGCTCACGCCTGTAATCCCAGCACTTTGGGAGGCGGAGGTGGGCAGATCACTTGAGGTCAGGCATTCAAGACCAGCCTGGCCAACATGGGGAAACCCTGTCTCTACTAAAAATAAAAAAAAATTAGCTGGGCGTGATGGCGGGCGCCTGTATTCCCAGCTACTCGGGAGGTTGAGGCAGGAGAATCGCTTGAACCCGAGGGCGGAGGTTGCAGTCAGCCGAGATCGCACCATTGCACTCCAGCCTGTGTGACAAGAGCAAGACTCTGTCTCAAAAAAAAAAAAAAAAAACCCAAAAGAGAGAGAGAGAAGGAGAGAGTTGAAAGGGGAGGGAGCAAGAAAAAAAGAGAGAGAGAGAGCGCGCTGGGTAAGGGATGAGGAAGTCATAAGGAAACTAATGCTATGAGATGAAGTGATGTTTGGACGCAGAAGAAAACCAAGTGCGTGAGAGCAGAGAGCAAGACTAAGGCTCTGCCCAGGTTGCAGGAGGAAAGAGAAACCGATGAACACAGAATGAATGAATGACATTCACGACAGTGTCTTTGTAACTGGAGAAAGTATGACTGCCAACAAAAACAATACACCAAACATTGTGATGGAAAGAAAATCTCGTCCTGTTTTAAAGATGAAAACGGTATTAGAAATTCACAGCTTGCGCGCGCACACACACACACACACACACACACACACACACACACACACACACGGAACAGGCAGCAGAGGAATGGGAGATAGTTCAATGTCATTGATCTCACTTTACACAGATACGATTTCATTCCTGACCTTGATCATGACAGAGAGGCTTGAATGTTTCGTACTTAAAGCCTCGTGTTCGACAAAAAACCATTTGACATCCTTAGAGGGAAAAGGAAGAAAATAGTTTCCACATATAGAGAGTACTAAATAGCGGAGATTGCAAAGAGAACTAAAACACAACAGAAAACAAGATGAGAGAAGGAACACTTAGCGGATTAGTTAGGAAAATAAATAAAAATGGATTAAACGGCACAAAGATGAACTCTAGCACAAATGGGAAAATCCAACATCCAACTACGTGCCTTATAGAAGGAACATGCCTAAAATGAGGTGACACCGAAATACAGGGAGGGACAAAAAAATGCGTCTGGCCGCTGCAGAAGGGAAAACAAGACGGACAGATACTGAGGGAGATAAGTGAATACGTCATCAATCAGTAAAGCCAATGAAGCATTCAGCTTTTCAGAAGACGGAGACTTTGAAGGAAAAGGCGTCAGATGGATCATTCTGTATTGATAAAATCACTTTGCCCCAAATAATTCAGCCTTGATAGATGCAGAAGACATAGGCTGAAACCCACTTGAAAATCTGATCTTCATCCCTCTCTCTCTCTCCCTCCACCCAGCACATGTCTGAGTCCTTAGCTCTGACAGTGAACTTTATATTTTTTCACAAGTCTTTAACTCAAAGATTTTTTTCTCTCTCTCTCTTTCCAAGGAACTTCTATTCAGAAACCATTCCAGGCACTTGGAATTCGGAATCTAAATATCCCTGACGCAGCCCCAGGCCCTAACTGCCCCCCGCCCCTCCCCGGCCGCCTGCCACGGCCGTCATATCTTATTTTTTCTTACCATCTGTCCTCACCGCTCAGTCCTAATTCCCCGAGCTGCTTGCCCTCTTCCTGCCCCAGGCATATTGTGCTTATTCACGAAGCCGGAGCTTTCTCTGGAGATAAGAAATAAGTTCATCCTTCCTGTTCACCGTTCAACCACACACACCCTCTGGGGATTCGAGAATGCTGAAGTGTTAAGCAATACAGTTGTCAAAGTGGCTTTCCTTTCATGGTAGCCAAAAAGTGGAAATAACTCATGCATCCATCGATGATTGAATGGATGAGCTGTGGTCCAGCCACACAATTGAATATTATTCAGCCATAAAAAGGAACGAGGTTCTCACACATGCTACAACATGGATGAACCTTGACAGCATCATGCTTAGGGAGAGAACCCAGACACATATTGTATTGTTCCATTTCTATGAAACACCCAGAATACATAAATCCATAGAGACAATACAGAACCCAGAAAGCAGAACCCAGCGGAGATGGAGTTTCATGGTGACAGAGTTTCCGTTTGGAATGATGAAAAAGTTCTGGAAATAGTGGTGATGGTTGCACAGCATTGTGAATGTTCTTAATGCCACTGAATCGTACACTTAAAAATGGATTAAAAGGCACATTTTATGTCACTTATATTTTACTACAATTTTTAAAAATGGGAAAAAAGAGACCAGGTGTGGTGGCTTATGCCTGTAACCCCAGCACTTTGGAAGGCTGAGGCGGGCAGATCACTTGAGGTCAGGAGTTTGAGACCAGCCTGGGCAACATGGTGAAACCCCGTCTCTACTAAAAATACAAAAATTAGCCGGGCGTGGTGGTGGGTGCCTGTAATCCCAGCTACTTGGGAGGCTGAGGCAGGAGAATCACTTGAACCTGGGAGGCGGAGGTTGCAGTGGGCCTGCGCCACTGCACTCCAGCCTGGGCGACAGAGTGAGGATTCTTCTCAAAAGAAAGAAAAGAAAGAAAGAAAGAAAAAGTGGCTTTCCTCCCCTCAGCATGTGGAAATCCCCCTTTCTAAGGGCTGGGGCTCCGATTACGTGCAGGTGGAATAATGCAGGATTTTACAGTGGGCAGGACTCTAGTGCCCTGAGTTTTGCTTTTCCATGGAGTCTGGAGACAGTGGCCCTCCACGATGGACCGTTAACTTCAGTGACTGGGATTCTCCCCTGTCATAGCTGCCTGTCCACGGGGATGAGGGGTCATCACAAAGTATCTCAGACGCTGCACTAATTTCCCGTGGCTGCTGTAACAGGTGCCTCAAACTGGGTGGCTTAAAGCAACAGTGACTTATTCTCTCACGGTTCTGGAGGCCAGGAGTCTGAAGTCGAGGTGTAGGCAGGGCCCTCTGAGACCCTGGGGAGAGTCCTCTGCCTTTCCAGCTCCTGGTGGTGCCAGCGTTCTGGGACATTCCTGGGCTTGTGGCCATGTCGCCCTGATCTCTGCCTCCGCAGTTGCACTGGCTTCCCTGTGTGATCTCTCCTCTTCTTTTTTTTTTTTTGAGACGGAGTCTTACTCTGTCACCAGGCTAGAGTGCAGTGGCACAATGTCGTCTCACTGTAACCTCTGCCTCCCGGGTTCAAGTGATTCTCCTGCCTCAGCCTCCCGAGTAGCTGGGATTACAGGCGCCCACCACCACGCTCAGCTAATTTTTGTATTTTCAGTAGAGACGGGGTTTCACCATGTTGGCCAGGATGGTCTCGATCTCCTGACCTCATGATCCGCCTGCCTCGGCCTCCCAAAGTGCTGGGATTACAGGTGTGAGCCACCGCGCCTGGCCTCTCCTCTTCTTACAAGGACATCAGTCATCTTGGATTAGGTTCCCTCTCCTGACCTCAGCTGAACTTGATCTCATCTGCAGAGACCCTCTTTCTACAAGGTACTGTCCACAGGTCCCAGGGTGAGGATTTGAACATATCTTTTGGGGGGACACAGTCAGCCCAGAGCAGGTGTTTCCTGGAAAGTGTGTGGTTCCCTCTCGGCTTATGAAGGGAGTATGAGCCATATCTGGGTTGATAATGGGCTTTGCTGTTCTCAGAGGCAAAGGCATAACTCTCTCTGGGAGTACTGCTTTTCCTGGGGGGATTCCGTCAGAACGGAGCTGGCCTGGGGATCAGGCAGTGGGATCCCCAGGCCGGCCCCGAGCCATGCATTTCTCTCCTGGGGGTCCGCTGGCTCCGGGGCAGAACACAGGCCTGTGTGGTCAGCTGAGCTGGGCCCTGGGGGCCAGGGAGACCTCACTCACGCCTGGCCTGCCTTCCAGGCAGAGGAACGCGGAGCAGAGAGGACCTCTGTCCCTCACACACCCCTCACCGGGCCCGGGGGGCATGTGCTGCCCCAGACCGAGCAGAACTGGTTCACAACAAGGCTCCCAGAATGACCCTGGGGCCACAGCGGCTGCTGCTCTGCTAGGGGTGCGTGGAGTTTGGTTGGTGTCCACCTACTTGGCTCAGGTGTCTCCAGAGGGCCCCAACTTCCTCCCTGCCTGGCTTGGGTCTAAAAGAAAACACCAGAAGTTTTCAGGCACCCTGGCTCAGCAGCCGCGAACCAGGCCTGGCCCCTCAGCTGACCACACTGGGCCTCTGCTCCCTGGAGGCCAAGTTGAGAGACTCTCCCAAGAGTGGAGGCCACTCCCTTTAGCCCCTCGCAGAAGTTGCTGCCTCCTGCTCTACTGGTGTGACTGCCTGGCTCTGTCTTCCTTTCCCTCCTCCACCTCAGAATCTCTCTCCAGCCTCCAAATATCCCCTTCCTCACCCCATCGGTTAGGTGAGCAGGCCATGGCCAGGCTGCTGGTGCAATTCCATTCCATCTTTAGCCAGCTGTGTGGCCTTGGGTGACAAGCTCGACCTCTCTGTGCCTTGGTTTCCCTGTCTCTAAAGTGGGGCCACAGTGCCATGGCCGAGCAGCACGCCTTAGAAAGAGCTTCTCTCTGGAGATGTATTTTCTTTCTTTCTTTCTTTCTTTCTTTCTTTCTTTCTTTCTTTCTTTCTTTCTTTCTTTCTTTTCTTTCTTCCTTTCTTTCTTTCTTTTCTTTCTTTCTCTCTCTCTCTCTTTCTTTCTCTCTCTTTCTTTCCTTTCTTTTTCTTTCTTTCTTTTCTTTCTCTCTCTCTCTCTTTCTCTCTCTCTCTTTCTTTCTTTCCTTTCTTTCTTTCTCTCTCTCTCTTTCTCTCTTTCTTTCTTTCTTTTTTTTTTTTTTTTGACAGAGTCTCACTCTGTTACCCAGGCTGGAGTGCAGTGGTACAATCTCAGCTCATTGCAACCTCCGCGTCCCAGGTTCAAGTGATTCTTGTGCCTCGTAGCTGGGATTACAGGTGCACGCCACCACGTCCAGCTAATTTTTGTATTTTTGGTAGAGACAGGTTTTCACCATGTTGCCCAGGCTGGTCTTGAACCCCTGGCCTCAAGTGATCCTCCCACCTTGGCCTCCCAAAGCGCTGGGTGGGATTGCAGGTGTGTGCCACTGCGCCCAGTCTGAAGATGTATTCTCTTGCACCTCAAGTTCTCTCCTGCCCTTCTCTCTCCATGTCCTAATTCCTTCAGCTCTTCACTTGGTCACTCATTCACTCAACAAACGTTTGTCAAGCATTCGCCTCATGTCAGGCGGTAAAGCTCCAGGTGATAAAGATACAGAGATGCCCCCGCCACCTAGGCCCCACCTTTGTGAAACCCACAGCTGTGTAGAGGACAATTTCAGAGCCTCGCCTATCCCTGGGGATCGCTGCCCCATACCCACCGGCGTCTCCCTGCGCCTGGTGTCCCCGTCCCCTGGCCCCTCGAATTCTCCTGGTCTCCATGACCAGGAAGAGACCCCACCCCCCACTCTGGTTCCCTGTTTCTCAGCCCATAAGGAAGTTTCTTCCATGCAGTGGGGTCCACTCAGGGGGACCAGGGGCTTGCCTCAGGGGCCCCTCCCTGGCCCCTTTGTGGTCCTGCCATATTCTTCATCTCCTTCCAGAAGCTTCTTGCCGTTGTCTTTCGGGACACGGCTCTCCTCTTCTGACCTCTAAACTTGCCCTCTTTGCGATCTCAGCCATTTCTGGGGCTGACCTCCCATAGGGCTGGCCCTGGCTGCGTGGAGACTGAAGTGACTCCAAAGCTAATTTGCCTGGTGCCTCACTGAGCAAAAAGCCCTTCCTTCTAGAAGCTTTCTTTCGTCTTCCCAACGGTCCTCGGGGAGACTGACTTACCGAAGATCAAATGTGGCAGGGGTTCTTACACATGAGTGTGCATCAGAATTCCCAGAGGGCCTGTGCAAACACAGATCCTGCCCCCGCCCCGACAGGCCTTGGTGGGGCCTGAGAATCTGTATCTCTAGCAAGTTCTCAGAGGTTGCTGATGTTGAAATAAGTGCTAGGTGAATGGCACTGCAAGGTAAACCTGGTCTTCCTAACTCCACCATGTCAGTGACACTAAGCTTGTTCCACTGGGCATCACGGGGGTGCTTGATCAGCCATGGACTTCCAGCTCCATCCCTGGAGATTCTAACTCAGTTGGCCTTGGGAGGGGCCCGGGGGACTGTGTTTCTCATCAGCTCCTTGGGTGATTCTTGACATCGGGCAAGTTTGGGAACTGCCCAGTGTCATTGCCAGGAGCATGCCAGGCCCCTCCACCTGGAAGTCGTCTGGTCCCCTAAGCTTCGGATTTCCAAGCCAAGCTCATGCTCTTGTTTCTTGAAGCCTTGCATATCTTCCTCTGCCTGTGCCTCCCCATTCGCCCAGTTCCCTGGCTCCAGATCTCAGCCCCTGCTTCTCCCCACCACACCACATGGGGTCAGTTGCCAACATGTATCCACAATCTTACCCAAGTACATCTCCCATCCACTTCCTCCTTTTTTTTTCAGACAGAGTCTCACTGTGTTGCCCAGCCTGGAGTGCAGTGGTGAAATCTCGGCTCACTGCAACCTCCACCTCTCGGGTTCAAGCAATTCTCTGTCTTAGCCTCCCGAGTAGCTGGGATTTCAGGTGCCCCCCACCATGCCCAGCTGATTTTTGTATTTTCAGTAGAGACGGGGTTTCACCATCTTGGCCAGGCTGGTCTTGAACTCCTGACCTCAGGTGATCCACCTGCCTCGGCCTCCCAAGCTGCTGGGATTACAGGCGTGATCCCGCCGTGCCCGGCCTTCCTCCTTTTTATTCTTGCTCTGTCGTCTTGGGTCAGGCCTTTATCAGTTATTGCTAGGACTAGTGCAGTAGCCTCTAACCAACTCTCTTCACTTCAGTACCACCCCCTCCAGTCCATTCTCTCTACTGTTGCCTCCCTTAACCCCCTGCATGCTGCACCCTGGGTGCAGGCCCAGCCCCAGCTCAAAGGGCACAAGGCCAGAGTGTGGCCCGACAGCCCAGGGAACAGCAGGTCCTCCACTGGAGACTAGTGTATGACCCAATGCCCAGCAAGAGCAGGGTCTGGAAACGAAGGTGTGCTCCGCTCTGGGCTCTGAGTGGGGGCTTTCCTCCAAAGGTGGGACAGGGGCTTGGATTCTGTGAAAGGGGCCACACTCACTTCCTCAGAGCAGCCCAGAGCAGACATCCCCACCCTGACTCTGCAGTGGTGACCCCTGTGTTCCCAGCTCACTTGAAAACAAAATAATTTTTATTTTAAGAAATACAGGACTGGTGTACTTGCATGGGGAGAGAGTGTGGATGCTCCTCAAGCTAGCGAGGAGGGCTCGGTGGCTCCTGAGAGGCTGGTACCTGCTGGTGGCTGTTTGGTCACCTGTGTGCTGCCCTGGGGTTTCCTGATGTCATAAACATGGGAGGGTGCTTTCTCATCCAGGCCTCCTGGGCTGGGTTCTGGATGATTCCGTAGGTGCTTTAGTCACAGTGTTGGGACACCAGACGCCGAAGACAGTCTCCTTGTAAACATGCCCGAGGGTCTGAATGACATGGAGCATCAGACAGTCTTGGGAGACCCTCGGCCCCAGGGGACAGACTCAGAGCAAGCACCTCTTCACAGGTGACAAGCCGCACCATTTATGGCACCCTGGCCAAGCATCAGACACTGTTCTGGGGCTTACACATATTGGAAATCAATTTGTCCCCACAGTGGCCCAAGGAGGCAGGCATGGAAAATGACACCCATTTTAGAGATAAGGAAACCGAGGACAGAACGGTTAGGTAACTTGCCCAACAACACACAGAGAGTAAGTCATAGATATGAGGTTCAAAACCAGGCAGTCTAGGAGCCCAGGCATGTAACCACTGCACTGTGTGGCCTGTCTACCAGTAATACTGGAACTTTCCCACTGAAGAAGACACAGAGAACTGTACCCTCCTACACAGACAAACAAACCTGCAAACACACACACTAATAAAATATTCCTACCTTAGGCAACCTACATCGCAGGGGCCCAGAGAGTTCGTTGCTGCTGTTTGCTTTCTCATTTCATTTTAAAATAGTTTAAAACTCACAGGAAGTCACAAAAATAGCAGAGTTCCCTTACCCCAGCTCCCGCCAGTGACAGCACCTTTCCTGCCCACTGCCCATTGTCCAAATCAGGAAATTGACATGGCTCAATATTATTAACTGAAATACAGGTCTTATTTGGATTTCACCAAAGAGCCAAAAGAAGTGAAAGTGTGATTGAATAGCTCAGGCTGTTGGTTGGAACTCACCAAATGTTAGGAGCCAGAAGGATTTTAAGACGCACCGCCTCTGTGTCCATCCTCTTACAGAACATCGTGGTGAGGGTGGAGTGTTGGGAACACAGGTGAGACACGGTGCCTCTGAGGATCCTGGATTCCACTGCCGGGTGTGGAGGGACCATGCGGCCCTGAGGGTCTCAGGACATTGGGAACTTGCTCAGGATTTCAGTCCAGAACCTCCTGCTTCTCCGTCTGTCCATAGCATCCCAAAAGCCATGGAGTAAGAGTGGGGACCAGGAGGCGGGAAGTGGGGGTGGTCATTGGCTTTGCTGCAGGTGTGGGTCCAGCCGCTCGGGGCTTCCCCTGCTCCAGGTGGGAGGCTGCTGTGAACACACACAACAGCAGCGAGAAGGAGCTCCCCGAGAGAACAGTTGTGTCTTGGCGGTGTCCTCGAAAATAAATCTCGAAAGTGCTTTTCAAGAATGGAGGTGTCATTTGCACACAGATCCATGAAATGCGCAGATTTTATGTGTACAACTTATGGGGATTTGAGAAAAGTATACGCCTGGGTAAATAACACCCTAATCGAGATTTAGAACCGTCCATCGTTGCCTGCCTCTTCTAAATCATCCCTCCAGGTGTAACCACTATGCGGACCTTTGTAGAATTTCCCATAAATAGAATCACAGCGGGTTCCCTTTTGTGTCTGGTTCCCTTCATCATCGTCGGACACGTGAGGCGCCCCACGCTGTTGGGTATATCAACACTCAGTTCATCATTACTGTTCACTGCACTTCTTAGTACAATTACACCACGGTATGTTTATCCACTCATCTGTTGATGGATATTTCGGCTGTTTCCAGGTTCAAGCTGTTGCAAAGAAAGCTTCTATGAGCATTCATGCACAGATCTTTGTGTGGACATAGGTGTTCATTTCTCTCGAGTAAATTCGTCTAATGGATTCTCCTGGGGACAAGGCAAAGGTAAAAGCTAACCCTAATTCTAACACTGACCCTAATCCTAACCCCAACCCTAACCCTGAGCCTAACCATACCACTAGCCCTACCCTTAACCCTACCCCTAACACTAACCTTAACCCCAACCCTAATCCTAACCCCTAACCCTAATCCTAACCCCTAACCCTAACCCCAACCCCAACCCTAACCCTAACCCCAACTCTAACCCTAGCAAAAGTACGTTTAACTTTGATTAATAAAAAAGAGACTCCAGCCTTTTACTAACTAGGCTATGACAGAAACTCATAATTTAAAATAGCCTAGAAAGCATTTGTTTTTTGTCTTTAGGATGCAGGTTCTGATATTTTGGGGGTAGATTCATTACCCTATGTGACCAGTTATATTGGTTCTCAATCAATTGAGACCCACCTACCAGTTAAAGGTGAGGAGAAGATTTTCATGTGGGGAAAAGCTAACCTGGAATTTAAAATGTGTATTTATGGCCCAGAGATGGGAGAGCTAGAGAGTACCTAAAAGGTCACTGTGATGGATTAAGAGTCTCCTTGACTCAAATTCAAGTCTACCCTAAACCTCAGACTGTGACCATGTTTGGAAATAGAGTGTGCAGGTGTGATCAGTTAAGGTGAGGTTGTACTGGAGTAGGATGGGCCCTAAATCCAATTCTATTCTCATGGAGTTCCTGGGATTGTTGCTGTAGCCCAGCCCCTCTGGGCACCAGGGTCCCAGGAATGGTACAGGTGAAGCGCAGCCTATATAGCTTATCCCAGAGAAACAGAAATAATTTGTTCTAAATAGAATCTGACAAGCAAGAGCTCAGCTTTCCTTAAATCGTTACCCATCATATTGCTTCCTAAGACACTGGATTGAGTTTCCGAAGCCAAGTGGAGGCCCTGACAGTTGGGAAGTCAAGCTTCTGGGGATGGGACAGGAGCCTCCTATGACCCCAGACGAGAGAAGAGTTGAAACCTGGCCTTTCCTAATGTGTTGGGCAAGACCAAGCTTTATTTTACCTGTTTCAGCAAAAACTCTCATGAGAAAGTCCTGAAGGTCCTCCCAAGCCCCCATCTTAACTCAGGGTCCACATTTTCACCTTCATGGCAGGATGTTTCTCCTCTAAAGGAACTTCTAATACTTTTCCCCTTGTAAACATCTTCAGAGGGCCGCCCTAATTTGTGTATTATGTTGGTGCATGTCTTTGTTGATATTTCTTCCAATGGTGTGTCTGTGGCTCTGTCCTGCGGTGGAGGGTTAGTTCAGATCTCTTTGAGTCATCCAGTGATAATATCAATAGCAACAATGGCAAACACTTATGGAGAGCTTTCCTTGGTAATGGCTCCTGTATTAGTCCGTTCTCACATTGCTATAAAGACACTACCTGAGACTGGGTAGTGGTAATTTACAAAGCAAAGAGATTTGATTGACTCACAGTTCTGCATGGCTGTGGAGGCCTCAGGATACTTACAATCATGGCGGGAGGTGAAGGGGAAGCAGGCACCTTCTTCACAAGGTGGCAGGAGAGAGGGAGGGGGAACTGCCAAACACTTTTAAACCATCAGATCTCATGAGAACTCACTCAGTATCACAAGAACAGTATGGAGGAAACTGTCCTCATGATCCAATCACATTCTACCAGATCCCTCCCTTGACACATGGGGATTACAATTTTAGATGAGATTTGGGTGGGGACACAGAGCCAAACCATATCAGCTCCCGTCATCCCCACTAATACCCTCCTCTCCCAAACCACCCCAGTCAATCTAACTAACAATAGTGGGCTTGCTATGGAACAGCCCCTGCAGATGTCCATGTTCTAATCCCAGACCCTGAGTCTATGTTACCTTCCATGGCAAAGGGGACACTGCGGATGGGAGTAAGCCAAGGATCCTCAGATGGGAAGATTCTCCTGGAGTATCTGGGGTGGCCCGATGTCATCACAAACATCCTTAGAAGTGACAGTGGGAGACAGGAGGGTCTGAGTCAGAGAGAGCCTGGGGAATGCCATGCTGCTGGCTTTGAAGACAGAGGAAGGGGCCAAGAGCCAAGGAACACAGGCAGCCTCTGGAAGCTGGAAAAGTCAAGGAATGGATGTTCCCCAAAAGCCTCCACCAGGAACACAGCCCCGCGGCGCCTGGATTTTAGGCCCATTTCCCACTTCTGACCTCCCGAATGATGAGAGAATAAATGTGTGGCTTAGCGGCTTTAAGCCACTACGTTTATGGGAATTTGGAACAGTAGCCACAGGAAGCTCATCCCTTATGCAAACCCAACTTGCAGATGAGTCCCTCGGTCCCTTTTCCTGACAGCTGCCCCTAACCCTCATCCACACAGATCCTAGACCCACCGCTCCTCCCATGTGTCAGGAATGTAACCGAGCGTTTCGATTCCTTCTCTTTTCATCTTCATACCTGTCTTAGGTATTTTAGTTATTGTTCCCATTGACAGATAAAGGAATTTGGCCCAGGAACTTTGACTCTCTCCAAAGAGGAAGCCACCTTTCTAGTCTCAGGTAGACTCCCTGAGTCATGGCCACTGGGAATCTTTGGTCTGGGGGCCTGAGATCTGAAATCAAGGTGAGATCCCCAGACCTTGGAATGCATCTTTCTCCTCCAGCCCCATGCCCAGAACGTGCTGAATTTCTCCTTCCAGATGCAGTGTGGCCCCAGCTAACCATGTTCCTCCCTTGGTTTCTCCATCTCATGTGCGCATGTCTGAATTCTAGCACCTACACCAGGCTATACATCTTTCTGTACACACTCAGGCTTTACCACCAGAGTGTGAGGCTTTGGAGGGGGAAACATGCTTTGTCATTCACTCCACATTCAACACGTATTCACTGAGCACTTTCTGTGTGCCAAGTACTATTCTAGGTGCTGGGGATAGAGTAGTGGGCAGGACAGACAAAGATCCCTGCCCTGGAGTTCAAGACCAGCCTGGCCAACGTGGTGAAACCCCATCTCTACTAAAAATACAAAAATCAGCCAGACGTGGTGGTGGGCACCTGTCATTCCTGCTACTCTGGAGGCTGAGGCAGGAGAATCGCTTGAACCTGGGAGGCGGAGGTTGCAGTGAGCCAAGATCATGCCAGTGCACTCCAGCCTGGGCGACAAGAGCGAAACTCTGGGAAAAAAAAAACAAAACAAAACCCTGCCCTTGGGGAGTTTATGTGCTGACAGGGTAAACAGACAGTCAGTAGCAAACACAGTAAATAAGTCAATTATAGAATCTGCTAGAAGGTAGAAGTTGCATGGGATCAAACAGAGAAGAACAAGGTGGGCAGGCAGGCCAAGTGAGGGTGGGGGAGATGAGTTGAAATGCAGATAGAGTGGGCCATAGTCCTTCCTGAGATGTGCAGAGACTTGAGAGAAGTGAGGAAACAAGACATGCAGAGATCTGGGGGAAAGTGTCCCGGCAGGGAGAAGATGAGTGTAAAGCCTGGGGCAGGAGCGAGCTTGGTGTATCCCAGGACTAGCAGGAGGGCCTGGGTGGCTAGGGCAGGTTGGGCGGAGGAGAGAGCACTGCCTGGGTCAGAGTGAAGGACGAGGGTGGAGCTGGGCCTTGCAGGGCCTTAGAGGGGCGTTGCAATGACTTTGATGTCAACTCCGAGTGAAACAGTCCCATCCCAGCACCAGTGTAAGCCCAGGCCCCTCACCACCTGGCAAATATTTAAGTAGATAAAGAAGTGCCCCAGCAAATAGAGCATTCACAACATGCAAAATTGTTAGCCTGAAAGGAGGGGAAGGCTACGAGAGACGGAGGTCTCTTTCTTTTCCTGCTTTTCCTGGTCCTTTTCACAGGACTTGCTAAGGTTGTTGGGACAAATCACCATGACAAGGAGGCCTGAAGCAACAGAAGTTCATTGTCTCACAGTTCTGGAAGCCAGAGGCTGAAATTGAGGGGTCCACAGGGCCACACTCCCTCCGAAGTTCTCTACGGAATAATCTGTCCCGGGCCTCTAGCCCAGCTTCCGGTGGTTGCTGGCAATCTCTGCCGTTGCTTGGCTGGTAGCTGCGCCACTCCAATCTCTGCCTCTGTCTTCATGTGGTGTCCCTCGTGTGTCTGTATTCTCTCCTCTTCATCTTCTTCTTCTTCTTCCTTTTTTTTTTGACAGGATCTTGCTGTTTTGCCCAGGCTGGTGTGCAATGGTAGGATCTCTGCTCACTGCAACCTCTGCATCCCTGGACTCAAACGATCCTCCTGCCTCAGCCTCCCAAGTAGCTGGGACTATAGGCATGTACCACCACACCTGGCTAATTTTTGTATTTTTTGTAGAGACAGGGTTGCACCACGTTGCCCAGGCTGGTCTCAAACTCCTGAACTCAAGTGATCCACCTGCCTTGGGGTCCCAAAGTGCTGGGATTACACTCTCCTCTTCTTGTAAGGACAGTCCTTGATCAGGGCCCACCTAACCCAGTACGACCTCCTCTTCACTTCATCACATCTGCAAAAATCCTCTTTCCAAGTTAAGTCACATTCGTGGGTACCTGAAGCTAGGACTTGAGTATATCTTTAGGGGACACCATTTAATCCACTCCAGAGCCCTTATTTGCCTGTCATTTGTCCCTGTGTGTGTTCCTGTGTATGTGTGCATGTGTGTGTGTGTATTAACTCACGGGAGTTCACCTCACTGTCACGTCCTTCAGCACGTAATAGGGCTGTGTTTCTCAAACACCCCAGGCACAAAAGCTCACCCTCAAATGATGTATGTGCAGGCTGCCAGCAGCATCACAAAACCGTGTATCTGAGTCTTCTCCCAGAATGAGCCTGGAACGAGACTCCCCGAGTCTGAGAGCCACGGCTCAGGGCTTTTTTTTGCTCATTTCCTTCCTGGGAGACACCAAGTCAACATGCTGGGGTGCCCTTGTCCTCGGGCAGGGCTGAGAGAATATCGTTCAAGAGCTCCAAATGTCTCACTCTCCCCACCAGCTCCACAAAAGGGGGATTCAGAGCTCCGGTGGGAAGCAGACAGGTGGAGCATGTAAGGGGCTGTCTGCTGAGAAGAATGTGGCAATTCATCCTGAGGATCCGTGAGCTGGCTGGGGCAGTGGAAATTGGGCCCGATCTGCAGAGTGGCCCAGAGGGGCAGGGAAGCTGGCATGGGTTACCCAGAGCCTCCAGGACATCATCCCCCTTGGGAGGAGGCAGACTAGCCTGGACCAGGGCTCACTGTAGAATAAAGTGAATGGTGTCCCAGGACTCAGCATCAGGGGCCTTTGCAGCCTGGTGTCCTACCTGCCCAGCGCTCAGCTGATGGGGAGGCTGGTAAGGCTGCAAATGGCGTTGGAGGGGGCCCACCTCACCCATTCCTGACGGATAGTGGAGATGAAAGGGTTAGCCCTTCTCAATTAAATAAAGAACCTCTTTGATCATTATTTTGAAGGATTCAGACACTGTTTTTCACCATGACTGCAATGGACTGAATGTGTTCTCCCAAAATTCGTATGCTGAAACTTCAGTCACCAATGTGATGGCATTAGGAGGTGGGGCCTTTGAGAATTAGGTCATGGGGGTAGAGCCCTTGTGAATGGGATTAGTGCCCTTACAAGGAGTTACAGGAGACAGCCTTCTCCCTCTACCTCTTTCTCTCTCTCTTTCTTTCTTCCCACCCTCCACTACCTCTCTTTCTCTCCCTCTTTGCCCTCCCACCATGTAGTGCCTTCTACCATGTTATGACACAGCAAGAAGGCTCTCACCAGATGCTGGCACCTTGATATTGGACTTCCTAGCCTCCAGAACCATAAGACAATAAATTCCCCTTCATTATAAATCACCCAGTCTGGGCCGGGCGCAGTGACTCATGCCTGTAATCCCAGCACTTTGGGAGGCCGAGGCGGGTGGATCACGAGGTCAGGAGATCGAGACCATCCTGGCTAACATGGTGAAACCCCGTCTCCACTAAAAATACAAAAAATTCTCCGGGCCTGGTGGTGGACGCCTGTAGTCCTAGCTACTCTGGAGGCTGAGGCAGGAGAATGGCGTGAGCCCGGGAGGCGGAGCTTGCAGCGAGCCGAGATCGTGCCACTGAACTCTAGCCTGGCGACAGAGCGAGACTCCGTCTCAAAAAATAAAATAAAATTTAAAAAAATCACCCAGTCTGTGGTATTCTATATTGCAACACAAAACAGACGAAGACAGGAAGACAAAAAATTAAATCGGAACAAATCATTTTAATGTTCAGAATATTTGATTATTAATTTCTTGGGCAAAATCTTGCCCCAAAGTGATCTCAGGGAAGCTTCATCCTGTCCTGCAAGAAGCTTTCCCTAACACCTTTGTATCAGTTTTCCATTGCCACAATAATGCCACGTAATGGTCGTAAGACCTCAGTTCATTGCACACACTTATGGAATCAGTGAGGGGCCAGTTTAGTGGCTTGACTGTCTGGCTGGGCTCACTCATGTGTCTGGGGGCCAGCTGACTGTTGACTGATCTAGGCTGACCTCAGCAGGAGTGACAAGGACTAGCCTGGGCAAGTTCCCATGGTGATGACAGAGGCCCACAAGAGCAACAGGAAACCTGGAAGGCCCCTTGAGGCCTAGCTGGGAACTGCTACACCACCATATCTACCTCAGTTCTATTGGCCAAAGCAAGGCACATGGGTGGGCCCAGAGTCCGGATAAGAAAGTGCTGCAAGGTTCTAAAGCAGAGATCTTGGGTCTGGGACAGGGACAAAGATTCAGAGCCATTGTCATCACCTAACACAACTGCCTCTCCTCAAAGACCCCTGAGCTCCAGTGTGGCTCAGTGCTTCAGGACCCAGTGAATTCTATATTTTCTGAGACAGGTCACAACTTCTGGTCCACAAGCTCAGACATGCCGCTCTCCAAAATAAATTCATTTTTCTCTAACTCAATTTCTGTGCGAAGCCCCCAATCCACCTCTTGGCAGAACAGAACCTCAGCCAATATAGGGTCATTTTGTTAAAATCAGAATGTTCTGGGGGCAGTTTATGGTATCTCCTTCCATTCCTTAGTGGGGTTGGGTTTGAGATCTACAAGGTCTTTGGGGATATTGAGCAGGGAAGCCCTCCGACATTTGCTGACATTTCCAAATTTCCTGTGTGGACTGGGTCGCTGGTCCCACAGTTTAAGGGGCCCCTTTCTTTCCTAGTCTTCACTTCAAGTCCTTGTACCTCAGGACTGCCAGGCCCTTCTGGGGGAGGGGAGGGCGGGTACTCCCCAGGGACCCTCAGATACTCTCACGCCAAACTCTGGGGCCACAGGGCACCCATGGGAAAGAATACGGACCTACTGCCCCACTCCTCAGAGTGTTTCTGATCCTGTGCAAGCTGGTATGAGGAAACTTCTAGAAAACAAGGCTCTGGTCTTCTTGGTTCTCAAGTCCCGGGACCACCTCATCTCAGCATGGTGTTCCGAGCCTGAGATGGAGTACAGGAGGTGGGGAGCAGCCCCTCTCTGATGTCCTGGCTAATTGCCTCTGTGATCCCCTTCTCTGAGGAATTTCCATTCTCTCTTGGCAAGAGTAGAGAGAGGGCTGTATTGGCCCTGGGAATATCCAATCTCCCATTTAGGCCCAAATCCCAACTTTTGATGCTCAAGAGACAAAAATTAATATCTTTTGTTCTTCTCTGTATTTCTGCTGGAACAACCCTTCCCTGAAGTTGTACTAGCAGAAAACCAGGGAAAGGAGTTCATATTTCAAACTATGGCCGCATCATATTTCTATGAATGGTAGTACGGGACTGGGCCTTATCCATCACCCAGGGAGGCATCGTAAGTGGTGGGAAAACCTGGATCTGGATGACCTCAATTCCAGTCCTGGCTCAGCCACTTGCAAGCTTAACGTCTCTGAGCTTGCATCTACCCAAGCAGGCTTGCAGCAGATCTGAAAAATGCATGTGTTAGGCAGAATAATGGCCCTCTCCAAAAGGCATCCCCACCTTCATCCCAGGAACTTGCAAATATGTTGGGTTACGTGGCAGAGGGGAATTAAAGTTGCTCATCAATGACCCTGAGATGGAGATGTTGTCCTAGATTATCTGGGTGGGCTCAGTGTCATCACAATGTCCTTAAAAGTGAGAGAGAGAGAGAGGCAGAAGTAGAGAGAGCCAAAGGAAGATGTGGCCATGGAGGGCAGATCTAGAGAGGGTAGCATGAGAAGGACTCAGCCGTGAGCCTGGGGCTGGTGGGTGGGCACCAGAGCTGGAAAGTTAAGGAGATGATTCCCCCCAGAGCCTCCAGAAGGAACCAGCCCTGCTGACACCTTGGTCTTAGCCCTGTGAGACCCGTGTCAGAGCTACAGTGCTGGAAGATGACAAATGTGTGTGTTTTTAAAGTCACTAAGTTTGGGCCGGGTGCAGTGGCTTACTCTTGTAATCCCAGTACTTTGGAGGCCGAGACGGGCGGGTCACCTGAGATCAGGAGTTCGAGACCAGCCTGGCCAACATGGTGAAACCCCGTCTCCACTAAAAATACAAAAATTAACCAGGAGCGGTATTGCACACCTGTAATCCCAGCTACTTGGGAGGCTGAGGCAGGAGAATCGCTGGAACCCGGGAGGCAGAGGTTGCAGTGAGCTGGGATCATGCCATTGCACTCCAACCTGCATGACAGAGCAAGCCTGTCTCAAAAAAATAAAATAGAATAAAGTCACTAAGTTTGTGATAGTTTGTCACAGCCACAAGAGGAACCCACACAGTGGCTGTGAAAGTCCTTGTGAATGGAAAGCGCTGGCAGAGGGGAGACATCACTCAGTCCAGCCACGCACCACCAGTGCCAGAGGTGGAGCCCAAGCTCCAGCAGGAGAGACACCTGGGTTCTAATGTCACCTTCGCTGCTGGTGAGCACAGGAACCTCAGGCCTGTCACCCCACCTCACTCAGCCTCTCTCCTCCTCTATAGAAATCATCCCTGCCCTCGGGCTGATGGCAAGGTTCAATGAGATGATGCGTGTGATGTGGTTAGCGTGGACCTTGTCCAGGGTGGGCCTGAAAACATTTAGTGGTAAAGACAAAGAAGAAAGGGCAGCCAAAGAGGAGTTACCTTGTTCCGAGTATGAGTGACCTCCAGTTATACAGAGATTGGCAGGTGCTAGGGAGGGATGGATGGATGGATGGATGGATGGGTGGATGGATGGACAAACAGATGGATGGATAGATAGATAGATGGGCGGACAAACACATAGATAGATAGATAGATAGATAGATAGATAGATAGATAGATAGATTAGATAGATACATACATACATACATAGATGGTAGATAGATCAAGATAGATAGATCAAGACAGATGATAGATCAAGAGATGATAGATCAAGATAGGCAGATGATAGATCAAGATAAATGATAGATACATAGATAGATCAAGATACATGATAGATAAATAGCTAGCTAGATGGGATAGATACTTCAAGGTACTTGGATTAGAAATAGTTTCTTAGACATGTAGAATACAAGAATATCCGTTGCAGTTTTATTCATAACCCCAAACTGGAAATAAGCCAAATGACCACAAGCTAAAGAATGGACAAAGCATATGATGGTATATTCATACAAAAGAATATCATTCAGCAAGTAAAAGAACAAACTACCAACACACTCAGCAACACGGGTGGATTTCAAGAGTATTATGTTGGCCAAAAAAGAAGCTGGGCACAAAGAGCCCACGTTGTAAGGTGCATCTACAGTTGATCCAGTTATTCTACATCTTTGTTTAGGTGAAAAAGATGAAGCTTAGTTCGTCTTTAGGCACAAATCATCAGTGATGATGAAAGTCAACATAATGGATGCTCTGGGGGTCGCCACCTGGGAGGGGGAGCGAGGGAGCCCTTGGGGCGTGGGCGGTGTCCTGTGCTTTTACCTGGGTGGTGGTCACGTAGGGGCATATTTGTAAAAACGTACCAAGCTGCACCTTCACAGTGTGTGCCCTTTACCTGTGAAAATTGCACCCCAATAAGAATGAAGAAGATAACAAGAAATGGTAGATTCTACACCCGGAGCCCACAGAGGGACTTAGTTAAGTGTTTGAGGAAGGAAGATAAAGGGGGTTGCCAGGTGTGGGTTCTGGTGTTACTGAGCCTCCCAGTGTCCTTTCCAGATCCTGGGAGCTGGCGAGCATCTCCAGGATCCTCAGGTTCGTCCCAGGAGGATAAGCAGCCTGTGAGTCGGTGCTGTCCCTGGCTAACGGCTTTCCTGGGCTGCCTCCACAACCCAGGACCTGCCACACACAAGCAAGGTAGGGAGGACAGCCTCTCCTGTACCCGAGCCCAGCAGGGAAGCCACACCCTCCCCGTCGGGCTTCTCCTGCTGTTGGCCCTGGGGACTTACCCAGCAGGGAAAGCCACCTCCTGCCCAAGCTGCCCCTACAGTCCCGATCTCCGCCCCCTTCCTCCTCTTTCTCCTCCCCTTCTCCCCTTCTCCCCTCTCTCCTCCTCCTCTTCCTCCTCCTCTTCTTCCTCCACTTTTCCTTCCCTCATCCTCCTCTCCTTCCTCTTCCTCCTCCTTCTCCCCCTCTCCTTCCTTCTCCTCCTCCTCTTCCTCTTTCTCCTCCCCCTCTCCCCTCTCTCCTTTTCCTCTTCCTCCTCCTCCTCTTCCTCCTCTTCCTCCTCTTTTCCTTCCCTCTTCCTCCTCTTCTGCCTCCTCCTCTCCACCCCCCTCCTCCTCCTCTTCTTCACTGGGGAGGAAGAGACCATACAAGTGTCCCCGCCAACCTGCGGTCACGTGGCCTCCGTCAGCACAGGGCCCTGGCACATCTGTTTCCTCCCACCCTCCAGCTAGGACTGCTGAGCAGGGCAGTTTTCAGAGCACGGAGCTGGAGGGAGGGGCCTGAGCCAGGCAAGTGTGGCCTGTAAGGCCCTTGGAGACCCCGGAGCAGCCGTGGGCCACACTGTGGCTTGCCCCTAGACTCAGGGCCCCAGGGGCTTTGTGCAAACAATGCTGAGGGAGAGTGGCCAATTAGGGGTACCCTCCTGGCTCCCCAAACTCCTGCTGAGCCTCTCTCTCGCTGGTGCTGGAGCTCTCGGGGTCCATGCTAATATGGGTAGAAAAGAACCTTCTGGAAGGCATGTTCAGCATCCCCTTACCACCCAACCTGGAGCCAGGCATGAAGAATGATGGTGGTCAGGGAGGCAGCTGCTGTTGAGCTGACTTTGAACTTGAACTATTTTGAAATCCAGCTCATAAATTTCCAGCCCAGCCCGGGGCCTCCCCTTCGGGTCTGGGTGTGGAATCTGTCGAGGGGCCCTGGGTCTGCAGCACAATGCCGCATTTACAGAGCTGCGCTGCCAGTGCCTGAGTGTGTGTGTGAGTGTGTGTGTACCTGGGGACAGAGTGTTTGTGCACGGTGCCAAAGGGAGGGCCCCGCACATCTGGAAAGTGTCAGGTTTAATGCCCAAAGCCACGGGCCCAGGTCAGCTAAAAGTACATGTTTGCTTCCAGCCGCAGCTGTGCAAACTCCCGCTGCTCGGGCTGTGCTGGGCTCAGTCAAGTTCCCTCAAAGACAGTGGCCCCTTTGTCAGACTCCATTCCAATCCCCCGTTTCAAAGTCACTGGCCTGCCACGGGGCCCCCTGCCACAAACAGCTGCGGGGCAGCATCTGTCTGAGGCTGCATTCATTCCACCAGGAGAAGGAAAATACAGCAATTTAGGGTCTCGAATCTACGGCTCATCCAACAGACTGCACCCCTCCCATCCCTGTGAAACCTCTCTGTCTCAGTGGTCACACACCCGCCACCTTGGTCCTCATCAGGGCACAGCACAGCCGATGGCAGATGCAGCCCTTGCCCGCGGGGAGCTGGTTGTGCTCCATTTGCTAAATTGTGGTTGTCGCTCGGAAAATCGTCTCCCTGCAGATGTGGTTTGGTTTATGTTTGGAGGCTGAGAGGAGCACAAACCTGTGTGTGTGTGCATGTGTGTGTGTGTGCATGCGTGTGTGCATGTGTGTGCGCGTGTGCACGCGTGTGTGAGCGCGTGTGTAAATGCACTCATGTGCATTGGCGTGCACACACGTTCGTGCATAAGAGATGGGGGTAGATTAGGAACAGTGGGAGAAAACCAGTATCAGCCTGGGCTCGCCCCTCAAGCAGAGCTGTAGCTGAAGGCTGGTGAGAGGCCGTGTGTGGGAATCGGGCCCAGGAGCAGGGCTGGGGCTGGGAAGTGAAGGAGGGGGCGCCCATGAACAGATCCTTAGGGGCTGGTGCAGCATCCAGCGGGAGCTGCCCAGGAGTCTCCTGAAAGCAGCCGCAGAAGTGTTCCCCCGCAGATGAAAAGGGAAGCATTGTCTATCAGCCGCTGCCCCCCATTGGTCACAGGGCGGGGAGGGGGGCTCTGTATATGTCAGCCCTGCCCTCACACTCCTGGGTTTCCCAGGCAGGGGGTCCAAGCAGGTTCTTGCAGGTACAACACACACCGCAGCATCCGCAAAACCCTGGGGGAGGAAGCAAGAGGTGCGGGGTGTGCACTAAGGTGAGAGCCATCCCATGGCACCTGCGGGGAGCTGCTCTCTGCAGAAACGGGGTAAAACATGGGTTGAGAGGAGCCCAACGGGGCACGGGAAGGGGCCCAGGCAGCCAGCGTGGGTCCCGGGCAGCCAGCATGAGTCCAGCCAGCGTGGGTCCTGGGACAGCCAGCGTGGGTCTCGGCTGAGCACAGGAAGGGGCCCCGGGCAGCCAGTGTGAGTCCTGTCAGCGTGGATCCCAGGGCAGCCAGTGTGGGTCCCGGGCAGCCGGCATGAGTCCTGAGGCAGCCAGCGTGGGTCCCGGGCAGCCGGCGTGGGTCCCCAGCCTGAGCCTGCCTGCTCTGCCTTTTGCTGGAATGTTGCTCTCCCCACAGCTGCCGGCCTGTGGGAGCCAAGAGCTTCTCCCTCACCAGCCAAAGAAGAGGCCAGGAGCTTCTCCCTCACCAGCCAATGGGTTCTGGGGCATTCCAGTCTTGGACCTTCTCCCCAAGGAGGACTGACAAGGGCTGGGGAAGCTCACCAGGGCACCGCCCCTCAGTGGTTTCCCAGCAGCCCTGGAAGGAAGCGCGCATTGTTTGCACAGCTGGTTATTTTTCAGGTCGAGAAAACGTGATGTGATTGGCAGTCAGTGTCCTGGGGGTCTGTCTGCTCTGGGGGCTGGGTGGGTAGCACCCTAACCAGCTCTGGTCTCCCTCCACTGCCCAAGTTACAATCGCCATCGATGCCCCTCTAGTGGATGCACGTATGATGATGACGGCGATGACAATCACCACAGCTAACACTGCGACAGCACTCACTTTGTGCCAACCACTGCTTGACATGCTTCCCACATACGAACTCACTCAGTTTTTACAACAACCCTATTTGGTAGATGCTGTTATGAGCCCCATTTTACAGACAAGGAAACTGAGGCAAGGGAGGCTAAGTCACTTTTCCAAGTAATAAATAGTATGTTAGATGGCGATCTGTAGGGAGAGGCCAGTGGCTATTTTGAACAACAATACAACCTACCAGCTATATGTTATGACATACATGAACAGTGGACTCCACCTCCTACCTCTTTAGAAAATTGGGATATTTTCCCAATACTACAGTGTCTGGAGTTATCAAACTAACAGCAGTTCAATTGTCTCATCTATCAGCATTCTGACAACTCTAGGGTATAATCTGGATATTTATGGGGAGACCCTGACCTACCGGGCACTTGCAGGGGTGGGTGACCCCAAAAATATCCAAATTATATTCCAGAGTTGTCAGAATGCTGATAGATGAGATGAGTGAGCTGTTGCTGCTTTGATAACTCCAGACACTATAGTATTGGGAAAATACCCCAATTTTCTAAAGAGGTAGGAGGTGGATTCTGCTCTTCAAGTACATAGTAATATGTAGCTGGGGGGTTGTATTATGGTTCCAAATAGCCACTGCCCTTCCCTGGGGCTGCATCCCACACTTCTGTATGTCCTTGCTCCGTTGATAGCAGGCTTCACCATGTGACTTGTTTTGGCCAATAGGTATGAACAAAAGAAACATGCTTCACTTCTGGGCAGAATCCCCAAGAGCTACCATGAGGTCCTCCGCTTCTCTTTTCTCCCTACCACAAGACTGACATGACTCCAAGAGGGACTGCTCCTTTAGCCTGGGTCCCTAGAATGAAGATTGATATGCAGAAAAACTTCAGCCAGCCTGCAATGGACTTGTGGGGTTAGCAATAAGCTTTTGTTGTTATAAGCCACTGAGAGCCAGGGGCTGTATGTTACTGTGGCAGAACTTAGCTGAAGCTGACTAACACTGTTACTAACAGAATCATTTTCAAATGTAGAAAATAAAAGTGGTCTCTGAAAGCTGCTATGAGTTCACATAGAACAAGTCACACCTGACAAATGCCTTTTATATATTTGATAGGGTTACACGAGTGATACAGAGAGGAATTTTGTAGTATAAGGATATCTGAAGTTCAGCTTGCATTATCAAAAACTTTGCCTCTGTTTCCCATAAATAAGATAGAGAAATGTGAGCTGGGTAAGAGCATGATTAAATGGTTTCATAACCATTACAGTGAGGAACCAAGAAGGGCTGATTTCATGTGGCTGATGCCAACCTGCTGAAAGGTCTCTAATGGTATGTCACAGGGCTCTACCCTTGTTTCACTCAGTTCAGTGTTTTCATTAATGATTTTTCACAAGGCCTTCAAAACCTAGGCTGATCACATTAAAAAATGATACAAAGCTGGGGAGAACAGTCTGGTAAACCATGAAATATTTTTGGCAGAGCAGAACAAGATGAATTGTAACAGAGATCAAACAACGTCTTAAAAAACCAGAAGGGGCCAGGTGCAGCGGCTTATCTCTATAATTCCGGCACTTTGGGAGGCCGAGGCGGGTGGATCACGAGATTGAGACCATCCTGGTCAACACGGTGAAACTCCATCTCTACTAAAATGCAAAAAATTAGCCGGGCATGGTGGCGTGCACCTGTAATCCCAGCTACTCAGGAAGCTGAAGCAGGGGAATCGCTTGAACTCGGGAGGCAGAAGTTGCAGTGAGCTGAGATCGAGCCACCGCACTCCAGCCTGGCGACAGGGCAAGACTCTGTCAAAAACAAACAAACAAACAAATAAAAACCCACAAGGCCTGGAAATGGAAGTCATAGATTCATAGCAGCATGTATGAAAATGATAAGCTCGGTGTGAGTTATTATTATTAAATGCCAATATTCATTGAGCACTCCCAGTGTATCAGACAGCGTGCCAAGGACTGACTTGACACAATTCCCTCATTGTATTCTTCCCCAGGATCCTGAGTAGTTCATGCTGTGCTTTAAATAAGAGGTACATTCATTGAATCACCTATAGGAAAAAAAAAATCAAAGCATGTAACTTTTTCCATAAAGAAACTCCCAGGAGTTAGAGACCACTCTTTCTGGAATGCAATGGCATTTTCTATTATTTCTTCTTAAATGCTTTTAGATTAAGGATTCTGTTTAACTCAACAAATACTTACTGAACTCCTACTATGTGTCCAACATTCTTCCAGGTACTGGGAACGGGTTGGTGAATAACACAGGTAAAATCTCATCCACCGTGGAGTTGCCTGCCAAGGTAGAAGACACAAAAAAGAAATGAACCCTCTAATTTTTGGTGGTGATTCATTCTGTGAAGACCATCAACAGGGTGAGAAAATACAGAGTGACTGGGGAAGGGGGAGGGGTAATTATATGGGAAGATCAGGGAAGGCTTCCCTGAGGAGGTGACTTTGGGCCGAGCCCTAACAGGTGACAAGAATCCAGCCACTGGTTCCAAGAAAGACATTCCCTCATATTCTACTTCCCATTTGATTAGAAGCCTGCACAGGGAAAGAAACAGAAAAAAAACAAACCCAGCACCCTACTTCTTGAGCCCAGGAGAGGGAAACAATGATAAGACACTCCTAGGTGTCCAGAATTCTCTCAAGCAGGGGCTCCCCTGGGGCCCGGACATCAGCAGATACCAGGAACCTCATTGTGCACTGAGTCCAGCACAAGTACAGAAAATAAATCTGAAACGGGTATTTTCCTCAACTTGGATTATTTTTGCAGTGATCGCGTTTCCTTGTATGTTAAGAAACCTTGGGAAATTATTTGCTTAACGGGAGCGCTCAGTATTTCTCAAAGTCTTTTTTTTTTTCAATCTTCTTTCCCTTTGCTCTTGCTTTCCTTCTCTTTGTTTGAGTTTTGAGCAAAAACTTCCTGCCCGCTGTGATATTTTCCCCATGAATGTCACCAAACTAAGTAGGCTAGAAAAACAGTTGTAGGAAATATGAGGAATGGCCAGGAATCAGGGTAAACAGCAGCCTGGGAACCTTCCAGAAGAAAGTGCAGTCAGCGACTCTGACCTCGACTCCTGTCAGCAAATTACTCCAAAATCAAGTTGGCCATTTGAGTTCCATGGACGGGTTCCCCTTGCAAGACACTGCTTCTTTAAGTCCCTTGGGCAGGAAGTGGCGATTCCAGAGGTCCCCCTTGGCATGTCCTTGAGGGAACAAAGAAAGGGACACACTTCGGACCCCGTCTGTGTGTGAAGTTGGTGATGGGGCATGACCATGATCCAAAATTCACCCGGCAATATTAAAGCTGGCCTGGGTCTGAACTCATGAAAGATAATGATTTGAATTTCAAAGGATTAAAAGAAGCTCATGGAAATGATGATTAAGCCCTTGAACATTTAAAAAAAAAAAAGATTAATTCTGAACCAAAGAGCTGCAAAAAAAAGTCAAATGTGAAGGGAAGAATGTCAATTGTGCCCTTAGAAAGTCTTGCTGGGAAAAAATACGGAAAGTAAAAGAAAAAAAATCATTGTCATTTTTCTGCTCTAAGAATTACAGCAGAGTTCCCAAGCCTTGTTAAATTAAGATAAAATTAGCTTATTGCATTTTTATCATTTTAGATTTATTTTTCAAGATGAAGTTCCAACGAAACCTCTTTTTTCTCTCTCCTTTTAACAATATGTGAGCTATGACTCCATGTCAAGTAGCTTGGCTTCAGGTGCCCTTTTTCTGGTACCTATAACCCTTGGAAAAAATAAAGCCCTCCTGTTCTTCCATTAATGGATTTGTCTACCAGACTGATGTCACTGAGAGAATTCTTTCATGTCCCTGTCCTGTTGCCAGCAGTTGGCATCTAGACTCCACTGAGCTGAGGTCCCCTTCTTCTAGAATCTTCTGCATGAAGAAAGAGCCCCTTCTTCTCACCTTCTTTATCTCTTCTATATTGGTCAGGATAAGTGACAGCAGCTACTGTAACAAACAACCCCTGCATCTCAGTGGCTTAAGGCTCAGCTGTCAGCCCGAGGGTTCTGCTCCACACAGTCATTCACGCACCCAGGCTCCCTCCATCTTGTGGCTCCACCCTCCTTGATACCCTCGGAGTCCTCTTTATTCAGCCAGTGGATGAAGAAGGAATGCGAGGGTGGTTTCTATGGGTCTGGTAGTAGTGCACATCCATTCCACTCACATTGTAGTGTTCAGAATTCAATCACATGGCCGCACCTAACCACACAGAAGCCTGGGGAATTTAGTACAGTGTGGTTTCCTGGAGGAAGAGAAGAACTTGAAAACCAGTGAACATTAGTGATCTTGCCACATTTGCTACTTTTTCTTTCTCTCTTTGGTATCACCTCCCTGTTCTAGTTCATCTCTACATTGATATACCTGGCTAAGGCAGTTCAGGCTGCTGGAACAAATGACAATAGACTGAGTGGCTTAAACAACAAACATGTATTTCTCATATTTCTGGGGGTGGGGATGCCCAAGATCAAGGTGCTGGCAGAGCTAGTGCTTGGTGAGGACTTGCTTCTTGGCTTGTAGGCAGCCTCCTTCTCACTGTATCCACATATGATGCAAAGTAGAGAGTGACAGGAAGCTCTCATGTCTCATAAGGGCACTAATCCCATTCATGGGGGCTCCACCCTCATGACCTAATCAGCTTCCAAAGGCCCTACCTCCTAAGACCATCATATTAGTCATTGAGATTTCAACATATAAATTTGGGGAAGGGGGACAACACAGACATTTCATAAAAATAAAAAAATAAAAAACACACAGGCACTCATGTTTTTCCCTACATAGCAATAATCCTTTTTCTTACTAAACCTCCTAGATTCTGTTGACCAAGTTGGTCTTCCTTGGTTCAGAACAGCCTGAGTGTCAGAAATGTCAAGTTACATGAGCATCCATGTCCATCCATCCATCCTTCCATCCATCCATCCATCTATCCGTCCATTCATCCTTCAGTCCACCCATTCATCCATCCATCCATCCATCCATCCATCCATCCATCCATCCATCCATCCGTCCATCCATCTACTTATCCAGACAATATAGTTAATGATCCCCCATGTGCAAAAGCATGGTGTGATGTGCCGTCCAGAAAGAAAAAAAGCATAAGGCGTGCTTTCTGCCTTTGAGGAGTTGATAATCCAATTGGGGACATAAGAACTAAGCACACACAAAGCTAGCAAAGACACCAGGCCCAGGCATGTGGAGACGAGCAGGAACCACTGAGAAGCAGAGGCCTTGCGGGCTGCTCCCCATGCGCCTGCACCCCCCTTTGTCCAGACACACAAGGATGTGTCTGGGAGTTCTTCCCTGGTGCCCTCCATGAACTCTCTTCCTCAGTTCCCTCTGGTTCTCCACGGTTGGTCTCCTCGCCCTCCCATACCCATTTCTCTTGCCTTTCTGTGCTTCTTTTTCCCCACCCATCTCCCCAAGCCTCTCTTCACCTTCTTCCTGGGACACAGATGCCTCCAGAGTGTGCTAGCCTCAGAGCCTTTGCAGGAACAGAGGAAGCCTCAGGGCCTTTGCACCTCTGTTTCTCTGCCAGGACACCCTTTCTCAGGCTCTTTGCAGAGCCGGCCCCTTTTCCCCACCAGGCTCTCGGTTCAAAAGCCACTTCTGAAGGATATTTGTGGCCCGGCCTCTGCCGTGGAAAGCCGCTCCACGGGTCTTTCTCTGCCCCATCACCCATTTTATTTTTATAGTATTTATAACTCTCTGAAATTACCTCATTTAATTATTTTCTTCCCCCAATCCCCACCCCAGACTGGATGTCCCCCAAGAATGAGGACCAAGTATGACTAGTCCCTGGCTCTGTCCCCCATTGACCGGCACACAGTAGGTGCTTACTCATCACTGCTGATTGAAGGGATGACAGACAGCCCCCTTCCCCTCCCCTCCTTTAGCATCTCAGGACTGCACCAGGAGCATCACTGAGCCCTGGCCACTCCAGGACCCTGCCCTCCGGCTGGGCCTGGTCCCCAGACTCTGCCCTTTCTGGAGCTCCGGGCAGCGTGCCAGGAGCCTGGAGCCTTGCATTAATTCCTGCTCAATGCCCTTTGTCTTCACTTTCAGCTGAAAAACCACACAACCAGAATATTTGCCTGGACTTGCGTCTTCCTTGAGGAATGAATGGAAATGGTGTGCGTTTGCCACGCTCTCTGGCGTACTCACCCTGTGGCATTTCGGGGGCCAGTGGGCCCCTGGAAACTGTGCTTCCTCCTTGCCATCTCTGCATTTTCATCAGCTGGGAAGGACTCACTCTCTCTCCTGAATGCCTTTCAGCCACTTGGCTCTTACCTGGCTGAACTTCATGCTATATATACTTTTTTAAATTTTTAAACATTTTTTTGCATGACTCAAGTGAGCATCAGAACATCCTATATTACTTTTAATGTGCACAGATGTCCTTCTGGTAATTTACTCAGCTGTAGTTCAAAACGACTGTTCCATTAATGAGTTTTGTTTTGTTTTTGCCATGATGGCTCTTGAAAAACCACAGCACTTTTTGGAGCCCTCCTTTTTTTTTTTTTTTTTTTTTTTTTTTCAATATAACAACTTGTTTATCCCCAAACCTGCTAAATCAACAAATGATGTTTTGGCATTATGGATTCAGGCAGACACAGTCACCAATTTATGTGACATCACAGTTTCTAGTCAGACAAAATAACTGGAAAGCAATCTGGATGGTGTGCCACATTTAGAAGATCTCAAAACATTTGCTTTGCACAGATTCGCCGAGTGAGAGGCATGCAGAGGGGGCAGTGCTCACACTTTTCATCTGCTGTGCACGGGCGCCATTTCCACGAGTGTCACGCACTATTGTGTTATCCAGAAAGGTATATGTGTTTCACTTTAAGCATTCTACAACTTGGGAGCAAGAGAATTGTGAACCCCTAAAAAGCTGAAAAACGATAAAGAAAGTGGTGTAGAAAGGTGGGTGTATTGAAGGGGATTTCTTGAAGGTAACTCTAGACTCACCCTATACCACCCGCTACTCACCCTATACCACCCGCTACCCACTATTGCAGGGGTCGGCCAACTTTTTCTATACAAGGCAAGATTGCAAATAGTTTAGTCTCTGCAGACTATGCGTTCTCTGTTGCAAAAGGAAAACATAATAGTCATAGTATCTGGGGCTATCGTCTAGCACAAAGCTCTTTACCAATGCATCAGCTGGGGTTTGTGGAGTTTAAGCCTTGTCAGGGAGCAGGATATCCCCAAGATGTCAAAATATCTCCCCAGAGCTTCCTGATAAATCACAAAGGGAAAGCTACCTTGAGCACGAAGAAATGAGGTGGATACCACCTCCACCCAGTGATCATCCCTAGCATGACCAACAGTGGGACAAGCTGACGGGATGTGCCTCCTGAAGTTGATGGCGCAACATGGACCCTGAAAAATTCCTGCAAAATTGTTTATCCTACATCGAATCCTGAGACAGCAATCAGACAAATCCAGATCATGGGATGCTCTACAACTGGCCCAAACTCGTTAAAACTAGCCATGTCAGGAAAGGCAAAATAGGCTTGGGGTCTGTTAGGGTCGAAGAATTAAAGAGATGTTACTACACAGAACTGGGATTTCACCCTGCTGGCCAGGGAAGACATGGCTGTGCCACAGTCTCACAGACTCAAGCAGAAGACACAAGACTCCTGGGTCAGAGACAAAGGATGTTATTACTCACAATAATCACAGAAGCCAGGGGGTCAGCATGTTCTTGAGCCAGTTCCCCAGCTCTGGTTTCCACAGGGCCACTAGAAGGGGCCCAGGTGACCCTTGCACATGCAGCTGTTTGCACGACAGGGGAGAAATCCAGAGTGTAGGGAACCCGAATCTTTCACAGTGGGTAATAAGCCTGCCTGAACTTTTCTCCAGAGGGAACCATTATTTTTATTACAGTGGACAGGAAGCATGCCTATCCTTTGATTTGAAGAGAGACGCTATCTCTACCTTTCAAAACTGTTCTCC
This sequence comes from Homo sapiens, assembly GCF_000001405.40. Classification (NCBI taxonomy): domain Eukaryota; kingdom Metazoa; phylum Chordata; class Mammalia; order Primates; family Hominidae; genus Homo; species Homo sapiens. Next base: position 124,288,519 of record NC_000012.12, read on the forward strand.
CTACAAACGTTATTGAAATGATAGCCCAGAATGAAGGGCGGCCAAGGCCTCTGTTTGCAAGATGGGAATAAACACGGGAGACTCATGAAGAATTGTCTCCTAATAGTGACAACGAAATGCAATGTGTGTGATCGCTTCTCTGCCTTTTGGCTAAGATCAAGTGAAATGCAACGTGTGTTTGAGCCCTGGGTTGAGAAAGAAAACAGCTTTAAAGGACATTGTTGGGAAAATTGGGGACATTTTGATATGGAATATAGGTTATATAATTGTATCAACGTTAAATTCCCTCAGTATGATCGCGGTATTGTGGTTCCATATCATCTTTCTTCTTAGGAGGTGCCGTTGAAGAGTTTTGGGGCAAAGGGGCATGATGTTTACCACCAATTTTTACATAGTTTAGCAAAACACAAAACAAAATAAACAGTACACACACACATACGAGAGAGAGAGAGAGAGAGAGAGAGAGAGAGAGAGAGAGATCCGATATGTCAACACCCAACAAACCCAAATGGTACTTGGGTTTTCATTACATTATTCTTGCAAAAATTCAGGGGGACCCAGCTTCCCCCAAGAACACACAGCTGGCTCTTGGCCAAGCCTGGCCGGGAGCGACCTTCTTCTGACTTTACGGAGTGTGTTTTCACTACACTCAGTCTCTGATTTTATCCCTGCCCTGGCTTAATTAAGTGCTCTGAAGACATAAATAGGTTTTTTGTTTACTCAAGCTTGGGAGAAGCTGGCAGAAAAGGCCTTTTCAGCTAAAAGCTCCTTACAGCCGGAAGGTGTGAAGCGGCAAGTTTCCAGCCGGGAAGAAGCCTCTCAGCCGTAGGCGTCTTTGCCCGGAGCTGTGAGGTGAGTCCAGCAGCCCCACTGTGGAGTGGGAACGGGAGGGGCTGCGGGAAAGCCAAGCCAGGACGCTGGGTGGCAGACCGTTAGAACAGCTTTCATTACTCACTGAAAGCACTGGGAATCTGGAGGCTGTCCTGGACACGCACATACAAATGGCAGCAGAACGTATGCCCAGGTCAAAGGCACTTTGAATTCATTTTGTCCCCGCTTCCCTGTCTTAGTAGGGCAGGTGGTCAAGAGCTGGTTTTATGAGTGGACACCCAGGGCATGGGCCCTGACCCCCAGACAGCTGCCCAGCAAAGGCGGGCTGCAGGCTCCGAGAGGACACGGGCTAAAAATGAAGAGGTGAGTCACTGCTGGAGCTCTGTCCAGGCGTGGACATCTGTGGTACAGCTGGGGACTGAGCAAGGGCACTGCGGAAAAGTCCCTCGGGTGAGACAGGCCACCGGGGAACATGCGACTCCCCGGGGCAGGGAGGCATCCCTGGGCCAGGCACTAGGACCTGGCCTGCTGAGGATGCAGAGTCCCAGGTCTCACGGTTGTACAGTCACCGGGACCTTCACTCTGAAACATTTGACCACATGCCCGGCTGGACAGCTCAGACAGGGCCTGTAAGGAGCGTGTGATCAAGAAGCCACTCTTCTTGCCTCTGTTCTCGCCGCCCCTTTGAACTCCTCCACTTCAACTTCTTCTGTGGCTACTTTCAAACCCTCAGGGATGTTCAGTGTTACTTCTGCATTCCCTAAAAATAGGCAAGAGCCCGGGGCTCTCCCTAGGAAAGACAAAGATTTCGCTGACACCGCAGTTCTCTCGTCTTTTCTTCTTCTCAAAAGTGTATATGCATATGTGTGTGTGTATGTGTGTAGATGTGTAGACATGCGTGTATACGTGTGTGGGTACATGTGTGTATATGTATGTATGTGCATGTGTTAGTGTGTATATTTGTGTGTCCATGTATGTGCATTTGCATATGTGTGTGCATATGTGTATGTGTGTATTTGTGTGTTTGTGTATATGTGTGCATATGTGTTTACCTGTGTATATGTAGGTACATGTGTGTATGTGCATACATGTGTATGTGTATATATGTATTTGTGTTATGTGTGTGCTTGTGTGTACACATGTGTATTGTGTATGCATCTGTGTGTATGTGTGTATATTTGTGTTTATGTGTATATACATGTTTATGTGTGTACATGTATATGTGTGTGCATATGTGTGCTTGTGTGTATGTGCATATGTGTTTATGTGCATGCATAAGTGTGTGTGTGTCTAAATGTATTGATTATCTTGGTGATTTCACACAGAGAGGCATGAGGTGTGGTGATGAGAGCAGGGCCCAGCTGAGCCTGCGAAAATTTCCCTGGCACCATGCTGAGGCTTGTGCCTGGCGTGCCTGGAAGCATACCCCTAATATGCTTATATTTAATCTTCATTCACTACCTTTATTATCATCCCTGCTTTATGGATGGGGACACTGAGGCACAGAAAGGGCAGGCCAATTGCCCAGATCACACAGCCGGGACATGGTAGGGCCAGGGTTCAAACCCAGGCAGCCGAGCGTGCACATGGCAAGGAGACCCCTTCCTTGTCTGTAAGCCTCCTTGGAAGGCGAGCGGCCTCCAATGCGCTCAGATGGCCTTGTTTCAGGGCTCTCTCTGCAGGTCACAGAAAAGCCTTGCAGTTGTCAGGCATGACGACCTCAGTCCTCCTGCCTCCATGTCACGGTCCACTGGGACCCACTGACAGCCTTCCCCCACATCCACCCTAGCAGCCTCCAGTTTGGCTTTCTACTTAGGATAGGCTGTGTGACCTCAGGCAGTCACTTAACCTCTCTGAGTCTCCATGGCTCCATCTGCTTTATTTATTTATGATTTATCTTTTATTTTATTAATTTATTTTTTTGAGTTGGAGTCTCACTCTATTGCCCAGGCTGGAGTGCAGTGGCATGATCTTGGCTCACTGCAGCCTCTGCCTCCCAGGTTCAAGGGATTCTCCTGCCTCAGCCTCCTGTGTAGCTGGGATTACAGGTGTGCACCACCACACCTGGCTAATTTTTAAGTATTTTTAGTAGAGACGGGGTTTCACCATGTTGGTCAGGCTGGTCTCAAACTCCTGACCTCAGTTGATCCACGCACCTTGGCCTCCCAAAGTGCTGGGATTACAGGCATGAGCCACCGTTCCTGGCCTGCTTTATTTCAAAATGGAAATAATATGCAGCCAGGGTTCAAGTGCACGATGGTGCGTGTGCAGAGCTCTGTAAGCTGCCCAGGAATGCGCAGCCCTACTTCTAGGAGCCTTCCTTCAATGCTGCTTGGAACAAGTGGCAAATGGCTCTCCGTGAAAAAGCCTTTTTTTTTTTCCTCAACACCCTTCCCTCTGGCCTTCCTCGCAGAGTTGAGCTTCCCCCACACAAAGCATTCTGGGAAAATCCCCCTGATATGGGGAGTGCTTGGGGAGCCCTGGGCTGGGGCTTGGGGTTACCCCAGGTCACTTTTCTTTCTTCCCCAACATGTGCTCTGAAAAGCCAGTGACTTCAGAAGCTTGTGGAGGAAGGTCTTCCTTCCCAGGGGTGTATGGTGCATACATATGCATACACCCTTCTCCCCTTCTCTCCAACACGGGACCCGCTCTTTACGACCCCTTGTCAGGGATACCCCAATACCTCTTTTCTATTAAATATCTACTTTCTCTGCCCAATTTTTCTCTGCCTCCAAACTCTCCTTTCTTTCATCCAACTTTGTTTATGTGCATATGTGTGTATATGTGAGGAACTTTGGAAGCGATTTGGATCAGATCATTCTTTACCTGCTTCAAAACCTCTGCAGATTCTCCCATCCCTGGCAGATAAAGCCCCAATCCCTTAGCACAGCATAAGGGCCTCCGTAGACCTAGTACCTTCTTCCCTCTGCCCTTCCTACAGCGCTGGGCCTGGAGCAGACACCCCGATCTTGAAAGACCCCCTTTTCTGCTCCTCAGGCCTCACATTTCAAGTCCCTTTTCCTTCTGAGACTGGCCACAAGAGCCTCCTGCCCTGCCCACTGGCTAGCCCCTGGCTCAGATGAATTTATGGAAATTTCGTCTTTTCCTCCCCTCTTTGACATTTGCAGACCATCTGGTGCTGTGAGAAATAGAAGCTTCCACAGTACCGGCTTTCAATTGAGGGGCGGTCCCCAGCCCACAGCAGCGGATCTGAATAGGTCAGAGGTCATGGTCACTGGGGCCATCAGTGTGGGCTGCTCTCTGGGGCTTTGACCTTTGTAGTGCACTCATGTTCTGCCTGCTGTCTGGTGTGCACATATCTCTGACGGTTATCCACACAGGGCAGCCTGTTTCAGGGGAAACTTCCAGAACCCAGGTGGGCATAGTCATGAAGGCACTCTTGATAAGCGGGCTTCTAGATCAAGATGAATGGCACAAGGGGGCCAGGATTAGTAGAGTGGGGCAAGGGACTTTCAGGACATCGCCCAAACACAGAAATCACCACAAATGGTATTTCGCTGCAATGTTTTAAAAGTCAAAATGGATGCAAACAGTTCAAGATGAACAAAACATCAACATTTTATCTTATTTTGAGACAGAGTCTTGCTCTGTTGCCCAGGCTGGAGTGCAGTGGCATGACCTCAGCTCACTGCAACCTCCACCTCCTGAGTTCAAGCAATTCTCCTGCCTCAGCCTCCTGAGTAGTTGGGATTACAGGCGCCCGCCACCACGCCCGGCTAATTTTTTTGTTATTTTTAGTAGAGACAGAATTTCACCATGTTGGCCAGGCTGGTCTTAAACTCCTGACCTCAGGGGATCCACCCGCCTCAGCTTCCCAAAGTGCTGGGATTACAGGCGTGAGCCACCGCACCAGGCCTCAAAATATCAACATTTCAAATAAAGACAGAGGAACCCTGCAATTCTGAGACTCCACCTTGCCCGCATCCTGCCCTGCCCTGGGTAGCTATTGTGGCCAAGGGGTCATTAGTCCCTGAGATAAGAAGAAATTAGTTCTTGCCGAAGACTTTCTCCAGGGAAGCAGAAGACTACTGGGTCTGGGTGGGTGAGCATTTGGGAAATGTGAATTTCCATGTGTCTGTGTTCCAGAAAGAATGCCCCCTCCCCCCACCGCTTTCGTCCTAGTCAGTGACAGTAGTTCAGCCAGTCATTCTGGTCAAGTGGCCCAAGGGCTGAAGAGGGCCTGGCTTGCCTAAGAATTGAAGCAAATGGAATCCGTAGTCCCATTGTTTTTTTCCCAGAATGTTCCAAATATTCAAACCTCTGGTTAGTTGGGTCTGTTTGGGCAGCAGACTTCCAGCGTTCTTTCCTGGGCGACATGGAAATGGGCTGTAAATTCACCTGGTGACAGGTGCATGCCTGTCACCCTGTGGGCTCTCAGGAAGCGGCCCCACCCTCTGTCAGTGTCCGGCATGCACCTTACTCCTGCTGCTGCAGGGCCTGCGCCCTGCTGTTCCCTCCACATGGTGCGCTAATTCTCACTGCTTGGCTATTCAGATCTTATCTTTGAAAATCGCCTCCTCCAAGAAGCCTTCCCTGAACACTCCAAAGCCTTAAGTTGTCCCTTTGACTATTCTTGGTTGCAGCACCTCATTAAGTTCCTTCCCTTAGACTCACAGCCTTAGCTTCCTGGTGCATTGACAGGCTCCCTCATCAGACTGGGCCCTCCACAGGGCAGGGGCCTGCTGTCTTACGCCTGCCCGTTCTGAGGTCCGGCCAAGGCTGGGTGCGGAATGGGAGCCTGAGAACATCTTCAAAGTGCTGCCCTCAGTTTGGGGGTGTCCAAAGAGCGGATTCTGACACCCGGCTTCCCGCCCCTGATCTTGGGCTTTCTGCTGTAAGCTGAATGGAAGTGAGTGTGTCTGGGCACACTTTCACCCCTCCTGGAGTCTACCTCTGTTCTCTTCGCCCTATTAGCCTCTCCCACATTCCTGCTTTTCAAAGCAGTCCGTGGACACCCCCAGCTGCCCCGCTTGCAGAATGGAAGGATGGATCCTCAGGAGTGGGGTGGGGGGCGTCTGTGTGGCTGGGCGCTGGAAATGCAGACATCCTTTGCCAGGCATCTGATAAGAAAACAGTAAGGAAGGGAAACACGTGTTCTTCTCTCTTGGGAGGAAGGAAAAGAAGGGAAAGACCGGCAGGACCCTTGTTCATGAGCGAGGACCTGCCTGGAAAAAATGCAGGAACAGCCAGATGCCGGGGGATTCCCGGAAGTGCTGCTCATCGCCCCCGCCGCCCCCACCCACAGGTTCCACCCAATGCTTTCCACCCTTAAGGCCCAAAGAGCTGGCCCTGGGTGTGCGGGTAACCGAGACGCCAGTACTAGGGCTGTGGTGGCCCTCCTCCCCATCGATTGTAAGTTACAGAGAAAAAGAAAACTCTAAAATAAAGTTTCTCAAGCTGCTTTTATTGGGACTTCAAATGAGATGGAGAAAACCTCCAAGAGCACCACGAAATAGGATGATGATGATTACTCGTATGTCTTGGGATGACTTGGGGACCCCACAAGGCACCCTCGGTGCGCCAGTGTGGTGCTTGTTCCGGGAGTGGGGGACACACGCGCCTCGTGGGACTCCAGCTGCTGGCTGGGCGCGCAGTGCCCAGGAGCGGGAGGGCCTCGGCGGAGGCGCCGGGCCGGGGCTGTTGCCCACCGCGCAGGCCGGGGCGGGGAGAGGAAGGGGGAGGAGGAGGCGCCTAGAAAAGGAGGCGCGGGCCGGGGAGGTGCGGAGAGGGCCGGGCGGCAACGTGCGCCTCGGGGCTGGGCCGGCCTGCGGGATCGCAGCGCAGCGCAGAGGCGAGGCTGGGCCCGGCGGGCGGGAGCCGCGGAGGGCGGAGGGCGGAGGGCGGCGGCGCTGGCAGGAGCGCGGCCCACGGCGGCGAGCAGGCTGCAGGCCCGCGGGGATCCGGGGCGCGGGGGGCGCCGGGCCTGATCGCCGCCTCTCGCGGTGCCCGCAGGTCCCCGGGCGCGCAGCTCTCGCCCCGCCGCCGCCTGCCCCGGGCCCCGGAGCGCGGTGGAGAAGCCCCCGGAGGAGCGGGGGGCCCGCGCCCCGCGCCCCCCAGACATGGTGGGCCACCTGCATCTGCAGGGCATGGAGGACAGCCTGAAGGAGCAGGGCCGGGAGGGCTTGCTGGACAGCCCCGACTCCGGGCTGCCCCCCAGCCCCAGCCCCAGCCCGCCCTTCTACTCCCTGGCGCCCGGCATCCTCGACGCGCGCGCGGGGGGCGCCGGCGCCTCCTCGGAGCCCCCGGGACCCAGCGAGGCCAGAGCGGTAAGGAGGCGCTCTCTCTCCCAAACGGGGGACCGCGTGGGCGGGTGGGTGAGGGCTGCCCCCAGAGACGCGCGCCACTGCAGCAGCAGGACGTGCCTCCTCCTCTACCTGCCCCGCAACCACGAAGGTGGCCAGTGACAGCCACGCTTCTCAGGTGGGGACCAGGGTGTGTAGGGGGAGGTGATCCAGGCTGACCCCGGACCTGGAGACGGCTCCCTGGCGGTGGGCCTCCCTCCAGAGTGATTCTTCCTATTGTCAGTAATAATGGGGGGCTCATGGGGCGGGGTAAAGGACGGTCCGAAATTCCCAAAGAAGTTGGCTGTTGGCTAGGTGGGCTTGCGCCCAGAGGCCCAGCATGTTGCAGACATCTGGACCCGGCCCCTCTGCTGCTCCGGGTGCCCTGTTTACTGTCCGGGCGCTGCCAATGTGAAAGCCTTTTCTTTCTTTCTTTCTTTCTTTCTTTCTTTCTTTCTTTCTTTCTTTCTTTCTCTCTCTCTCTCTCTTCTTCTCTTCTCTTCTCTTCTCTTCTCTTCTCTTCTCTTCTCTTCTTTTCTTTTCTTTTCTTTTTTTTAAATAACCAAACCCAGACAGGATTCCTTCCTTCCCGGGATGTTAAGGCATGTTGACGTGGAGCTTAGGCGGGAGGGGGAGGCTGGAACCTCGGGTCAGGAAACTCAGGAGTTTGTCTCCTGCCAGACTAAGTCCAGCCTGGGGGTGGACTCCGGTGGGGACCCAGCTTGGCGCCTTGCCTGAGACTGGGCACCCCCCGGCAGGCGGGGAAGCATATGGGCCGAGCGGGCGCCTTTGCAGCCTGAGGAAATGACAAGTTGAAATGAGTGATTGCCCATCCCTGCCCGCTCTCTGGCTGCGCCCTGCCCACCTTAACAGCTTTACTGCTGGGGCGTGTGTGCTGGCTCCACTCCCCTTTCCTGGGGCCCCGGGGATTCTTGCCTGGCACTCACAGGGCAAAAAAGGCCTCCCCGCCGCTGAAAATCCTCCTCCCCACAGCGGAAAGGAGCGGCTCCCCGGCCTCAAGCCTCAGGATATGACCTTCATTCGTGCCTTGCTTGTTTCTTAGCCTGGTGGGTCCCAAACTTGGTCGCCCATTGGAATCACTTGGAGAATCTTTAAAACCCACCCACACTCACCGCCCAGATAGTCTCACTGAATTGATAGGGGGTGCAGCTCGGCATCAGGAGGGTTTCAGTCTCCCTGGGTGATTGTACTGTTCAGCAAAGTCTGGGAGTCACTATCTTAGACCAAATCATGCAGCAAATTTGAACTTTGGTCTCTTTATGGGAGCCTGGCGGGTGGAAGGGGCAGTGAGGACTTCCAGGAGTTGATAGAGGTGACCAGGGCTGTTTGAAGTGAACCTGATCTTGCTGTCTAAAGGGGGCCAGCTTTCCTGCCAGAGCCTCTGGGACTTGGCACTGTCGCCCATTTGAGCTGCACACTTTGGGACTGAATCCCCGTGGTGCCTTGCACAGTGGGGCTTGGAGAAAAACGACCTGGAATCCGCCTTCTCCTTGGTTCCTTCCATGACCCAGAAGCCTCCTTACAGAGGGTTTTCTGGAAGCGTTCTCTGCCATCCGGGCCAGCCCGTGGCTGCCGCAAGAATAGCATGGCTGGCTTACTTGTCTTGGCTCTTCTACTTGACTTTATTTTTTCCCCTTCCTGCTCACTAGATGCCAGGTATGAAACTGTGTTGCCCTGATCTTCTAATTTGGCTTAAAAGCAAAGCCCGGGGCTGTTTCCTCATGGGTTATGATACTTGGCATTTAGATAGCTCATACCGTGTGCCAGGATAACTGTCCTAAGCTCTTTATTTACACCAATTCATTTAATTTTCACTATATTCCCATGAAGCCTACACTCCAATTAGCCCCATTTTCCAGAGGCGGAAGCCAAGGCACAGAGGAGGTTAGCAACCTGCCCAAAGTTGCCCAGCCAGGAAGCGGCTGTGCTGGGCTAGACCCAGAGAGTCTGACTGCAGAGTCTGCCCTTCAACCTCATATTATCCCCCTTTTCACTGTGCAGCTAATTAACTACCTGTGATTTTTTTTTTATTGGAAAACAAAATGCCTGTGTACCTACCAGGTTTGAAGGGCTGCTTTCAATAAAAGGGAGAAAGGATTGCCTGGCGCCCACTCTTCTCAGCTTTGGGGCTTGCCGCTGTGGCCATGCCCACCCACCCATCGCCCACCCCACAGGGCGCCCCACCTCCCCGTTAACTCCCGCTAAACTTTGCTGAGCGGTGTTTAACCGCACCCTGCTCACTGACGACTCAGGGAGAGTGCTTTTTAGGTGCAAATATCGGCACCCCATACTGTCTCAGGACAAAGAGGCGGAAACCTGTGCTGCGCCTCGCGGCTGAGGGTTTCCAACACCCGAGGAAGAGGATGGGGTGAGCGGTGCCGGGTTTCCATGTGGGCCTCAGGTTCAGACCGCGTTTGGCAGGGTGGGTGTCTTTGTTCCACTATCCAGTGAACGACACCACCTTTCTGATAAAAGTTGGTGGCATATGCCTCAGCTGCTGGGATGGACTGCAGTCCCGCCCTCAAATCTAAGCCACTGAGGTCCTCACCACCTTGTCACCTACTTTAGGAGGCTGGACGGACGTGCATGTTAAACCTGCCTACGCTTCACTTCATTAAAGAGGCCCCCCCACTTTGTTTGAATAAGCTGGACTTGCCTCCTGGACGCCCCCCACCCACTAAGGCAGGGTATCTGGGAAGCGGCTGGCTGTAAGATCACTCCCCAAGACATCAAAGGCCCTGGGGGCCAGGCTGGATATGAATGAACCCCCTCCCCACTCACCATGGGCTTTTTGTGCTCACTCTTGGAGCAAAGGTGGGAACATTCCCGATCACTCCCAGGCCAGACGAAGAGCTGGGAATCAGGCATTGGTCCCCCCAGTACTTACTGAGCACCTACTGTGTGTCACGCTCTGTTTGGGGCCATGGAGGACACAGCAGTGAACAAGATGCTGACGGTCCCTGCCCTCATGAACTGGCATCCTAGCGGAAGAGACACAGCCACCAGCTGAACTATGTGTGGCAGCAGCAGGTGGATGGAGAAGTGTCCTTAAGGCCAGAAGCTGGGTGAGAGGTGAGCTTTAGGCAGGTAGACAGGGAGGTGGTGGTTAATAGAAACCCACACACACTCAGGGTACGAACTTTACAGTTCTAGGGCTGAGATGTGCTCAGTCCGAGACAATGGCATGTGCAAAGGTCCTGAGGCACAAGCAAGCTAGGCATGGCCTGTTCGGGTGATGGGTGCACAAAAATCTCAGAAATCACCACTAAAGAACTTATGCATGTAACCAAATGCCTTGAGGAGCCACAAAGAGGCAGGGACCACCGGAGGGCCGGGAGAGGCCAGGTCAGTGACTTCTAGGTGAAGCTGAGGCCAAAAGTTAAAATTCCATTTGGTCTTTTAAAAACTACTTGTGACTGTTCTATTTTTATTTTTAAAAAGCCATCATGAGCTTCCATTCCACACTCCCCAAATTAGAAACTCAAATGAGAGACTTGAGTGAGGAGGGTGCCCGTGCGGGACGCAGAATGTGGCCATTTTGCATCAGTGTAGGGCGTGTCTCCATGCGGGCAGGGACCTGTCTCCTGCATGGCCCAGGACAGCAGAGCCTGCCCACTGGGCCTGGTGGCAGAGGAGATTGTCTGTCAGCTGCATTCAGCCCACAGTTTTTTTAAATTTATTTTTTAATGTTTTCTTTCCATAGGTTTTGGGGGAACAGGTGGTATTTGGTGACATGAGTCAATTCTTTAGTGGCGATTTGTGGGATTTTGGTGCACCCACCACCCAAGCAGTACACACTGAACCCAATTTGTCATCTCTTATCCCTCACCCTCTTCCCACCCTTTCCCCTGAGTCCCCAAAGTCCATTGTGTCATTCTTATGCCTTTGCATCCTCATAGCTGAGCTCCCACTTATAAATGAGAAATACAGTGTTTGGTTTTCCATTCCTGAGTTACTTCACTTAGAATAATGGTCTCCAATTCCATCCAGGTTGCTTCAAATGCCATGATTTCATTCCTTTTTATGGCTGAGTAGCATTCCATGGCGTATATATATACCACAGTTTCTTTATCCACTCTGATTGATGGGCATTTGTCAGCTCACAGATATTTAAAGCGGGGTGGGTGAGTAACACAGCTGCTGCCTCTGCTGCCTTTGAGCTCCCAGGGCCTGGACTGTCACTGCAGATTGAGCAAACACCCATTGCTCTTCTCCTCCTCCCCGCCCTGCCCGGCAGAGCTGTGGGCATTTAGGGGTTGGCATCGTGGAGGAATGAGGATGGCTTTGAGGCAGATCTATCTCCCTAAGTGAATATGGGCAGTTCGGAGAAGTAGCCCTGTGCCATCTTACTGCACTCAGGGAGGCTGAAAGTGGCATTTGGGATCTTACATTGTGTTCTCTGGGGTTCATGTTCAAATGAACAGCCCCCCTGTGGCAAGCAAAGGACTCAGCCTGTTATGGGGCAATGGCAGGTGGTGACAGATCTGAGCTGTTGCTGCCTCCCAGATGCAGAGACGGGGCCTCTGGCCCTGGACTGCACCCACAGCTGGTGGCCTGGGCTCTGTCACCTTCAGGGCTCCTTCCCTCCATCCAGCCTCCCTCAGTCTTGTTTATGCAGTGGGTGGATTTCTGAAGAGTGTACGTGAGAGCTTCCCTAAGGAAGACGTGCTGGATCCCTGGACCCACATTGCAAGAGAAGCCATCCCTAAGAACTCCCCTGGGGGCCCAGCTCTTGGAGGCCGCCTGAGGTCTCAGCCATCCCTTTGGACCTTGGCTGGGACCCTTGGGACTCTTGGATTTTCTCATTTCTGCTTCTTGTCTGTGATGGTGAAACTGAGTATGAGAGAGGAGAGGGAAGGGAGCTAGGGAGGTAGTGCTGGGGTTGGGAAGGATGGATGGATGGATGGATGGATAGATAGATGGATGGATGGATGGATGGACAGAAGAATGGGTGGATGGATGGATGGATGGATGGATCGATGGGCAAATAGATAGAAGGATGGATCGATGGGCAAATAGATAGAAGGATGGATGGATGGGCAGAAGGGTGGATGGATGCATGGATGGATGGATGGATGGATGGATGGATGGATGGATGGATTGACGGATGGATGGATGGATGGATGGATGGATGGATGGATGGACAGAAGAATGGGTGGATGGATGGATGGACAGAAGAATGGGTGGATGGATGGATGGATGAATAGATGGGCAAATAGAAGGATGGATGGATGGGCAGAAGGGTGGATGGATGGATGGATGGATGGATGGAAGGATGGATGGATTGATGGATGGATAGATGGATGGATGGAGGATGAATGGATGAACAGATGGCTGAACAGATGGACTCAGGAAAACAGGGATCGGTCCCCATGGCCCCCTGGCAGGCTTACAGGTGTGTTCCTGTGAAGGTGTCTGAGCAAGCTAAGGTGGAAGACAGCCAGGTATGTCAGGACAAGGTGGGAGGGAGAAGCCTGTTTGCAGAAAGGGAGGCTGTGAGGAGGGAGAGGAGGGAAAGCCAGAAGCCCTGCGCCTCCTTCCAGCCGCGTCTGCTCGATCCCGGGTGAACTGGCCTCCAGTGGAAATTCAGCAAAGTGTCTGACAGCCCCGGTCTCCGGGGCAGGCTTACCCAGCTGAGAAACTCAGCTATATCTGCAGCTTTAGTGTGAAAAGAAGACAAATAGGCTCACGGCCTTCCAGGTGCTCTGGAAACAAGGGAGCCACCTGCATGGGGAAAATGCTGCCAGACAGACTGGGGGCAGCTTTCCCGGAGACAGCTTTCCTGGGGGCAGGTGTGGTCTGTCCTGTCTGCCCTCCAGTGCTCGGCCTCCCTGCGGGGCACGGTACATGGACTGTGGACACTCCTGGTGTGCCATCTGTATCTTAGGATGCACAGGAATCCAGAGGGGATATTTGTCCACCTTGCAGCAAATCCGGCCTTTATAAGGGCAGGGTCTGGGTTCGCCATTTTTTTGTGTACAGAGATGGGTGTCCCCTATCTGGGAGGCCGCCTGGCAGTTGTGAGTGGTTGAGAAAGGACAGTGTTCTGAGTGTCTGGGGGGAAGTGGGAGACCCTGCCCCAAGCCCCGCAGCCTGTGCAAAGTGATTCTTGTGCCCTAGGTTGACGGCCCCCACTCTGTTATTGGCTGGCAGAGCTGTGGGTCCCTGCACTCACTTCCCAGAGCTGCCGTGACAAAGTGCCACAGACTGGGTGGCTTAACACAGAAGAAATTCATCCTCTCAGAGTTCCGGAGGCCAAGAAGTCTGAAATCGAGCTGACGGCGGGGGCACGCTCCTCTGGAGGCTGTAAGGGGGTCCGTCCCACCTGCCTCTCCTAGCTGCTGGCCGCATCACGCCAGTCTCTGCCTCTGTCTTTATGTGGCCTTGTCTCTGTGTGTGTCCCCATGTCCAGATTTCCCTCTTCTTAGAAAGACACCAGTCCTTGGATCAGGGTCCACCCTAATCTAATCTGACCTCATCTTAACTTGATCACATGTGCAAAGACCCTCTTTCCAAATAAGGTGACAGTTGCAGGTACCAGGGTTTAGGACTTGAACTTATCTTTGTGGGGGACACAAGGCAGGCCACACCCATCTTGCTGACTTGGGTGCACCAGGCCTGCCCATCTCAGGAGGGAGCCCAGCTGGAGCACTGCCTCCGAGCTGCGACGTTCGAGTTTGTTCACCGTTTCTCTGCCTTGGGTGTCAGATCCTGGGCTCGTGGGTTCCTTGCTGGGCCCTTGATAGTTCATGGCTCTCCATATGGCCTGACCCACTCGGGGTCTCCTGGGATCCCCCCCAAGCAGACTGTGTCCTTTCGATAATCACATTCAGGTGCCCCATAGTGCCACGTTGGGGGAGATCGAGAAAGACCCACCCCTGCCCCGGCCCCCTGCCCCAGGATTCGCCAATAGCCAAGGCTGTCATCAGAAGGGTGGGAATTCTTGGTGCTTAAATGCCCCTCCTTGGTTCATCTTCCCCATGGGTGATGGTCAAGATTAACCTTAGCCCAGCCCGTGCGCTTTGGTCTCAGATTCCCAGTGTATATCCCAGACGATCAAGTTCTGACAGCAGCAGGGGTTCTCACCGCCAGGGAGGTCAGGGGCCGAGGTCAGGGGGCCGAGGTCAGGGGCTGAGGTCAGGGGCCGAGGTCAGGGGCCGAGGTCAGAGGGCCGAGGTCAGGGGCCGAGGTCAGGGGCCGAGGTCAGGGGTAGCTGTTGCAAGGCTCCATGTGGCTTTCATAAGGACGCCTCTCCCGCGGCCCGTGTGGGGCTCCCTGGCTATCCTGCTGTCTCCAGGAGCAGCAACGGGGGAGGGGGGGCTCTGGGTACCTCCTCCTGCCTCCCACTCCTGCACTGATGGGCCGCTAGTTGGCTCCTGGGTGAAAGCTCATGGTTCAGCGAACTGCGCCATAGTATCTGTGGATGGCGCTGTGTCGCCCAGGCTGTGCCTCCCTGTGAGTCCCTGCCCAGCCGGGCCCAGACTCCAGGTCTGGCAGGCTGTCACTGTGAGGCACTGAGCTCTCGACAACAGAGCGGCTATCTTTCCTCGCCGGCCTGTGGGCTATGGCCTGTGCAGCAGCCAGGAAGGTGGGGAGCTCCGAGGAGCCCCTGTGTACTTTGACTTCCAGCCAGCGAGTGTTCATCCCCACCCCAGCGGCTCCCGGGGAAGGCTCCTGGGTGAAGCGGGTGGGGCCTGGTGGGCCCTTGGCGAGTGTCCACAGGACCCAACACCCTCCAGGGCCCGTCCTGCCCCCCACACTGTCCTGCTGCCCAGAAGCCTGGGAGTAAGCCCAGCCTCCCCAGGCCACAGCAGGCTTGCCCCAGACCCTGGAAGGAGCTGGGAACCTGGGCCTGGGCCATCCCTGTTTTCCTAAGCTGGGAGGGAAGCATGGCATCTGGGTGACCCTCCTGTGTGCCCGAGAAGCACTTGTTCTCCCCTGTCCCAACATCCCAGAGCTTCCAGGCGGATGCTGAGCCCCCCAGGAAACCACCAGCCTGTGTCTTGGGCATCCCTGATGGTCCCCCAGCCCCAGGATGTGGGCCTTGCCGATGGCACAGCCTCGTTTCACAGATGAGCAAACCGAGGGCAGACGAGGGCATCTCACCGGATTCTGTCTAGACCAGAACAGGAGCCCGGGCCTGTGGGAGGGCGCTGCAGCCTCACAGACCGGCTGGGGGTGGGGGTGGGGAGCGGGCCTGTCTGGGGGCTTCCCGTGCCCAAGGTGGCCGCATGGCCAGGGCAGGTGAGCAATGACAGGTCCCCGTGTGCATGTGCCTGACCCCTTCCCTGGCCCTCCCCTGCCTTGCCAGCCCCCGTGGGACTGTGTGTGACCCAGTCTTCGGCAGTATCTCGCTCCCGCGTGGCTGGAAAGTCGGACTTCAGGGCCGCAGTCTGCCTTCTTGGCCGCGAGAGGCACTTCCCTTGCCCACTCCCCAGGCTGGCTGGAGTCCACAGGGCGCCACGACCGTTTCGATGTTCGAATAGCCCTGCAGCCAGAAAGACGAAGCTGCGAGCCTCAGGATGAACTGGTGGCTGCCACCATCTTCCCTTGGTGTCCAGCCCTGCAGCTCCGCGGGAGTGTCCTGGGCCTTGGCGGGGACTTCCCGAGCCGTCTCACCGCCCAGGCCCACGGGACGCCAGCCTATATCGGTCTGGGCTTTCACGGCTTCTGGTGTCTCCTGCCCAGCGCTTCCAGCTTGGGTGGACTTTAGGTGTTTTTTCAGCGGGACCCTTTGGCAAATGGTGCCCGGAGCTCTGGCTTCCCGGGCCAGCCTGTGAATTAGGCCTTGTCTGCTGCTGGCAGCCAGGTGGGGAGCGGGACCGGGCGGAAAGGGGCTGCCTTTGTCGGCGCCCACGTTCCAGGTGTGGTGGTATCCGGAGGGTTTGGCAGTGTCTTCATTCCGGGTTGACCCAAGAGAGATGCCGGGGCGGGGGCTCTGCCACAGCACAAAGGCTTTGCCTCTGAAATAAGCCCTCCCTGCTCGATGGGTGAGGAGTTAGCCTTTCCTGGCAGCGCGTGGGTGGGTAACGGCAGCAGCAGGCTGCCTCTCTCTCCCTCCAGCCCTTCCACTTGTCTGGACAGAAGAAACACCTCCCCAAACCTTAGTGCTCATGTTTATGTCCCCTTCCACACTGGTGTCGTCCTCTCTCCTCCCCTGTGGCTACATGTCACCCCCTCTTGCGGGAGAAGGGCCCTGGGGGTTCCTGTGCCTCATCTCACTCCCACAGGGCCCAGCACACAGTAGGTGCTCAGCAAACAAACACCTGCACGCACTTGGGAAAATGCCGAGCTTCAGATAACATCTTTTGGGGAGTGTGTATTATTTCTAAAAACATGGAATCATATAGAGTCTTGCAGCTGGGGTCAGTGTTGACTGAACGGTGAGCCATAGAAGATGAGGATGGGCCTGTCTTGTCACTGCCTTGTTTTTGTGAAGTGATTGTTCTGAAATGATGCTTGCTTGCTTCTGAAAGTAAGAAGTGTTGTTTTAGGTTAGAAGGGTGTGAGCTATACCTCTGTCCAGGGAGGTACCTCCACCCCAGACCTTCATGGGAAAGGAGGATCCCCCTTGCGGGCCCACTGGCACCCAGTGCCACCCCTGGGTTGGGCGCTGTTCCATGTGGCTGCTGGCTCTGACTCAGCTGTGCCGAAGCCTGGGAGGCGGGTCCTCCTAACGGCCCACTTCAGAGACGTGGAGGCTGTGGTGGCCCAGAGACGGGAAGTCATTGGCCCAAGTCACACAGCTTAGCAGTCTCCTTGGCTGCTGCAGCCAATTACCAAACACAGAGTGGCTTCAAACGGCACGAATTTGTTATCATCTTCCAGCTCTGGAGGTCAGGAGTCCCAGAATGATAAGCGTCAGCAGGACTGGTTCCTTCTGGAGGCTCAGAAAGAGTCCATTCCTGTGCCTGTTCTGGCTCCTAGAGGGGCCCGTGCTCCTTGGCTTGTGGCCCCTTCCTCCTCATCAAAGCCGGCAGTGCAGCATCTTCTGGCCGTTCTCTGACTCTGACCCCCTGGAAAGCTGTGATGACATCAGGCCCACCTGGATGACCCAGGACCATATCCCATCTCAGAATTCTTAATCACATCTGCAAAGTCCCTTTTGCAGATATTCCCAGGTCCTGGGGGTTAGGGTGTGGACAGCTTTGGGGGCTGTTGTTCAGCATGCCACACCCAGGAAGGGAGCAGCTGCCTCTCTTTTGGGCCACTCACTCCGTGTCAATGCCAGGGAGAGATGGGGCCACCTCGAGGCCAGCTGCTGGGGGCTTTGAAGAATCTCCTGCTTCTTCAGTCCTCGATCCTCTCCCTGTGGTCCTCAGCCCTTGTTCTGGGGTGACCGTGACTAGCAGGGATGGGGCTCCTGGTGATGTTTGTCCACAGACTGCTGCCAAACTTGAGGACAGGTATGGGCCCATACTCGGGGCTCTCTGGGTTGGGGCAGGGGCTGCTTTGCAGGTGTGGGGTCTCCCCTCCCCATAGTGCAGGGGCGGAGAGGTGCCAGGTCCTGGGCTTAGAGGTGATAAGGACTCCAGCCTTAGGGAGCTGCTTCTCTGGGGGTGACAGACACGCAAAGGGGTTATCGCGATGAAGGCCAGTAGATGGGTGCTCCCGTGTCCCCACAGAGGATGCCCCTAAGACTTGGAGAGGACACTGAGTTGGCTCTCACCAGCCCAAGCGAGAAGCAGCCAGTGCAGCAGGGAACAGCGGGAACACCGAGGCAGCCTCGGGTCACAGACAAGGGGCCGAGACAGGAACAGGCAGAGGCCCGAGTGGGAATCCTTGAGCCTGTGTCGGGGGAGCCTGGAGCTGAGGGGGCAGCGATGAGACAGGCCCCTGGGCATGAAAGGCAGTGGAGGAGCGAGGGTGAGGGCCCGGGACCTGGAGCCGCACCAGCAGCGTTCCAGCCCTGACCTGCCTCTTCCAGCTGTGTGGCCTTGGGCAAATGACTTAGCCACTCTGGGCCTCGGTTTCCACATGTGGAAAATGGGGGTGCTGCCAGCAGCTGCGTGCTGGGGTTTTTTATAAGGATCAGATGAGTAGGATATGTGGCGAGTGCCCAGAATGGTGCCCGGCACAGTGAGAGTGCAAAAAGCTCTGCATCCTCATTGTCCAGGCAGGTATGGGGGCGGCGGGGAGGGGACAGATGTAGGAGATATCAAGCTAGGTCCCTGCAGGACTTGGCTCTGAGTTCACAGTTCCCGCCCAGCCCGATGTCCACCCTCCACTCCCTCTGCCCGAGGCCGGTGTGCATGTGGTCACCATGGTTATAGGCTTGGCCCTCTGCGGCCCAGGCACGAGCACCAGTCTGGAGGAATAGGGTCCCCACCACCTGCTGTCCCCCGTGGGAGCCAGCTATCCCCTCTTCAGCCAAGAACAAAGCACTGAGCATCACCACGCACTAGACGCTGGGGTGTAAGGGATGCAGACCGTGCCTCCCCATCCGCGGGGGCATCGTGATCTGGGTAGGGCCAGAGAGCAGGGAGAGGGCCGCAAACCTAGAAATAAATGCGTAAGCAAAACCTGCTAAGTGCCGTGTCCCAGTGACGGGGTCAGGGAGGTGTCATGGCCGCTGCGCACGGTGCCCCACTGCCTCAGTCTCCAGTGGCCGTGAACCCTGGCTGCCCACTGCTGGCAGCTGTCCCCTTTCCTAGAGAGCTGTCCTTTGGGGGAAAGGGAGCTTCTTCCCCCAGGAGGTGACTCCCACCCCCAGGAGTGGGGCAGCCAGTGACCAGCAGCCTGCTCTCCCAGCTGGGACCAGTGCTGAGGCAGTCACACTCCTGCGCCCCTGGTGTGATGGGGCCAGGCTGGTCACAGCTGTGCCGTCGCCTTGCCTGGCTGACACCTGCTTAGCCCCTCTCTCCCATTCCCCTGGAAGGACTCCCCTCATAAACTGGTTTCACAAGATTTCCCATCCCGAGTCCCTGATCAAGATGGGAGGAGGCCAGGCTGGGGACCCACGGGTGGTCTCAGCCAGCCCCGGTGCCTTCACGGAGGGCTGGGCGGCGCAGGCCCCAGGGTTCGGGCTTGTCGACTTTTAGCATGTGGTTCTCTTGTGTGATCTTCCTAGAGCCACTGTAAAAAAAACTGCCACAAACTGGGTGGCCTGAGGAAACAGAACTCTATTCTCGCACAGTTCCGGAGGCCAGAGTTCCAATCGAGGTGTGAGCAGGGCCACACTGCCTCAGAGGGCTCCAGGGGAGGCTCCTTCCTGCCTCTCTGGCTTCTGGTGGCTCCAGGTGCTCCTTGGCTTGTGGTTGTGCCCCTGCCATCCCTGCCTCCACATCGTCCCTGTGCGTCTGTGTCCGCTCTTTTTTTTTTTTTTTTGAGACAGAGTCCCGCTCTGTTGCCCAGGCTGGAGTACAGTGGCGCGATCTCGGCTCACTGCAACCTCTGCCTCCTGGGTTTGAGCGATCCTCCTGCCTCAGCGTCCCTAGTAGCTGGGACTACAGGCGTGCACCACCATACCTGGCTAATTTTTGTATTTTTAGTAGAGACAGGGTTTCACCAGGTTGTCCAGGCTAGTCTTAAACTCCTGACCTCAGGTGATCCACCCACCTCGGCCTCCCAAAGTGCTAGGATTACAGGCGTCAGCCACTGCCTCCGGCCTGTGTCCACGCTTCTTGTAGGGACACCAGTCATTGGCTTTAGGGCCCACCCTCCTCTGAGATGGCCTCATCTCAGGAGCCTCAATTCCATCTGCAAAGGCTCTATTCCAAATAAGATCCTGTCCACAGGGTCTGCGTGGACATGGGCTTTGGGGGGGGACCCTGTTCTACCCACACTGCCCTTGTCCTTGGAAAGCCACCTCTGGCCGTGTTTTTGGTGTCCATGCGTTGACCCTCGCTGCTTCTCTCCAGGACTTCTGGGTCCATCTCATCTTGGCCACACTGGGCCATGCCCCACCTCCCAGGGAGAGGGTCTGCAGGTTTCAGACCAGACTGTGACCTCCCTTGGGTTCCTGCCTCCACCCCAGGTACCTCCATCTCTCCCCATTTTCACACAGGCAGACAGAGCCAGGGGCAAACCCGGGACCTGCCCAGCCAGCAGCCTGAGTGGCTCTGGGAGGAGCAGAGCCATTGATGGGGACGTCTTGAGGCCTCTTCTCTGAGGGCCTCTGCACACAGCAGGCAGTGGTCATTTGGGGCTGGGGCCGGCCCGCCGGCTGGAACCTCACCCACAGCCTGCGTCCCCCTAGGGTGGCCTGTGCAGGGTGCTTGCTGTGACAGTGAGCGTGTTCTGGATCTACCCCGGCCAGTGCGACAGCTGCCAGCGCGTGGCGGGTGCGACTGAGGAATGGCGTTTTTCAACCTACTGAATCGTAATGAATTTAAGTTGAATAGCCCCGTGCGGCTAGTGGCCCCTGTATTAGAAGCCCTAGAACAGGGTCCCAGGGCATGGCCTGCATGCCAGGGGGAGGCAGGGCTGAGGGCGTGCGGGTGTCCTGGGTGCTGTTTGTGGCTGTGTGGCCCTGGGGCCCAGTGGGGGCACTCCAGGACCTGTGGGCCCTGGGGCCACAGTGGACTCTGCTTCCCCCCCACCGATCACATCCCGAGTGGCACTGCACAGGGAAGCACTCCCTGATTACCTGGTGGTCAAACCCTTCTCGTGCCCTCATTGCCCTGTCGACCACAGCCCTCCTGACAGTTGGAATCTTAGTCCACTGGTGGGACACTGGTGGGAGCAGTGGGGGATTCAGGCAGCAAGCTGCGACGAGGCCAGGAGAGCCTCTGTTTGCCACCATGGCAGCAGTACAGAGCGCAGTGCCGGCACACAGTGGCGCGCAGTGGGTGAGCTGAACGAAAGGCGTTCTGCTGTGGCCGCGAGCATCTCTTCGCATCTGCACTCATGCTTTCTCCAAAGCTGTGCTATTCATACGCTCTGGGTCTATTATTCATAACCTCAGTGATGAACAAGCTATCTGAAAAATAGGCGGGTTATTTAAAGCCCCGCCCTTCACCTCCCTGAGCCCTTGGAGCGGGCACGTGTAGTTCCAGCAGAGGCCCTAGGGAGTGGCCTTGCCAGGCCCCCTGCTATCCCAGCACAGGCTAGTCAGGCAGGAGGATGCCTCATAACATCCCCAATCTCAATGGCATCAAAGAGCAAGGGCTTCTTTCTGGCTCTCACCATGTGTTCCCAACGGGTTGGCGGTGACTTGAGTGTTGCAGCCACACCTCAAGGAGAACATCTAGGGCTGCCTTAAAAGGCTTTAGGGGCCAGGCGTGGTGGCTCACGCCTGCAGTTCCAGCTCTTTGAGAGGCCAGGGTAGGAGGATCACTTGAGCCCAGGAATTTGCGATCAGCCTGGGCAACATAGTGAGATCCTGTCTCTGCAAAAATTGTTTTTTAAATTGGCTGGGGCATGGTGGCATGCACCTGTAGTGCCAGCTATGTGGGAGGCTGGGGTGGAAGGATTGCTTGAACCCAGAAGTTCGAGGCTGCAGTGAGCCATGATTGCACTACCGTACTCTAGCCTGGGTGACAGAGAGAGACTCTGTCTCAAAAAAAAAAAAAAAAAAAAAAAAGCCTTTAGAAACAGAGCCTCCTGGCCCTGCCCTGAGTGAAATCTCTACTTCAAGATGCTCACTTTGCTGGGCTGGCCCTGAAGGACCCCCGAGTACAGATGGACGGGGTTTTCTTGGGTTGGTGGAAGAGGGGAAAGGCCTGTGAGGCTGAGTCTGGCGGGGAACACTTCCGGAGGGAAGAGTGGGGTAGGGGGAGGGCAGAAGTGTCACCATGTTGGCATGAGGAGAGGCTGCAGGGGCCAGAGGTCTGTTTTCAGCATCAGTTTGGGGCTGAATCAGCAATGGGCTGAGCTGTGGGGAGGGGGAGGTGGACTGCAGGGAGGGGGAGGTGGACTGCAGGATGGGGTAGGGGTCCTTAGGCCACTTTCTGTTGAGGAGCAGGATGGGGTGGGGGTCCTTAGGCCACTTTCTGTGAGGAGCAGGATGGGGTGGGGGTCCTTAGGCCACTTCCTGTGAGGAGCACCGGGCAGGGGCATGCCCCTGATGGTCTTTGCTTCCACAGGGAGTGGAATTTTGGGACAGACTTTAAAACAGACCAGAGAAAGAACTTCCCAGCGTGGAGCTGTGGGGTGGATTTGGGAGGGGAACAGAGAGTGCTTTCTTTGTGTCTGTCTGATGGGGCTCTTTCTGAAGGGGCTGTGGATGGCTTCTGTTCCCATAGAACTCTCTTTCCCCACCTTGCCAAGATTCTTCCAGCTGCAAGTGACAGAAAGGCAGCTCAAATGGTCTGAAGCCTCAAAATGGATTTGCTGGTGCTCACAACTGAGGGACAGTTTCAGGTGTGGCTCGATCCAGGCATTTGAACAATGTTGGAAAGACTTGATCTTTCACATCTTTGACTCCTGCTCTCCTCAGCATAGCTCCATTTCCACTGGTTTCCAACCCCCCTACATTCTTAGCCCTCACGGTGGGGGCTGTCTCCACAGCTCTGGAGGAGAACCTGGGTAGGGCTCTCATTGGCCCAGTGTGGGTTACACGCCCATGTCCAATCCAGTCCTTGTCCTCAGGGAGATGTGGTGCCATTTCTAGAAGATGTGGATGCTGGGTAGGCCCTCCCTGCCCTCCTGCAGACATCTGCTATTCTGATCAGCTTCCTGTGCCCCTCGACAGGCCTGGCCAGCTCCCACCTGTGTGTTCCTCCCTGGCAGGTGTGCCACAGACACAGGTGTGGTGGGGTCTCTACCCCTCTGGAGGCTGCCTGAGCCTTGGGTGGTACCAAGAAGGGCTGGGAACCCTTCCTCCAGGCCGAGTGTGGTTTCAGCCCTGCAAAGAGCACAGAGGGATCCCAGTTCTCCAGGGCTCTGAGCCGGGCTCCGGGGTGGGTGTGGCCTTGAGGTTGCAGTGAGAGGCCATGACCACACCCCTTGTTGAGAACTGGGAGCTGGAGGACAGGCTGGTGGTGGAGAGCTGGGCAGATCCCTGAATGCCTGGATCCCATGGAGGGCGTCTGGGGTGGGCTTCCTGATGGGCCCCACAAAGCGGCTTCCTGATGGGCCCCACCAAGCAGCTTCCAGACCAAGCCAGGGCCAGAGGGTGTCAGGTGGTCCTGTGTGCCCAGCAGGGAGCTGAGGCCACTGCAACAAGGGGCTGCATAACCCCGTGTCCCTGGCTCTCCCCACAGCCCCCCTCCCAACTCCCAAATCCCCCGGCGTCGGAGATGAGGCCCCGGATGCTGCCAGTGTTCTTTGGGGAGAGCATCAAGGTGAACCCGGAACCCACGCATGAGATCCGGTGAGTGGGCCACTGGGCTCTGCGCGGGAGGAGGGGGTGGGGGGTTGGGTGCTGGTCCTGACTCTCTTGTGGGATGGGGGTGGGGACTAGGCCAAGCTGGGGGCTCAGGAGGCTCCCTACCCTCCAGGCAGCCCCTCTGGGTGCTGCTTCCTGGGGAGTTTGGCCGTATCTTAGCCACAGACAAAACTGATTTTAAGAGACTCTGACCCCAAGGGACCCTCTGTATCCACCCCACGCCCCCACCCCAGGTCTATTCAGCCGTTTCCCATTTCCCCATTTACCTTCTCCTCCAAAAGGCTTTTATTTTAAATCCAACCTCTCAGAAAAAATGGAAAATTATGAACATAACCACTTGTGCACCCTAACTCTACCTCCCTTCTCCTGCCAGATTTTTTTTTTTTTTGATGGGATCTCACTGTGTCACCCAGGCTGAAGTGCAGTGGTGGGATCATGGCTCACTGCAGCCTCAACCTCCTGGGCTTAAGCAATCCTCCTACCTCAGCCTCCCGAGTAGCTGAGACTGCAGGTGTGCGCCCCCATGGCCAGCTAATTTTTGTATTTTTTGTAGAGATGGGGTCTCACTATGTTGCCCAGACTGGTCTCCAGCTCCTGGGCTCAAGTGATCCTCCTGCCTCAGCCTCCTAGAATGCTGGGATGACAGGTGTGAGTCACCATGCCCAGCCCCTGACAGATTGTTAGGTATTCACAACCAAACCATTCAGGCAACTCAGGACCGCCTTCCACTCTGTTGTCCAAGCATTAGGGGACAGTTGTCCAGCTGCTCCATGTTCTTTGTGACTGTAACTTAGGTTCTTGAGGCCACCCATGAGCTACTGCACTGTAAGTGTATTGGGTGCCCTCCCATGCATATGACGCATATGACATCTTAGGTGGCATCCGAATTGAATTAAGGCACCCCTGCTTGGGAACATCCCACATCGATTTGCCCTCCTCTGAAGCTGCTGGGGCTCAGGCTTCCCAAGGATGGAGTGTGGGATCCGTGAGTCTTACCCACATATCTATGGGGCTCTCTCCATCCACTCGTCCCTGTTGAGTGGGGCCAGCCAAGTGTCTGAGACCCACTGCCTGCTGCCCCTGCCAGCCAGGCAATGGTCCCAGGAGACAAACGAGTCCACTTCTAAATTATTTTTCAATCCCCAAACAGCCTTCATTGTCTAGTTTTTAAAATGCAAGCCAAAATTAGATCATCAGAAGCCCAGCAAGGGTGGAGGATGGATGCCTTGACCCTCGGGACCTCTGATCCCTTCACAAGTCTTCTGTGATCACCTCTGGGGGTTCAGTGGGGAATGAGATGGGGAGGATTCTCTCCTTCCCAGAGCTTCCAGTCTGATTTCCTAAAGCTCTGGACGTGGAACTGGGGGATACTAGTCGGTCACTCCTCCAAGGGTGTTGAAGGGACTTCTTGGAAAACGTATTTTGATATAATTTCAAACTTTTTAAAAGGTTGCGGCTGGGCGTGGTGGCTCATGCCTGTAATCCCAGCACTTTGGGAGGCCGAGGCGGGCGGATCACGAGGTCAGGAGATCGAGACCATCCTGGCTAACACGGTGAAACTCCGTCTCTACTAAAAATTACAAAAAATTAGCCAGGCATGGTGGCGGGCGCCTGTAGTCCCAGCTACTCGGGAGGCTGAGGCAAGAGAATGGCGTGAACCTGGGAGGCGGAGCTTGCAGAGAGCCGAGATCGCGCCACTGCACTCCAGCCTGGGTGACAGAGCGAGACTCCGTCTCAAAAAAAAAAAAAAAGGTTGCATGTGCCTCTCAAACAGATTCACTGGTTGTTTATATCTTGCCCTATTTGAGAGGAGATTGGTGACATCCTGCCCTTTAGCCCCCAGATACTTCAGTGTGTCTCTTAAGAACAGGGACATCCTCTTCCATGACAGCAGCATAGTTGTCAACGTCAGGGAAGTGCACACGGTGACGCCAGCACCTAACCCACACGACACGGCTCAGTTTCACCCATCGTCCCGATAAGGTCCTTTCCTGGCTTACTTTTCTCCCCAGTTCAGGATCCAGTCAGGGTCCTTCATTGCGTTTAGCTGTCTCGCCTCTTTAGTCTCTGTGAAGCCAAGACAGTCCCTCAGTCCTTCTTTGACCTTCTTGACCTTGACATTTCAGAGCAGCCCACACCCGTTAGGCTTCAGAGCATCTGCCCAGGGCCCTTTCGTGTCCATGCTGAGGGCAGGGAATCGGGCTGCCCCCAATCCTGGGTTCACTCCGCTTCCCTCCTGCCCTTTCCAGCTGCAACTCTGAGGTCAAGTACGCCTCGGAGAAGCATTTCCAGGACAAGGTCTTCTATGCGCCCGTACCCACCGTCACGGCCTACAGCGAGACCATCGTGGCAGCACCCAACTGCACGTGGCGCAACTACCGCAGCCAGCTGACCCTGGAGCCACGCCCGCGCGCCCTGCGCTTCCGCAGCACCACCATCATCTTCCCCAAGCATGCCAGGAGCACTTTCCGGACCACCCTGCACTGCAGCCTGGGCCGGCCCAGCCGCTGGTTCACCGCCAGCGTGCAGCTGCAGCTTTGCCAGGACCCTGCCCCCAGCCTCCTGGGCCCTGCCACGCTCTGACGGGGCTGGGGCCGGCCCGGGGTGCTGGAGGAGCCGGGAGCCCTGGGGAGAAGCCGGGAGGATGGACACGATGAGCTCGGCCTGGCACTCGGGCAGGAGGCGGGAAGGGAGGCTGCCAGACCAAGGACCCGTGTGGAAGGAGGCGGCTCCCCGCTGCCTGCCCTGACCTACAGGCTAGGTGGTGGTCTCCTTGTTTTGGTGTCAAGGACTCAGTAAAAGCATCTATTTTTTTAGCACTTAAGCTGGCAAGGCGGTAGGGGCATGCACTGTTAGGTGGTGGCCACCCCCAGGGTCAGGGGAAAAGAATGGGTCCATGGAGTGCCCTTGAAGCAGAGAACAGCCCCGAGCAGTGTGAGGACAGAGGCATCCCAGCCTCAGCCGGTGGGGACGGCTGCCACTCCCCCAGAGCCCTGCCACCCCATGTGTCCTAGGCTGGTGGCCAAGGCCATGTGTGAGGGAAGAGGGGTACCTCTCTTCCCTGCTGCTGGCCTGGGGTATTTCCAAAACAGCCTTTTCGCACACATGCAGGTTGCACCGAGAGGTCTGGAGCTGTGGCTGAGCCACCTCTGGCGGATGTTGAGCCAGGAGGTTGGGCAAAGGCCGGATGCTGATGCCAGCGCTGGAGGTGGTGATACTGGGGGCGGGGAAGGCCTAGAAATACTTTGAGCCATGGCCTTGCCAGTGTCCCGTGCCCTCCAGTGTCAAAGATTTGGGGCACTGCCCGTCGAAATGGAAAGGTTGGTGCTCAGCCTCTGGAGCCTCACCTGCAGGGCGTCCCCAGCTAACACCCATCCACGCACCACCTCCAGGACGAGAACCCTTGATGTCAAAACCAAGTGCCCAGTGGAGGCGGTGAAGCTCTCGGAAATGCTGCCACCTGTGTGAGGCCGGGTCTGAACTCGAGGGAGTCGGAGCTCAGCTGTCGGTTTAAAGAGACACTGAGGGGACCGGGCTGCCGCCCTCAGCCTGCATTCCTGTGCGCAATCGATTCCGCAATGACAGCACCTTACTCCTTCCTGCGGCAGGCTCACCCCTGCCTGTGGGATGTTGTGAGAGGAACATGAGCCAGACAAAGACTTGGCTCAGGGCTCCGTGGAACAAGCCAGGATGCACGGGGAGCTGGGGGAGCCCCCAGCCTGGGGCAGCCCAGCAGGCCGCTGAACAAACACCCCAGAAGCCAGCACTGTGGCAGGGTGCTGGGGAGATGCCCCTCTGAGCCTTCCTCCCCCCTCAGACCTGAATGCACTCCACAGTTGGGGGCTGCCCCTGCCACTCCCCTGGTAATGCATAAAAGGGGAGGGGAAGGTTCCCTGGGGCTTGAGCTCCCTCTGTGGAGGTGAGGAGGGGAGATTCCGTTCACATCCAGGAGGGGCAAAATGACTGATGTATTTTTATGTATCTACACAGAGAGTGCATTTTCTCTCCAGAGATGCTGTCTGGTTAACAAAGGAATAACTTAAGAAATTGATTGATTATCTTAATAAACTGTGCAAACCCAACGGGACTTCCTTTTCTGTCTGTGAGACCTTCAGCTCCCGCTGGGGTTGGGGAAGGGGAAGATGGGTCTCCAGGCCCCTTTTCCTGTGTGGCCATCACTTTTTTTCCACTCGGAGCTTGTGCCCTAAGGAGCTGGCCTTGGCCCTGATCAAAGGAACAAAGAAGGACTCAGCCCCCACCCCTGTAGACAGCCTAAGCGTACACCACCTCCACACGCCAGCTCCACCCAAGAGCTAATTAATAAATGCAGAGGCCTGGGACCTACCTGGGGACTCAGATCTGGGGGGCAGCTCCTTGGATGGGCCCGGGCATCTGCACTTTGGATGGCGTGCATATCTGCAGCTCCATATCCTGGTCGTCAGCTCTGGCAAGCCCCTCAACCCACAGCATCCCTGGAGAAGGGCCCTGGCTGCCACTGCGGAGCAGGCGGCTGGGACGCACCTTACAATCTGTTTCTCTCCATCTCGCCCTTGGAGAGGCCCATGGGGCTCCATGGAGATAGTGAGTGTGTTAAAGGGAACACTCGGCAGCCAGGGGACAGTGAGTCAGACTGGAAAATCAGACTAGAATTTGCTCCCAGGCTCTGGAGTTGGTGGGGGCAGGGGATAAGGGAGTGTCCCCAGAGGCTGCTGGGGACAGGTCTTCCGAGGGGATGTGTCACAAGAGTGCCATGGTCAGGACTGGTGGTAGCCTCTTGAGGTCCACACCCTGGTCTGGCAGTGGTTAAGCTAACACTAGTGGGAATGCTATGCGTGCTAATTCAGAGCACTCATTGGATTTCAGGCTCTGTAGGAAACATTGCATATGAAAACTTGCATGCCATCCCTACCCGCTGACATGGATGCAACCGCATCTCCACTTCACAGAGGAGAAAGTAAGGCACAGAGAGGTTAAGTCATTTGCCCACACTGGTAGGATGCAGCTGGTAGGAGGCAGAGACAGGATCTGAACCCAAGATCCGGGACACTCTAAACCACCGGCTGCCTGCTTTGATGGAGGATGGCCCCTAACAGGGAAGGGGGGATGGAAGCCAGAGAGGCTGAGTCCAACACAGGTTCACATCAACTCGAGGACGAATCTTGAGGCCTCCACTGGTCTACACGGACAGAAGCACGCCTCAAGACCCGAGCCCTGCTTTACTCATGGGATTCCCTACAGATGCCTGCTGGGGGTGGCATTCTTTGCACCTTCCTTAATCCATGCAAATTCAACTCCACAAGCCTGATTTTCAATCACAACCTTGATCTCTCACCATCTCGAAGGGAAAATGGATAAGGCTTTCCGACACTTGCAATTATAGTGCCAATGAATTCAACAAACATGGAGGTTCCCCTGGGATCGGTCTTGCGCTGGAGCTCAGGTGGAGTCCGTTGAAATCGTCAGCTCTGCGTGGCCTGCCAGACTCTTCCTGTCCCGTCCCGTTCCTCACTCCCCTTTCACAGGCATTACCCTGCAAAACCTCTTACCCTCCTAACTCCATCTCAGCCCGTTTCCTGGAGAACCCGGAGAACACGCCCGCCTCTGAGAGCCTGCAATTTGTGGACCTCCTGCAGTGGCTCTACCACACAAATGGTTGTCGCCTTTGCTGATGATGCTGGAGGCCCAGCCTGCCTGCTGGTCATGCAGGGGCCCAGGGAAGCCCAGCCAGGCACAAGGCGGAAGGAGAGGGCAAGGGCAACCAATCTAAGGCCCCCAAGTGCACCTGCTTTTCCCTTAAAGCAGCTCGTCTGTCCTAGGGGAACCCAAAAGACCTGGAGACAGGCAGAAAGAGGCATCGGTTCTGTCTGATCCTAGCCCTTGGGGACTTCCATCCCTGAAACAGAGACTGGCTGCTGTCCTCAACTGCCCAGCCTTCACGTGCTGCTGGCTATAGCGCCTTTCCCCATCTCCCCCCAGCCCAGGCACACCAGATGTGCAAGATTCAATGTGCCATGCAAGACCCCGGTGATGCCCTCAGAGGGGCAACTGTCACCCACCAGGCCCTGGGGAGGGGAAACTGACAAAGGATGGGCCTCGTCGCTGGAAAAGGAACAGGTCACTTCACTTCCCTAAGCATCTGCAAAATGAGCGGAAGGTCTCTACCTCCCAGACCTAAAATCAGATTCGGCAGCCCCCTTCCTTGCCCTGTACACGGTGCTCTTTCCCTGCAAGTCCACTGAACTTGACACTGGTCCCATCTCTTCCTGCCAGAATGGGAATGAAAACCAGGGCCTGCGTAGCACCCACACTGTGCCTGGCCCTGCTAGGAGCATGTCGTGTATTTAATCTGTTTCATCTTCACGACGGCCCTGCAAGAGGTGAGGAGAATCCTGCGAACGAAGCGTGTGCCCCCGGCCTCCCTCCAGAGGAAGTGTCCCTGTGAGGACAGCTGGTGGCTTGCAGACCGCTGAGCCCTCTCGGCTTTCTAAAGAATCTGTAAACGACTGAATTTTCTTTGATGGCCCTCCTTAGCCTCTCAAGGACGGAATGGCCAGAGAACCCTTCCACCAGCGCCAGCTCCCCAGATTTGCAAATGAGCCACTGCTGCCGACCTCCTGCAGCTTCTCCTCCCTCCCCACCTCTGCCTTTGTCCTTTGCCTCTGGCCACTATCTGATTCCCATACAGGTGAGCAAACAGCGGCTATGTAAAAAAACAAACAAACAAACCAAACCAAAAAAACCCAATAGCTTTTAGGAAGCAGTCACTCCCTATAGCAATACCACCACCCCATTCGACAGACACGGAAACTGAGCCGTGGTGGGGTCGAATGACGGGGCCAGGACCAGGCAGCTGGCCGTGACATGCCTTTGCATCGTGCTGATCCCCGAGCCCCCTGCCCCCTCACGCCATGGTGTCTGTCCCCGATCCCCTCCCCAGGGCAAGGGGGCTGTGTCCTGGCCTCTCCACTGTGCCAGCCCCTTATCCTGGTCCCACACTGGCCTCCCAGGTCTAATTCTCCCTCACAATCCATCAGCACCCTTGCGAGACAAAACTGCCCTGATTTCAGAAAACCGGCAAGTTACCTTATTAAGCAACGGCTCACCACCCCAGACACTCCTGGGCCCCCACAGGGACTCACGTCCAGCCCATGGTCGTGGGCTCCCGAGGGTCCTTGGTTGGGCCTCACCTCCTAGCCTTTGCCCACAC
Source organism: Homo sapiens (assembly GCF_000001405.40). NCBI lineage: Eukaryota > Metazoa > Chordata > Mammalia > Primates > Hominidae > Homo > Homo sapiens. Next base: position 124,319,150 of record NC_000012.12, read on the forward strand.
AGGTTTTCTCCTCTCAGCCTATTCCCTTCCCTAGACCTGCCTCCTTCAGGAAGCCACCCTGACTGCTCCAGTTTATCTGTGTCATCCCAGGAAAGCTTGTCTGGAGCCAACCCCAGGGTCTTTGGGACCAGTCCTTTGCTGCCCTGTGGGGCAGCAGCTCTTGGGGCTGGTGGCCAGGTCTCCTTCTACAGAGACTTTTGTGCACTTACTGGAGACCTCCTGATCAGATGGAAGCGAAGGAGCCAGGTTCCAGGTGAAGGCCTAGCTCCAACCTTGGGCACCGCCCCTGCCATCATGGTGAGGGTCGTCAACCACCCCCACCAGAAACCCCTGGGCTGCTTGTTGAAAACACAGATTCCTGGGCCCCACCCTGGACCTAGAGCATCATCAGACTGTCTAGGTGGACCCAGGAATCTGCATTTAACCAACTTCTCGATGTCCTAAGACATGGTGACATTTGCCACCAACTGTCCTTTACAGAGCTCTTTCTAGCTTTCTTTTGAGAACTAGACACTCGCAGCGTCACTTCACAACACACTTGCCAGGGAGGTTCAGAGCCAAAGGCAGGGTCAGGAGGAGAAAGACAAGAGCTCTGCCCCTCGAGGGTTCCGTCGGGTTTGAGACAAGGATTGCACTGTGTTATCAGAGACCCAGAGGGGAGAGAAGATAGGCCAGGGCAGTGTGCTCTTCAAGGAAGTAATGCCCCAGCTGGGTTTTGAAGTGTGTATAGGGGTTTTCCAGGGAGATGGGGGTCAGGGGAACAGCATGAGTCTTCATTTTAAAGATGCAGCAGTGAAAAAGCCACATAAGACAGGGGTGGGATGACATCTTTCTTTGGGGGCGGGTGGGATGACCTCTTTCTTTGGGGGCGGGTGGGATGACCTCTTTCTTTGGGGGGAGGTGGGATGACCTCTTTCTTTGGGGGTGGGTGGGATGACCTCTTTCTTTAGGGGCAGGTGGGATGACCTCTTTCTTTGGGGGTAGGTGGGATGACATCTTTGGGGGCAGGTGGGATGACCTCTTTCTTTGGGGGCGGGTGGGATGACCTCTTTCTTTAAGGGTAGGTGGGATGACCTCTTTCTTTAGGGGTAGGTGGGATGACCTCTTTCTTTAGGGGTAGGTGGGATGACCTCTTTCTTTAGGGGTAGGTGGGATGACCTCTTTCTTTAGGGGTAGGTGGGATGACCTCTTTCTTTCTTTAGGGGTAGGTGGGATGACCTCTTTCTTTAGGGGTAAGTGGGATGACCTCTTTAGGGGTAGGTGGGATGACCTCTTTGGGGGCAGGTGGGATGACCTCTTTCTTTAGGGGTAGGTGGGATGACCTCTTTCTTTGGGGGTAGGTGGGATGATCTCTTTCTTTAGGGGTAGGTGGGATGGCCTCTTTCTTTAGGGGTAGGTGGGATGACCTCTTTCTTTGGGGGTAGGTGGGATGACCTCTTTCTTTGGGGGTAGGTGGGATGACCTCTTTCTTTGGGGGTAGGTGGGATGACCTCTTTCTTTGGGGGTAGGTGGGATGACCTCTTTCTTTGGGGGTAGGTGGGATGACCTCTTTGGGGGTAGGTGGGATGACCTCTTTGGGGGTAGGTAGGATGACCTCTTTGAAGGCTGAGGACCAACTGGCTGTAGCTGGGAGACAGAGTGGACCCTCTGAGGGCAGGAGGCTGCGAGCTTTCCATGCACCTGCAAACAACCGCCTGGGTTGGGTCTAAGTCCCTGGTCCTCAGAGAAGATACGCCATGGTGCTGAGTGGTACCAATTCAGAGGCACAGAGACAGGGGCTGATGGTGATGACCGTGAGGGCTGAGCCCTGTGATCCACTCCCATCTCTCTGGTCTAACTGGTGGCTCAACAAGGTGCTGTGGGATCTTGGGCCTCACCGATGTGAGTGGGTAACCCCTGGCGGCTGGCATGACCAACACCCCAACCCATCCTGGATTCTGGGTAGGGGCCACTCTGTGCCCTGGGTGGAGGGCAGGCCTGCCTGGGACAGTGCCCTTTGCCGGCCCCACACTGCCATCTGCCTGCCGGCCTCAGAACTACAGCCCAGCACCAGGCTCAGCCCTGTTGGGACGCATGAAAGCCCAGCGCACAGATGAGAAACCAAGGCCCAGAGGGCACCCAAAGCATCCCCAAGTTCACACAGATCACAGTCACCAAGCTGGAATCCAGGTCCTGCATGGGCCCAAGGCTTCTGCTTATTTTTAACCTGGGCACAGTAATCAGGGTGGGACACCGAGAGCCAGTGAGGCTGGGCAGAGCCCCTGAGGATGCCCCTCCTCCCTGGTCCCCACTCCAGGGGAGGCAGGACCCTGGGCAAGCCTGGGCCCTGGAGGCTTTGGGTCCCCTGGGAAGGTCAGGGCAGAAGGTGGCAATTTCTGCTTCCAGCAGACCATGGTTCTCCCTTTCATTGCCCCCCAGTCCTGTGGGGCTGGTTTCTGCAGTGCTGGATGTGAGGCTGGTCAGACACCAGCACAGGGCCAGGGACCCCCAGCCTTGGCTATCCTTGCTGGCAAATCCCCATCAGAGCCCCCAAGGATGAATTCCATCTGTGTTGGCACCACCCCTTTGTCCCTGCTTACCAGTAGCTGGGCCAGGGTGGGCCCTCTTTGGGGATTTGGGACTGCCTCTTTCTGGGTGAACTGAGGTCAGCATCCCAGACTGCCTGGGCATGAAGGCTGAGAGATGGGGACAGGCAGAATTCCAGGACCCTGGGTATCCCCACGCTTAGCATGACTCAGACGCACTTCTGAAGGAAGAACAAAAAGAGCATGCCCTGCTTTGCAGATTATCTTGCGCCCATGAGGGGCAGAGGACCCACCTCCCACCCCCTTTGTACTCCGAAAGCTTTTAGGGGCCTGGGAAGCTGGGGCCACCCTGGGAACCCACCCAGCAAGACTCAGCTTTTGCAGGGCAGGCGTTTCCTGGCTGCCAACTGTCTACATGTCTGGTGGGTCTTGGGTGGAGTGGGACACAGACTGGGGGTCTTCACTCCACAGTGGCTCCAGGAATGCTATTGGGGCAGAGCTGACCTCATGGCTCTGCCAAGAGGAAAGGTTCTCTGACCTCTGCTCTAGGATGGGGGCAGGCCTCAGCGGCCACACTCAGGCCAGCGCTGTCCCCATGGGCTTGGGGACATAGGATGGCTAAGAGGTTGTGATGGGGCTGTCCAGATGGAAACCCTACCAGGAGGCTTCAAGACACTCTGGACCAGCAGGGGAAGCTCCAGGGCAAGGGTGGGCTTCCTCTCTCTAGGGAAGCAGGCAGTGGCACCACAGGGGGCCCCAGTGCACTCCCCATGCCAGGGCGCCTGTAGCTATACCTGGGGGCCAGTGGGCATATGAAGTCTCTCTCACGCTCTTCCAGCTCAGCCACCCAATCTGGCTCTGGGGACTGACACTGCACACGGGACCGGGCACCAGGTGGGGTGTCAGGCTTTGGGGGAGTGTGGAGGGGCAGCCGTGCTGCTGTGGCAGCATACGGAAAGGGCAGGTAAATGAGGGGGAGGGCCAGGCCACTGGCACCAAGGGACAAGGCCGAGGGTGACTGGGTCAATAGTGAAGAACTGTGGCCATTCCCAGGTTCCACTCTGCTCCAGAAGGGATGCTGCGGACACAAGACAGGGCACACCCAAGATGTGGTAGACTTGAACCCAAGAGGCACCTGAACAAGCTGGCAGGAGTTGCTCTCTCTCCTGCCTGTATTCAAAACACACCAGGACATCCCCGGTCATGATCTCTATGGGCAGGGATGACATTAGAATACTACAATTAGGAAGTGATGGCCATTCTGGACTCCACGGGTGTGAATACTAGACACCTTCACTATGGGTGTGAATACCCAACACCCTCACCCTGTGTATATGTGATTCTCTTGCCATGAGTGTGAACACCTAACATCCTCACCATGAGTGTGAACACCTGACACATGGGTGTTAATACCCAACACCCTCACCCTGTGTATATGTGACACTCTTGCCATGAGTGTGAACACCTAACATCCTCACGAGTGTGAATACCTGACACATGGGTGTGAATACCCAACACCCTCACCCTGTGTATATGTGATACTCTTGCCATGAGTGTGAACACCTAACATCCTCACCATGAGTGTGAACACCTGACACATGGGTGTGAATACCCAACACCCTCACCCTGTGTATATGTGATACTCTTGCCATGAGTGTGAACACCTAACATCCTCACCATGAGTGTGAACACCTGACACATGGGTGTGAATACCCAACACCCTCACCCTGTGTATATGTGATACTCTTGCCATGAGTGTGAACCCCTAACATCCTCACCATGAGTGTGAACACCTGACACATGGGTGTGAATACCCAACACCCTCACCCTGTGTATATGATACTCTTGCCATGAGTGTGAACCCCTAACATCCTCACCATGAGTGTGAACACCTGACACATGGGTGTGAATACCCAACACCCTCACCCTGTGTATATTTGATACTCTTGCCATGAGTGTGAACACCTAACATCCTCACCATGAGTGTGAATACCTGACACCCTCTCAATATGTGTGAACATCTGACACCTTCACCATGGGTGTGACTTGACACCCTCGCCATGGTGTGAATACCTGACACATGGGTGTGAACATCTGACACCCTCTCACCATGGTGTGACCACTTGACACCCTCACCACGGTGTGAACACCTGACACATGGGAATGAATACCTGGCACCCTCTCACCATGTGTGAACATCTGACACCCTCACTATGGTGTGAATACCTGACACCATGAGTGTGAACATGACACCCTCACCATGGTGTGAACACCTGACACCATGTGTGAACATCTGACACCCTCGCCATGGTGTGAATACCTAACACCATGAGTATGAACATCTGACACTCTTACCATGGGTGTGACTACTTGACACCCTCAGCATGGTGTGAATACCTGATACATGGGTGTGAATACCTGACACCCTCTCACCATGAGTGTGAACATGACACCCTGACCATCATGTGAATACCTGACACATGGGTGTGAACCCATGTGAACATCTGACACACTCTTACCATGGGTGTGAACACTTGAGACCTTCACCACAGATGTGACTATTTGATGTCCTCATGGTGATGTCCTTACCAAGGGTATAAATATTCAACTTGCAAAAGGATCCACTCCCTGGTGACTCAGGCGGATGTGGCCTTGGCCCTCCAGGGGTATACTCCCACTGTCCCCTAAACGCCTGCCCTATTGGCTGCCCAGTCTGAGGTAGAGAAGAAACCTTTGTAACTGGAGTATAATTCGCTTTTTAATTAGAACGACGTGTGTAAATGACAGAATACCACCACCCTGCGCAGATGGCGGCCACAGAATACGCATCGAATTCATTCTGCCCAAGGAAGGGAGGGAGGGAGGACACAGCGGGGCGTGAGCCAGCAGTCCCCGCCCCCTTGGTCCTGCGAGTGATGGGGTCACCGACTGTCGGCCTGCACACGCCTCTTGAACGGTAAGCAGAGATCAAAAGCACAGCAGCAGTAATACTGGGTAAGTCCTTCCTTGCGTAAAACATCTGAATTAATTCATTGAAGGTATCAAAAATATACCCTGTAAACCAACACATCATTTACATCTGCCTTTCCTTCCCACCGCTGCGGCAACGATGTGTGAAAAAAACAGTCCAGTCCTCGGAGCATCCGTTCCCCCCAGGCCGCACCTGGCCCTTTTGTCCGCCCACCTGGCCTGACTTGGTTTCCAGCAATCTCGTTGGCTGGGGCAGTCTGTGGGGACCGGAACGAGCGCACTGGGGGCTGGACAGGGCCTGCGTCCATCTGTCCAGAGCGCTAAGCGGGATGGGAGGCGGAGGGAGGGCGCGGGGGCTGCGAGCTCAGTTTAGACTTTGGTTCCAAATGCATTCGGGGGAGGCAGTGGCGTGGAGGTGCGTGGTCATCCTGCTTTGGGTCCCTGGCCGCCCTGGCCGCCTGCGTGTGGCTGCCACACGCCTGCCGTGCCCCCTCCCCGGCCCCTTCCCCTCCCTTCCCGAGCACCAGGTAAACATCCCCTGAGTAAGGTCTGCACAGGGCCAGCCCGGGGCGGGAGTCTTAGTTAAGGCTTTAGACAGGCAAGGATGCCGGCTCTGGACGGACAGATGGATGGAGGCGCAGGCGGACTCAGGGGCTCCTTCCTTGGTTGGGGGAGTCGGCAGCCGCCCTGCTCCTGCAGGGCCGTTCCTGTGGCTCGCTGGGACCTGACACCGCCCCCCCCCCCGCCCTGTTCTGAGTCACTCGCTGTCGGAGAGTGTCTCGTACTGCGAGCAGAGCAGTGGCTTGGGCTCCTCGTCCCAGGCGTGGTGGGGGCCAGCGAGGGGCCCGCTGCCCGCGGGGAGGCCCGGTGGGGGTGGGGAAGCCATGACACCCGCCTGCAGCCGCATGATCAGGGGGTTGTAGGGGAATGGCGTGGAACCTGCGGGAAGAAGCGAAAGATGCCCAGGAGGCCTCTGTGAGCCCGGCAGCCCCTGCTGGCCGCCTGCCCACCACACCGGGAACAGAGGCCTCAGCGTTTCTGTCCAACAGTCCTCCCAGACCTTTCTAATTGCGAACAGGTCTCAGAACCGTCTGCCTCTCTTCACCTGTTCTACTTCCGTCCCTGTTCACACCCTGCCGCTGTCTTTTGCCTGGACTATAGCAGTAGCCTATTCACCGTCCCTCTGGTCTATTCTCCCAGGGGCCTTCTGACCCTATGTTAGATGAGCATTTCCCTTCCGAAAGCCCTCCACGCCTCCTCACTACCCATCAAAGGAAGTCCAGGCTCCCCTGGATGGTCCACCAGGCCCATGTGATCTGGCCGGCCCCAACCACACCCTTTTCCTCTGCCTGTGCCCCTGGCAGAAGCATCCTGATGGTTCGTGAGCCAGGCTCAGCTGCCCAGGCCCCTGGACAGCGTTTCCACAGAACAGGCCCGAGTCTGAGCTCTGCATGCAGCAGGCGCTCAGCATTCAGTGCCCCGGCAGCATTCACAGCCCAGTGTTGGGGGCTCAGCGAGCCCAGCCCTGTCCCCACCTGGTGCCCACCTGCGGACGAGGGCCTGTCCTCCCACACGCGGTTGGTGAGCGGCGTCCGGCGGTTGCAGTCTCCCTCCGAGTGCACTGAGGAGACAGAGGGTGGCCGGTCCCCAGATGCCAGGCCCGGGGCCGGGGACTTGGCTTTTCGGCTGCTGGGTCTGCCAGAGACCTTGGCCTTCCCGCCGCCACCTGCAGGGGGACAAGATGGGAAGGGGCTGCGTTGGGCAGTGAAGACAGCACCGACGCTACGGTGGGGCCACAGGGGCAGGGTGAGGTCCTGCCATGGGCCCTCCAAAGAGGGAGGGAGAGCAGTAACGTGAACCCCTCCTCCCTGCTGCCCGCCCCAGCTGGGAAGCCAGGGTTGACCAGATGGCCAGCCATGAGCCTGGAGGGTGGAGATAGTTTCTGCTGGGCAGGGGGAGGTGGCTAAACTGTCTGCTGTTTGCAATAGCCCCCTGGGCTGTCCTGCAGCGACCCCAGCCCCAGGGGCTGGAACCCTAAGCATGAAGCTGGGCTTCCAGTTTGAGCGTGGCCCCAGGACCATGCTAAGGCTAGGCAGGATCCAGGCCCCGTGCAGAGAAGTCAGGACCCCTGAGGCCAGGCCTGACCCCCACAGAGGCTCCAGAAGCTTCTTGGGGCCTCAGTGTCCAGGTTGGACAACTGCAACTCTCTCCTCAGCTCCCTGCCCCGATACAGAGGGTATTGATGGGGAACCAGGCTGACCCCTAAGGCTCCCTGACTCCCAGGGCTGAGACAGACCCTGGGCTCCTCCCCACCAGGCTAAGGGGCAGCTGAGGACACATAGTGGGCCTGGCAGATGCTGAGCACAGGCCTGGCTGCCATTCCCCTGTCCACACAGTGTGGGTGGGGCTTCACTCCAGCCTGCTCTCCCCCAAGGAGACAGATGGGCCAAGAAGCCGGGTCCCCGCAGGGAGGAAGGCGGGAGGACTGGGGGGCGGACAGCAGTGTGAGTGTCCGAGGGAGGCGGCAGCGCTTCGGGCCTAGTGGGCAGGAGGGCCGGGGCTGGGGGGCAGAGGGTACAGACACTTGGGGGGTGTCAGCCCAGCTTCAGATTAGCAAACTCCAGAACGAGGTCAAACACGCACAAAAATAAAGTCACAAGCTCCAAAGCTCGAGGAGGGGGTTGTCAGAGGAGCGCGGAGGAGCGAGGATTAATCACACCGGGGGTGGGGACAGACGGGGGCGGGGCGGGGGTGGCCTGCAGACCTGGCGAGGTGAGTGTGTGGTCACTCCGTCCGTCAGCAGCGGTTATGGGCATAGCAGCGGGCAGGCTGGCACTGGCATTCAGAGGGTTAAAAGCATTGGCGCTGAGCGGCGGGGACTCTTCCCACTGGTCATATTTACCCATGAGTGCCTTTCTAATTATGGCCTCCAGCCCCATGTTGGTGCTGGCATGTTCCTGCACCGCCTGGCTTCTATAGGTCATAAGGCCTGGGAGAGAGAGACAGACAGACAGACAGACACATGGGGGCCGGGGAGGGGGAGCCAGAGGGGCGACAGAGAGAGAGAAGGGAGAGAGAGAGGGAAGGAGGAGGAGGAGGAGGAGGAGAGAGAAATACACAGTGAGCACATTTCGGCAAAGCAACATATTTATTTCCCTATCCCTCCCCACCCTTTTTTTCCTGCTGGGTGGTGATAAAAGGGGAGAGGCTGGTTCCTTCTACCTGGGGCCCCGGAAGCTCTTGGGCACTGCCAGGGAGGTGGGGTAGGGGAGGTCAGATGCCCCCACCAGCCCCTATTCTCATTCCTATTCTGTCCTCTGGGAAATCACAAGCCCCGTCTGCACCTCCAATCCTAGCTGGGGCTGTTTTGTTTGTTTTTTTTTTAAATCTCAAGTGGCCTTAATGGAGAGGGTGGGAGATGGGAGGGCTACCCTGTTTGGGGAACAGGCTGCTAGAAAATTGGCTCAAGCCAGAGCTGGGGGCTGGCTGGGGGCTGGGGAAGGGACTGAGAGAGAGAAGGTGACCAGATGGTCCTCCCGCTGCCCCACCTCCACCTGTGTGATGGGACGTGCAGCCCCGTACCTCCCCACCAAGCTGGGCCTGCTCTCCTCCCTCTGCCTCTCCCCACCCAGGAGCCATGAGGAGAAAGAGGTGCAGAGACGGACGCTGAGGGCGGGGTCATAGCCATGCAGTTACGGTGCGTGCAGGGGACAGGGCAGAAGTAGACACAATCACGGGACCAGCCCTGGTCCGGCCCCAGCTGGCCCAGCTGCCCAGTCCCAAGGACAAAGTGGTCGAATCAACAAACCGGTCCCAAGAGGATGCTTCCAGAACACCTCCTGACAATCGGGGAAACCTCCTTTTCTGTTAACCACATTTCCTTTCCCTTTTTTCTTTCTTGTGAACCACGTGGAGGTGGGGGCCTTTGCACACCCCCCAGAGGTGCTGTCTTTTCAGAACTTTTGTTAAACCAGCCTTTGCTTTCAAAAGCCCCCAGTGAAGCCCCATTCCACCGTGCCCACCACGGGGCAAGTGTTTCATGGAGTTTTAAACTTCTGCTCCGAATGAATCATACGAATACAAAGTGGTCAAATCGTCTTTCCGACCACTCGCTCCTTTGTAAACCAAACCGAGGCTTCCATGAGGTTGCGGGTGATGCAGATGCTTTGAAAATCACGTTTCTGTAGCAACTGCTGGCTGCCTGCGTTTTCTTTTCCCTTTTGGTTTCAAATACGTTTGTAGCCAGGGATGCTCACACCTTTTCTGCTGTCTTGGCCACATTTCTGCAGCACTTTTGAAAAAACAGCCATGTGCATGAAGAAAAAGCAACATTTCCAACAAGGGTGAGTGCTGAAATCACAGCAGCGCGACTGGGCCTTCTACCCAAGGCCACGAGTCCGTGACCTGATGGAGCTGGCTCCAGGCTTAACGATCTCCATTTATAAAGGTGAAGTCTGACACAGGTTGAGTGGCAAAGACTGGAGCCTGGAAAATTTCTTCTTGTGGACTAAAACTGCATAAAAAGAAAAAATCAGGCTGGGCGTGACTGCTCACGCCTGTAATCCCAGCACTTTGGGAGGCCCAATGTGGGTGGATCATCTGACGTCAGGAGTTCGAGATCAGCCTGGCCAATATGATGAAACCCCGTCTCTACTAAAAATACAAAAATTAGCCAGGTGTAGTGGCGGGTGTCTGTAATCCCGCTACTTGGGAGGCTGAGGTGGAAGAACTGCTGAAACCCGGGAGGCAGAGGCTGCAGTGAGCCAAGATTGCACCACTGCACTCCAGCCTGGGCGACAGAGCAAGACTCTGTCAAACAAACAGACAAACAAACAAACACAAAAAACAAAAATCAGTCGAGGTGGGAGGATCCTCAGCTTGAGGACAGGAGTTCAAGACTAGCCTGGGTAACATATTGAGAGCCTGTCTCTACAAAAAAGATAAAAAATTACTCGGGTGCAGTGGCGCATGCCTGTAGTCCCAGCTGCTCAGGAGGCTGAGAGGTAGGAGGATCATCTAAGCCTGGGAGGCGGAGGCTGCAGTGAGCTGTGATTGCACCACTGCACTCTGGCCTAGGTGACAGAAAGACCGTGTCTTAAAAAGATAAATACAAAATATTTATATATAAGTGTTAGCATAAATCTTCACTGTACCATGCCATGAGTTTTTACACACAGATACACCTGTGTGTCTAGCACCTACTTCAAGATTTAGAACATCCCAGGAACATTCATTTCTAACCCTCTTGTTGTTTCGACCAAATTGTCTTCTTCCCGTTGCCTGAGGCTTGGCAATGCCCCCGGTGTCTAGTCACTGGGCAGGTGGAGGTGTCCTAGTTGGGACTCCCATTTGGAGGCCTCGCTGACCCCCTGATAATATCTGAACGACTATCCTTCGCTCACCATTCCCAGGGCTCAAGGCCCAGGAATGTTCCCCAGGGAAGATCAGCAAACCTCTCCGACCTCCATCCTGGCCTCAGCTTCCACCAAAGGACCAGAGGATAACCAGGCACCCACACAGAGGCAGCCGACCCCAAAACTGCCTCAGCCCCACTGGGCCAGGCCTGCCCATGCAGAGTGACCCCCAGAGGCCACACCCCAGACTCACCAAGGAAATACACAATGGGGCCCTCCTAGAGGATGGGGCTCCAACCTCAAGGGACCCCTAAGTCCAAAAGATCATAGAAGTCTTAAGTTTCAGCTTAAAAGTGCGTGTCAATTTTACACCTATCTCTGCCACACACCTGTATTTGATCTTGAAAGAAAAAGTAAGGCTTCCCAGTTCCCTGGCTGGATTTAAGGAATGAAGCTCTAGCTATAACAAACGCCCGAGTGAACTCGGAGGCTTGTGCTCTGAGCTCAGGCCCACCCCTCGTCCAGACATGTGCATCTCCAGCTGAGGCTGGCGAAGAAGCAAGGTGAGTTTCCAGCTGGTGAGGGTGCATCTGATACTTACTAACCACCCGAGGGGATCTTAACTCCAGAGATTCCCTGCACAGCGAGGATCCTGTCTACACAGGGAACAAGCCTCGCCTGCCTGTTGTGTGACTCTGAATCCTACTGTGCGGTTAGTTCATCCCAGAATGAGGGGGTACACCCAGACTAGCGAAGGCTCCTCGTCCCTTCATGACAGCTGGAGCAGGGGTGGGGAGGGAGCGGAGGGGACCAGGGCAGCCATATAGCAAGGGCTGGATGGGTTACCTGTTCCGGTGATGGCGGGCATATTGAAGATCTCCGTCCCAGGCTGGCTGATATCTGGAAGCGGGTGACAGAGTGGGTGAGGCCCCCAGGTCTCTGGGAATTACCTGCCCTACCAGTCCCGTGTGGTCCAGGCCAGGTGTGCTGGCATCACCTGGGGAAACTTGTGCATTGCAGGTTCTCATGCAGCAGGCCTGGGACAGGGCCAAGCGTCTGCATTTCTTTTTTTTTTTTTTTTTGAGATAGAGTCTCGCTCTGTTGCCCAGGCTGGAGTGCAGTTGTGCAATCTCGGCTCCCTGCAACCTCCGCCTCCCAGGTTCAAGTGATTCTCCTGCCTCAGCCTCCCGAGTAGCTGGGGTTACAGACATCCGCCACCACGCCTGGCTAATTTTTGTATTTTTAGTAGAGACGGGGTTTCACCATGTTGGTCAGGCTGGTCTCAAACTCCTGACCTCATATGATCCACCCGCCTTGACCTCCCAAAGTGCTGGGATTACAGGCGTAAGCCACCGCGCCTGGCCAAGGGCCTGCATTTCTAACCAGTACCCTGGGGATGCTGATGCTACGGTTCCCTGGACTGCACTTACAGGGCCCTGGAGTTACCAGCCTGGGTCAGAGATTTTTTTTTTTTTTAAGACAGTGTCTTGCTCTGTTGTCCAGGCTGGAGTGCAGTGGTGTGATCATAGCTCACTGCAGCCTTGACCTCCGAGGCTCAAGAAATCCTCCTATCTCAGCCTCCCCAGTAGCTTGGACTATAGGTGTGTGCCTGTTTTTAAAGTTTTTTGTAGAGATGGGGTCTTGCTATGTTGCACAGACTGGTCTCGAACTCCTGGCTTCAAGCAATCCTCCTGCCTCATCCTCCCAAAGTGCTGGGCCTATAGGCATGAGCCACCGTGCCCGGCAAGCCAGTGACTATCTGCAAGGTTTCTACTCCAGCCCCAGGAAGGGAAAAGCATCTGTGATTTGTCCAAACTTCCCTGGCAGATGAGGCTTCTTGGGGTCGGGGACTGTGACAGATTCTTTATTTGCCCACCCACTCACGTATTCCCTGGTGGATCTGCTAACTGCCAGGCGCTGTGCTAGGGACTGGGAAGCAGAGTGGGGCGTTCATACCCAGCAACCACGTCAATGGGTGCAAAGCCACACAGGTGCTGAGTGTGGGAGGCGCCCGGCCCTTGTGTGGGAGGGATCCAACCCCTGGTCCCAGTATTCATGCAGGTATTCACTGGGCACCTACTATGTGCTGGGTGCTATTCTTCTGTGCCAGTAAGCTCCTATGGAAAGCCCAGCAAATCAAGAAACTGCCCTGGGGCTCCCCAAATGTGAGGCAAAGGGCCTGGGGGGAGGTGGTCAGCAGGGCCACTTAGCTTTCGAAGGTGCACCGTGGGTTTCTGCCACTGGGCGGCTCCAGCTGCCCAGGCAGGCCACCCGCCCACCTGTGGCCCCATGCTTCCCCGGGAGCCTGCAGGCCCCTTACTGTATTCAGGCTCATTCCGGTTGTGGGTGTTCAGCTTCTTGTTGATCTCTTGCTTCTTGGACTTGACCATGGCGGAGTTGCTCTCGGTCAGCTTGCTGAAGAAGGCTGGCGGCTGGCTGGTGTTGCCTGGAGACTTGGAGCCCATCCTGCTGTGAGGATCAAACACCTCACATCAGCTCACTTGGTGCCGAGCTTGCATGCCTTTGATGATGGGGAACTCACCACCTGAGATGCCTTAGACATTTGGAAGCAAGCTTCACCCGCCCCCACGCCTGCATCCCCTGCCTGGTAGAAGATCACGGCTCCTGAAATCTCCTCTGCGGTTCACCCGTCCTGGGGCTAGGGGTGTCTTGGGAGACGCCTGGCTGCGTGGTGGGCTGCCTCTGACCACTTGCTCCAGCCTGACCCTCTCAAGAGAGCCCCAAGGACTGAAATTGGGTTCCGATCATGCCCTTCCCCAGGGGCAGCGGGCCCAGCTTCCTTCTCAGGTCCCACCTCACCCATCGCCCCCGGTCTGGCCCAGCACACCTAGCTCATTATTTCTTAGAGGTTCAACAGGGGCTGTCAACGGGGGCCTGGTCCAGCTGAGATCCCAGCCCAAAGCATGGAAAGCTACCACTGAGGTCTCCCCAGGGAGGGTGGGCATGTATCACACCCCCAAGTTGGTGAAACCTGCTTGGCAGGCTTGAGGTCACCCAGCTGAGCCCTGTGCCCTTGTCACTCTCCACATGGCACCACGGTGGACTGGGGCCAAGGATGGGCAAGGGATACCAGAGCATCCCGGGGGCAGCGCATGTGCCCACAGAAGTACCTGGGCTCCGTCTGTTCCCCATCCCGGTACAGCAGCGGGTACACAGCACTCCGGGAGTGCCCTGGCTCCGTCATGCCCTCCGGTGGGGACACAGGTTCAATACCGTCCTCACCACCACCCAAGACCGACGTCTTGTTTGGCTCTGGAGACCTGGATGGAGAAAGGGCCCCAGATGTGGTCAGAGGTCTCCCTACTGAGGGGGCGCACCCTCCCTCCACTCTAAACCAGGGCCCCACACGCTTTTCCTGTACGTGGCCAAATCATAAACGTTTTAGGCATTTTCGACCACAAGTAATCTCTGGCATGTATCGTTATCATTTTTATTTTTTTTTTAAACAACCCTTTAAAAATGTAAAATCATTTTTTTAGTTCATGAATTGTACAAACAGAGGGCCCGGGCTAGATCTGGCCCATGGGCCACAGTTTATTGACCCCTGCTCTGAATTCTGGTTGTACCCCAGTGCCAGCTACACCACTGCCCCCCAAAGATGTCCTGCTGTCTTGCCATGTCTGTCCTCGCACACACATTACCCCCCCCGCCCCCACCAAAACGCCTCCTTCACCCTGGAGCTCAGGGCCCTCCCCTCTCTTTCTCTTTTGACCCCCAGAGGCCCCACGGTTCACCAGGGTGGGGGTGGGGGCGGGGGTGGGAGTGGGAGTGTGCGTGAGCATGTGCATGTGCCTGTGTCTACAGGGGTGTGCGGGTGCGCCTGTGTGCGGGTGTGCATGTGTGTGTGCGCATGTGTGCGGGTGTGCATGTGTGTGTGCGCGCGCATGTGTGCGGGTGTGCATGTGTGTGCGCGCGCATGTGTGTGGGTGTGCACGTGTGTGTGTGCGGGTGCGCATGTGTGCGGGTGTGCATGTGTGTGTGTGCGCATGTGTGTGGGTGTGCATGTGTGGAAAGGCTGCTCTCTAATCATACAGCCCTGGAACAAATCCCCCTCTGTCACCTACTGACTGTGCCCCTGTGGGCAAGTGAATTCACTTCTCCAGGCCTTAGTTTCTTCATCTGTGAAATGGGGAGAATGCTGCCTATGTCTCCTGGGGGGCTGTGTGTAAAGGGTACACGTGAGTGCCTGGAACCCACTGAGCACAGCATGTACTTTCATCAGCTATTATTCGTTATGTATCCGCTCTGTGACTCCCCCATCTCCTGGAGCCTCCATTTCTTGCCTGTGCAATGGCACCAGGCGGGCCTCATATGCAGCTGAGCTCAGACCCAGCTCTGAGGCAGGCAGCTGACGAAGGCCTCCCGCCGGCTGACCAGCAAGAGGCACCCCCATCCCTCGCTCACCTCTTGCCCCCTTCGCTGTGGGGGGAGCCACGGGCCGGGGCACCATGGTCCGGGGGCGGGAGGTAGAGGTCACTGGGTGGGCGGCGGAGGTCCAGGACGGGGCAGCTGGCCCCAGGGAAGGAGTAGAGGGGGGCGGGCAGGGGTGCGCTGAGCTGCTGTGGGTGGTGCCGGGTGTAGTCCTGTGTGATGACCTCCTGCAGGCAAGTGGGGGGGCCCAGAGTCAGGCAGCACTCTCCTGACAGAACCTTCTGGGGGTGGGGAGGGGCTAGACGGAGCTCGGGGCAGAATCCTGGGTGGGGCCAGCTTCCTGGGTGACTGTGGACCTGCCCGCCACCCTCTGGGCCTCCGTGTCCCAGTGTGCATGGGAGTGGGGCTGTGGTCAGCGGTCCCAAGCTGGTAGTTGGCAGATGGCTGATGAGACCAGCCCATGACACTGAGAAACCTGGGCCACCAGGAAGGCCTCATTGCCCGTGAAGATGCCATCGGCTCGCATCACAGGCTCCTCCCATGGATTAGGGGGCGGTGATGGTGCCGGTGCTCGGGGCTTTGGGATCTCACCCTCACCCACGCCCTGGATCCCCCCAGCGCCATGCCCTGGATCCCCCAGCCACCCCGCCAGGACAGAAGGGCTGTGGGGTTCCCCATCCCCTCTCCAGGCCTGGTGCCCCCAGGTGCAAAGGTGACAAGCAGCAGCAGAGAACGCGTAGTTACACTGATGTGCTGGGCCAGGGTGACCACCCGCTGGTGACCTTTGACCCCTGGGGCGGTCTGGAGCAGCGGGCTGGACGAGGGCTGGCTCTCAGGCAGCGGCCGCAGGTGTGGGAGGTGGGCGGCCTCCCCGCCAAGCTTCACGGGGCCTGCAGGCAGAGCAGAGCTGGTCAGGGGGTGTCTGCTGGCCCCAGGGCTGCTGGGCCCAAATCCCAGCCCCATGCCTTTGAGCCTCATGATCCAGCCAATTCCTTGGCCTTTAGGCACCTCTGTTTTCCTATCTGCATGATGGGGCCTTGAGGGTCCTCACTGTGCAGGGCTTCGGGGGCCTGGGTACTGGGTGGGGCGTACCTGGCTGCTTGGGCCGCAGCTCCCCCTCCAGGTGGCTCTTGTCGAGCTCTTCCAGGTGCTTGGGGAGCCCCTTGTCGTGGGTCAGACTGGGTGAGCTCACAGGGCTGACGGGCTCCACCCCTTCGGGGCTGTAGCTGCTGCCGTGGTAACCTAGGGCAGGCGGGGGGTGCAGAGTCAGGCACCGGGCCCAGGGTTTCGGAGCCCGAGGGGCAGGGCTGCCCTCCCAGCTGGCTGGGACCCCGGGGGGGTCAAGGGGAACCCAAGCTAGGGGTAGGGTTTGGGCTCCCAAAGACAGTAAGGCAGAGAGGGGTGTTGGGGAGAGACAGGGAGGCCAAGGGAGAGGTGGAGAGAGATGCAGAGCCCGGGACAGAGACAGACAGAGAGGGAGACACAGAGAGAGATTAGGCAAGAAGGGACAGAGATGGGTTCAGGTGGTGGAGGCCGGGCGAGGCCAGCGTGAGATGGGGGCAGCATGGGTCTCTGGGGAAGGAGTGTGTGGGGCGGAGTGAGAAGTGGGGGTGTGGCTGGGAGTGACCCTGGGTCCCCGGGGCCCCGCCTGGGCTATAGCCTCGGCCATCCCAGTCCAACAGAGAGGAGCCATGAACTAGGGCCAAGGCAGGGGTCCAGAGGCAGAGGGCTCCCCTTTTTCTGGGGTACAGGGGCTGGGGACAGGGCAAGATGCAAGAGCCAGACCCAGCTCCTCCTCGACAGCGCAGGTCCCTGCCCCGCCTCAGCTTCTCCTTGCACCGCCTGCCTCCACTTCCCCCAGTCCGACAGCATCCAGGCAGCCGGCAGGTGGGGGCGTAGGCCCGAGCCCTCCCGCAGCCCCATCCCTGCTCCCTGGACACAGGCGCAAAGAGGGAGATGGGGGCGCAGTCGAAGTCAGAATCACAGATCCATTCATTAAAGAAAAAAAAGCAAAAATCCAAAAAAAAAAAACCATGGTAAAATGATGTGCAAATGATGAGCGCCCCCAAACCAGAGGGGCAGGCGCGGCCGGAGTAGTCGTCAGCGCGTGCAAACCGGCGAGGACGGATGGGCTTCAAAACAAAATACCAAAACCAACAACAAAAAAAACGGGGGCCAAAGTAAAAAGCAGAGATCTGAAAATATCTTTGGACCACGAGACGGGGTGGGTGCGGGCCGGAAGTCTTACCATCGCGAGGGGAGCCGTTGGCCAGCGCACCTCCTTCTCGCGCCCCTTTATCGTGAGCAATTTGACGCATGATAATCGCGTCTATGAAGGTGGCCGCTGTCAGGGTGGTCTTACCCAGAGAACGGAGTTCCAGTTCCTGGATGGAAAAGGGTTTACTTTGAGTCTTTTCCCGGTGCGGGTCCGAGGCCGAGGCAGGTGGCGCCGGCGGGTCCGGGCTGGCGTGGTGAGGTGCGAGGTTCTTCGCAGGGGTGCGGGCGATGGTGGCGTGGCCAGAGACAGGAGGCACTAGGGGCCGGGGCTCCGAGCCCTTGCTGGGGGAGGAGGCGGGCTCCAGCCCGGAGCGGGCTGGGGGCTTGGCGAGGAAGGCATGGCCGGTGTCTGCTCGGGGCCGCTCTGGCCGGGCGACCCGGGGGGCCTCCTTGGGCAGCAAGACGGGCTCCATGAGGGTAGGGTAGACCCCATCGAGGGTGCCGCCCAGTGGGCAGTGGGTGGCAGGTGGGAATGTGGCAGCCGGGCGAACGGGTGAGGAGGTGGAGGTGGACCTGGGGGAGGAGAGAAGGCGGTCAGGCAGTCATGGGAGCTGCCCTCTTCCTCCACCACCCTCGATGAGTCCCCATTGCCCTGGGATAAATCCACATCCCCTGCTGCTCCCAGAGTGAAACTGCCCTCCTGACTGTAACCTGCCAGACTCTGTGCGTCATGGTTTGACCCATCCCACTCATTCGTTCATTCATTCCTTGCATCATTCCAAAACTTCTGATTAAGCAGCTACTAGGTGCCAGGCACTGTTCTAGACACTGTGAATACAGCGGTCATAAAACGGATGCAAGCATCTTACCATCTAATTCAGAAAACAGACTACGATCACATTAACAGATATCCCAAGCTCTACAGAGCCTGGTAACTGTGTGGAGGTAGTCAATGAGGTACCAGGAGAGAACGGCAAGGAAGCTGAGGCAGGGCTAGGAGGTCTTCAGGGAGGGGGCACATGAGGGAGCTGGGCCTGCTCAGGATACCCGAAGAGCTAAAAAAGCCACGTGAGGAGTGAGAGAGCAAGGGGAAGGATGCCAGGGGGCGGCCAGGGTGGGCGTTGAGAACAGAGAAAGCTGCTGTTCCCAGCTCTGTGAGTGAGAAGCTGGGGCACAGCTGCCCCTGCACAGGGCTGGGGCTGGAACAGGAGCCGGCTGCTCCACCCACGTGGCCTTCCCGGAGCCCTGCGTTTCCATGGGGGCACCCCCATCTCTCGCTAACTCTACCTCCCAGAGCCTCATTCATGAGCGGGCAGTGGGCAGGCACTCGTTTTCTCCATTATATTTTTGAATCGGCTGTCACGGGCATATCCCACAGAGCCTGTGTGCGGAACCCTGCTCCCCACAGCCAGGGATTAGTGCTTCATGCACCTGCTGGGTCTGAGTCAGGGGTGACAAAGTCGCCACTGCTTTTGGGAAACGATGCCATTTTTCATAATTGAAATAATGATTAGGGGAGGTATGACTTCAGGCATCCAAGCGGCAAGTTGGGGCACAAGTACTTTTTTGAATGAAAATTCATTTTGGAGGAGTAAGTTGCCTCTAAATAGGTCCTGGAGGCTGAGTGCGGTGGCGCACGCCTGTAATCCCGGCACTTTGGGAGGCTGAGGCAGGCAGATCACTTGAGGTCAGAAGTTTGAGACCAGCCTGGCCAACGTGGTGAAACCGCATTTCTACTAAAAATATAAAAATTAGCCGGGTGTGGTTGCACGTGCCTGTAACTGCAGCTACTTGGGAGGCTGAGGCAGGAGAATCACTTGAACCCAGGAGGTGGAGGTTGCAGTAAGCAGAGATCGTACCACTGCACTCCAGCCTGGGCGACAGAGTACAACTCCATCAAAAAAAAAAAAAAAAAAAGGTTCCGGGCAGGGAAGGGTGTTGAGGTGTGACCCCACCCCCCTGGTGAAGCAGCTCTGCCCACAGTCTCTGGAGTGTGTGTCACCAGAGGGCACTCAGGGGCCTCTCCCATCTCAGAGAAACTTGGGACTTTGTCCAGGCAAGAGGGACACCTCTTTTCCTTGCTGGCCTTGCTAAATGTGGGGGACCGGGAAAGTCTTTCCTCACAGTCCCCATTCAGTCTCTCCCTCTCCACAGATTCTATTCTCAAACCAAACAACCTCCCCATCTACTCATCCCACCGCCCAACTCATCGTCCATCCACTGGGGCCTCCATCCACTCATCCCCACAATTACTCATCCAACCATCCATTCCATCATCCACCTAACCCTACCACCCACCCATCCACCCACCCACCCAGCTAACCCAGCCATCTATACTCTCACCCACCCACCTACCTCCCTAACCCTACCACCCACCCATCCACCCACCCAGCTAAGCCAGCGTCTATACTCTCACCCACCCACCTACCTACCTAACTCAGCCACCCACCCATCCATCCATCCACATGGCTAATCTGGCCATCTATCCTTCCTCCCACCTACCTACCTACTTAACCCAACCACCCACCCACCCATCCATCCATCCACCCAGTTAACCCAGCCATCTATCCTCTTACCCACCCATCTACCTACCTAACCCGATCTACCTACCACCCACCCACCCACCCACCCAGCTAAGCCAGTCATCTATCCTCTCACCCACCCACCTACCTACCTAACCCAACCACCTGCCCATCCATCCATCCATCCATCCATCCATCCATCCATCTGGCTAACTCAGTCATTTATCCTCTTAGCCACCTACCTACCTACCTACCTACCTACCTACCTACCTACCACCCACCCACCCACACAGCTAACTTGGCCATCTATCCTTTTGCCCATCTACTTACCTACCTAACGTGACCACCCACCCATCCATCCACCCAGCTAACCCAGCTATCTATCCTCTCACCCACCCACCTACCTACCTAACCCTATCACCCACCCATCCATCCATCCACCCACCCAGCTAACCTAACCATCTATCCTCCCACTGACCCACCTACCCACCTAACCCAACCACCTATCTGGCTAACCCGGCCATCTATCCTTCCACCCACCCACCTACCTACCAAACCTGATCATCCACCCATCCAACCAGCTAACCCAGCCATCTATCTTTCCACTGACCCACCCACCCACCTAACCCGACCACCCCCCCATCCATCCATCCATCCACCCACGCAGCTAACCTAACTTCCCACTGACCCACACACCCACCTAACCCGACCACCCACCCATCCACTACTCACACATAGTCTATTCTTCTACCCCCACACATCTGCCCACCCACCCACCTCCCATATACCTCCCACCAAGCATCCTCTTATCTGCTCATCCTCCTACTGACCACCCATCCACCTGCCCGCCCCCTCCCCCATGCCAACCTGGCCCACCTCAGGACCGTGGGCGTGCTGGGCTCCACAGCGGTGATGATACCCTTCATGCCTGTGTTGTGAAGCACACTGGGTCTCTGCTGGAGGGCATCCTGGGTCCGAGGGGAGATGGGCGAGTGCTGGTGGGCATGGGAGTGGGAGGCGGGGCGGCTGCTGCTGCCCCCACCCCCGCCGCTGCTGCCGCTGCTCTGCTCTGTACCTGGTGACAGTCAGTGGCATCAGCAGGGGGAGGCCTCTTGCGGCCCACAAGGAGTCCCGGAGCGGGGGGTGGGGGCTCTGATGCCCTACCAGGTCTCCAGATGGGTGCGTGCTCCACCGTCGTGGTGGACGTGAGGATGGACTTTTCCCGCTCCCGATCCCGGTCCCGCTCTCGATCCCGGTCTCGCTCCCGCTCGGACGAGGACGTGGTGGTTGGTTTTGTCAAGTGTGTTGGACCTCCTAGGAAACCCAAAGGCCAGAGACTCAGCCCCAGGGCCGAAGAAGAGCCTGGCTTTGTCTTCTGGGGTGGGAAAGAGAGCAGGGCTTCTGCCCGCCCATCCCCCAGCCGCCTCCCATGGATGCCGGGGTCCCCACCCCAGACTGGGCAGTGGCGCTACCTGGGGAGAGTGGGGAGCTGCTGTGGCGGCTGCTGAAGGGCTGGGGCGCGGTGGGGAGGTAGGCAAGGCGGTCCATGGCGGTGGCTGGGGTGCCTGGTGTCGGGGGCACGAGCACAGGCAGGTGTGGCACTTGGGACAGGTCGATGATGCCTGCGGGAGGTGTTGGGCCAGGGCTGTAGCCACAGGGAGGAGAGAGGCCAGGCTGCCCACCGGCCAGATCACCCTCCTGGAGAGCACGGCACACACTCCTGGAGCCAGCAGAGCTGGTGGCAGGCACTCCCTCCTCGGCTCCCAGCACCAGCCATGGAACCCTTTTCTGAATGCTCAGGTTCTCTCGGTACCACCTCCTCTTCTGCTCCCAAGCCCGAGCCGGGGCATCTCCTGCAGCTGCCCTCACTGGTTCCCATCTCAGGCCCTCTGTGCCCCTTCAGCCTCTGACGCCTACACAATCCATTCCCTGTATTCAATCCTCACTGTTCAAAATACTTAAGTGTGACTTCAGCTTTTCCAGCTGAGCCCCAGCTAGAACTTGGTTATTCCAGAAGCATTTCTGAGGATGGCCCTGGAACGTGTGCACGCAAAGCAGCTGTGGGCTGTTTACAAGGCAAAGGAACAAACTCCAAACAGCCTCACATTTTCATCTTTTTTTTTTTTTCGAGACACAGTCTTGCCCTGTTGCCCAGGCTGGAGTGCAATGGTAAAATCTCCACTCACTGTAACCTCCACCTCCTGGGTTCAAGTGATTCTCTTGCCTCAGCCTAGTGAGTAGCTGGGACTACAGGTGCGCATCACCATGCCTGGCTAATTTTTGTATTTTTAGGAGAGACGGGTTTCACCATGTTGGTCAGACTGGTCTCGAACTTCTGACCTTGTTATCCACCTGCCTCGCCCTCCCCAAGTGCTGGGATTACAGGCATGAGCCACTGTGCCCGGCCACATTTTGATCTTTAAACTCCTGAGGCCCCTGTATCCTAAGAGTATACACAGATGCACGCACACCCACTGAGGATGCAGCCAGGAGCCACACGCTGTGCACTCACCTACCAGATGCCAACCAGCACCCACAGCACGCACAACCCCAGGCCACCCACTCAGGTCCGTTCACACAAGGTGACCCACAAGGTGACCAGGTCTAGCTGCCTCCGCGAGGCCACAGGGGCACGCCCATGTCCTTTGGGAATAAGGCCAAACCCAGCGGAGGTGGTCTGCCCACCCACTCACCTCGGGGACCCGCAGCGTAGTTGAGTGCCAGCGAGGACTCGCGGGGCGAGAGGCCCCTCAGCATATCAGCTCGCTGGGCCATGGCGGTGGCCGCGTTGTGGTGCATCTGCTGCGAGGTGATGTAGTCATTGATGATGGTCTGCCGGTTCTCCAGCGCCGCCGTGTCGGGGTAGCCGCGGATGAGGTAGGGTGGGTACAGGTGCGGGTAGGTGGGGTTGGGGGCCAGGTGTCGGGGCAGGTAGTAGGCAGCGGCTGCGGGGCAGAGGGGAGCTCATGTGAGGCCAGCCATACCTAGGCCTGATGGTGTCGCTCCACCTGTCTGGATGCCCCCTACTTCTGCACCCGGACAGCTTCTCCCACCTACATGTGTGGCTGCCCAAAGCACAAACCAGAACTGAGCGTCGGACAGCAGGAAAACATCACGCCAGGACACAAGAGGGTGACTTCTACGAAGGATGCTTTTTGCATCAAAGTTGTCCCAAACATAGGACATCCCAATGCAGATTAACACTCCAAAGGGATGCAACTTTTTTTATTTCTTTTTTTTTAATTTCTTTTATTTTTAGAGAAGGAGTCTCGCTCTGTCGCCCAGGCTGGAGTGCAGTGGCGCGATCTTGGCTCACTGCAAGCTCCGCCTCCCGGGTTCACGCCATTCTCCTGCCTCAGCCTCCCGAGTAGCTGGGACTACAGGCGCCCGCCACCACACCCGGCTAGTTTTTGTATTTTTAGTAGGGACGGGGTTTCACCGTGTTAGCCAGGATGGTCTCTATCTCCTGACCTTGTGATCCGCCTGCCTCGGCCTCCCAAAGTGCTGGGATTACAGGTGTGAGCCACCGTGCCCGGCAACTTTTAAAAAAGACTTTCAGATCATGTCTATTTGAAAAATGCATATACTCAAGTCCTCATTCTATACCTTTGCATTGCTAAAGGCACTGATAAGTCCTGCCGGAAAAGAAAACCACTGAAATGTTTAACCCCACATGTCCTGCAAACTACTAAGAGAAATTCTGCTCCAACCTAAGCTCATGATTACACTGTTGGGTCTTCCAATCCCGAGGCCTCAGTTTCGCCATCCAGGGGAACCTGACAGTTGATGCCTAAGGAGTCCCTGAGCGAACACTGATGAGGTCCGTGGCCCTGTTCAGCACCACTGCAGGGTTCTGGGAGCCCCAGGGCAATCACCTGCGTCCAGAGGGATGCCGCGGGGTATGGAGGTGGGGTCGAAGGCCAGGGGGATGTGGCTGCGATACAGGTCCACGCCACTCACGCCCCGAAGCAGGTGCTCATAGGGCGAGATGGGGTGTGGGTGGTGCTCGGGCACGGTGCTGTGCGGGGACTTGGCGATCTCACGAGGCGTCGACGTCAGCTTTCGGTCCTGGGATGCCTTGCTGGACGAAAGGCTGCCTGTGGACGGGCAAGGTGGATGCATCGGGCCTCTGGGGCTGGCATTTACGGGGAGTTGTTTGAGGATAGGGACCTCGGGATCCCAAGGACCAGGTCTCTTCATTCACTCCTTCATTTCTTCATTGCCTTAGTTCACTTTTTGCTCACTGACTCATTTGCTTTTGTGTTATAGTTTTTAAAAAATTCATTCTTTCATCCATTCACTCACTCAATCAATTAAAAAATATTGATGCAGCCTCTACTACGTGGCAAGCATTGTTGTGAGAACTGGGGTCACCCCAGTGAACGAAACAGAAATCCCAGCCCTCACAAGCTGACATTCAATGCGAGAGACAGGTGATAAACTAGCAAACAAATGAGAATTACAGAGTGAAACACGCTCAGAAGAAAATTTTCTTTCATTTTTTTTTTTTTTTGAGATAAGAGTTTCACTCTTGTTGCCCAGGCTGGAGTGCAATGGCACGATCTCCGTTCACTGTAACCTCTGCCTCCCAGGCTCAAGTGATTCTCCTGCCTCAGCCTCCCGAGTAGCTGGGAATACAGGTGCGTACCACCACACCCGGTTATTTTTTTGTATTTTTAGTAGAGACAGGGTTTCACCATGTTGACCAGGCTGGTCTTGAACTCCTGACCTCAGGTGATCTGCCTGCCTTGACCTCCCAAACTGCTGGGATTACAGGTGTGAGCCACCATGCCTGGCCGGAAGACAATTTTAAAATGTCACAGCATGTGATATGAACTGGAGATAGGGGGTCTGGTTAGAAGCCTCCCCAAGGATGTAATATGTAAACAAAGACCTGAGGGATGGAAAGAAACCCACTAAGTAAAGATCTGGAAGGCGGGGACATGGCAGGCAGAGAGGAGGAGCCACGCAAAGGCCCCCAGCAAATACTGAATTGACCGAGCTAAGCATGGCCAGGGAACAAAGAGAAAGAGGGCCCAGGGGCTGGGGCTGGGGAGGACGAAGGAATCCGGCTGAATGAGAGGCAGGCAGGGCCCCAACAGGCAGGCGCCCCAAGGCCATAGCAAAATGTGTGAAGTTGCTAGAAGGATGGAAGCAGGGAAGTGGAATAATATGATTTGCATTTTTAGAAAGTATCCGGGTAGCTGTTTGCAGAGTGGATTACAGCAGGAAGAGGGAGGGGCGTGGGGGAAGCTAGGTGAGACACCACGGTGGTCTGGGAGGTGGCAAGGAGTTGGACAGGGTTTGGAATCGGAGGCAGAGCCCACGGGCCTGCAGGTGGTTTGGATGTGGTGGAAAGCGGGTGGCGAGGATATCCCAGGTGCAAACTAAGCTAATGGTGGATGGGGAGGCACAGCTTCTCCAGACAGGCGCCCACCCCACTCACGCCCATGCACACCCCACTCACCCTCCTGCAGGCGCGGCGTGGGCTCCCGCGTGGTCACGGGCGAACCTCGTGGGAGGTGGCCGGCAAAGGGTGCCCCGTGGTCCTCATAGGTCAGGGGGCTCTGCCGCGGCTTACCCAGCTCAGGCACAATGACCGGGGCGCCGCGCGCAATGGAGCCCCCCGAGCTGCTGGCGGTCCCTGGCCGGCTCTTCAGGCTCTCCTCGTAGCAGGCACGTTCCAGTGCCCGGGCGTCGGCCATCACATCCAGCGGGTGCACGGGTGGGAACGTCCGGCCGGGGCTGCCGATGAGGGAGCGTACGTCGTGCTTTTTGGAGCCAGTGGTGGACGCGCCGGTGTCGTACTTGAGCGGGGTGCCCTGGGGCAGAGGGGATGTAAGCTCTAGCCCTGGCCACAGCCATAGCCCAGACCAGCTGCATCCCCCTTCTGAGCCTCAAAAAGTTTGTCATCTATAAGATGGAAGTGACATCTGATGCCTCCAGAGGCAGGGAGACAGAGGGCTTTGCTAACCCTGAGATGGCACACTTGTTACTTACTGCCCTGCGCACCCTGGGCCTGACCCTGGTCCCCACGCTCCCTGGGGGGACTGCAGAAAGGGGTAAAAAGTTCAACAGTCAACTCTCCCTGCCGCGAGTGGTGGGCTCTCTGATGGTCCCTGGAGTTTGCGAGAAAGAAGCCCAACACCCTCATGTGGGTAAAAAACATTCCTCTGTTCAGCCTGGGACCCTCCATGGCCCACCCAATGCCAAGCAGAAAAAGTCAGCACCCAGACCCAATACTACCCGCCCTGAGGCTTTCAGCCCCAGGGACACTGAGGTCAGGGCTGAGGTGTTTGCCCTCCAGACAGAAAGGATGGTGAGGAAATGGGGGGGTCACAGTCCAGACTGGGACCTTCGTAGCCAGGCCACCAGGTCCCCTGCCTCTTTTCAGCAGGCTTCGGAGACACTTGATATGGTGGGACTTTAGGGCTTTGCAAGCAACAAAACTCTATTTAGGGATGTCTTCATTACTGTCGTAAGAAGGGGAACTGCCCTTGTTTTTCAAAAGAATATTCTAGAATCTGGACCCTGTCTTGGTCATGCGGTGGATGCTTCCAAGGACTCCATAATTGCCTAGGGGCTGAGAGCCAAACCCTTCCCCTGGCAATCAGGGATCTTACTGCTTCTGCCTTCTCCCTGGCTTCAAAACCTTCCTACAAGCTGGAACCCCTCCCGGGACACCCACCCCAGTCCTTCCGCCTCACAGCCCCACAGCCCCGTGGTGGCTCCCATTCTCCTTCCCCTTCACAAGAGGCCACCTCTGCCCATGTGGAAGGACAGTGGCCTTCAGGGGCTTTCCACCGAACAGCTCCTCGTCCTCGTACCATCGGCACGGAACTTCCCCTACTGAGCTGGGGCCGCCTGGGGGGACTGGGGCCTCTTGTGGTGCAACCTGCTGGTGGGTGCAGTGGATGCTGCGGCTGTAGGAACATCTGAATTTGGGTTTCACAACTGCATTTGCTGCGTGACTCTGGGTGAGTCGTTGAACCTCTCTGAACCTCAATTTACTCAGCAATAAAATAAGGTCATTAAGAAAACGACCTCAGAGCATTGCTAGGGGGTGAAACAATGAACGCATGCAACATCCTCAGGCCGCACCTGGACCCTCACAAAGATTCAACGGAGGCAGTTACTCGTCACTATGTTTAGTCCTGTGGCCTTGGAAGCCTGCCTGGCCTCTCTGGGACTCAGTTTCCCTCCCTGAAGAATGGGAACAATGTGAGTTCAGTAGAATCAGGTCAGGAGCCTGGTGCCCCCTGCGCAGCCCTGGAACACGCACAGCTGAGGCCCGGTGATGAGCAGCTGGGTGACTGTAAGGTACGCGAGGGCTCTCAGCCTCGGTTTCCCCATGTGGAGAGGCCCAGGGCAGTGCCCCACAGCCACCGCCACCCCTCCTAGAACTGGGCCCGTGTGCCTGGCCCTGGGCCATACCTGCGTGATGGAGCCCTCCTTGAGCGGCCGCGGGGCCAGGGGCAGCTCGGGCGTGTGCCGCAGCTCCTCGCGCGGGATCTCATGGATGGAGCGGCCCGCCTCCTTCACCGTGGCCACCAGGCCCTCATGGGCCGGCTTCAGCTTCAGGGGGCCCAGGGCCTGCGTCTTGTAGGCCTCGGTCAGGTCCCGTGAGGGCGGTGGGGGCGGAGGCGTGCCCTCCCGCTTTAGGAGCTTGGCCTCCCGACGCAGGTAGTCCTCCTGTGCCTCCACGTAGGACCGAGGGATCCCTGCCGGGCCGACAGCACTGACCCTCACGCCCCGCCCCACCCAGACCCATCAAGAGCCTCCACACCAGTGGGTTCTGGAGCTAGTCTGCCTGAGTTCAAATCCCCACTTGCTGTGTGACCTTGACCAGGAAATCTGACCTCTCTGGGCCTCAGCTTCTTCACACATAAAACAAGAATATTAACTGAACCACCTCAGCAAGTCGGGAACACTATGAAATCATGAAGCTAAAACCACAGGCTGGGTGCAGTAGCTCACGCCTGTAATCCCAACACTCTGGGGGGCTGCGGCAGGCAGACAGCTTGAGCTCAGGAGTTCGAGACCAGCCTGGGCAACATGGTGAAACCCCACCTCTACAAAAATACAAAAATTAGCTAGATGTGGTGGTGTGCATCTGTGGTCCCAGCTACTTGGGAGGCTGAAGTGGGAGGATTGTTTAAGCCTGAAAGGCGGAGGCTGCAGTGAGCTGAGATCGTGCCACTGCACTCCAGCCTGGGCAACAGAATGAGACCCTGTCTCAAACAGCAACAACAACAACAAAATAAAAAAATAAAAAATAAAACCCACAAAGCTGCCAAGTTCACAGTAGCTGGCTGTGCCATGGACCAGCCGCGAGAACCTGAAAGAGTTCTCGGAGCTCTCCAAGCCTCTCCCAATCGCATGTGCCTCACCAGGATGTTCTGTAAAACGATACGCAGGTGGCACCTGGGTTAGTGCCAAGCACAGGACAGTTGCTATGTGACACCTAAAAGCACAGGGGTGATCGGTGGTATTTTGCTTTTTGTTTTTGTTTTGAAATAAGTAAGAGACACCCTTGCTCCGTAGCTCACGTACTGATCATGTACATGTGTGCTGCAGGCCTTTCTGCATACTTGTCCTGAGTTCCCACCACACTCTGGCTGTGTCTCTCCCTCCCGCGCCCTGCGTGACTGTACACCCGTTGGGGGCAACGAGGGAGCAGGGAACAGGGCAGTACCTTGTGTGATGGACCCGCGGATGTGGTGCTGCTCTTTGAGGTGGTGGGGGCTGTGTCGCTCCGGCGGGATGGCACGGCCCATGAG
Source organism: Homo sapiens (assembly GCF_000001405.40). NCBI lineage: Eukaryota > Metazoa > Chordata > Mammalia > Primates > Hominidae > Homo > Homo sapiens. The sequence goes on from NC_000012.12 coordinate 124,347,910, forward strand.
ACCTGGGTAGGAGAGGGTGAGGCCATCATTCCGTGGCTCCCTGAGCCGACACTGGGCAGTGACAGGGGTCAGTGTTTACAGCCGCCAGTGGTCATCCCCACGATGATGGTGGAGTAGGACCCAGCACGGGAAGGTCCCTGCGCTACCTCCAGATGGAGCCTCAGAAAGCCCAGCCTCGGTTTCCCCATCTGTAAAACGGGGTCAGCCATCCCCCCACCGCCCACCAGGGGGCACCGAGAGATGAAGTCTCCTCCCTGCTATCACCTTCGATGCTGGCTGAGGAGATGGCTCTGCCCACGCGGCCCTCCATCATGTCATAGGTGCGCTTGGGGGCGGCCGTCTCATGGGGGGGTCCTGAGCTGCTTCTGCCGTCCTCCTTGGAGCACTGGGTCACAGACATGCCACCTGGAAACCACACAAAGCACTCGGTGAGGAGCTGGGCACGGGCCCAGGACCACGGTGGGCAGGCAGGACAGGCAGAGCCGGTAGGCAGGAGCCAGCAGTGCTTCCATGCTGGCCCCGTCACAAAGCCTCACAGCCGAGGCCTCCAGAGGGAGCTGGCAGCCTGCAGGCCCTGGGGGCCTGCCAGCAGGACCCAGGAGCTTTTCCAGGGGGTTGCACGGTGGGAGATGCAGGGCACGCTGCCTGCACCCTGTACCCTAGCCCTCCAGGGTGCTCTGTCTGCAAGCAAGGGTGTGCCTGTGACCACATGAGCACGTGAGTCTGTGTCCACACCCACGGGTGCCGACATGGGGCGTGAACAAGTGCACACACATGCACGTGAGCAAGGACGCATCAGCAGTGTGTGGATGTGTGGCAGGCAGGAGCACACGTGCACCGATACATCAGCAGCAGAGTGTGGATGTGTGGCAGGCAGCAGCACGCGTGCACCGATACAGCAGAGTGGAGGTGCGGGCAGGCAGGAGCACGCGTGTGCACCGATACATCAGCAGTGTGTGGACGTGTGGCAGGCAGGAGCACGCATGTGCACTGGCACGGGTCTTGTGTGTGCAGGAGTGGATGTGGGCACATGCACGTGAGCCTGGCTGCTGAGAACTAAGTGGGTCCATGTACACACATGTACCAGGGTGCAGGCAGTACACGGCTTTGTATGTATACACGTGTCACACCCAGAAACCTGTGCCGATGTGCATGTGAGTGTCCGACCACAAGTCTGCGTGTGCACGGAGAGGTGTGTGTTGCAGGCAGTGGTGAGGGGTGGCAGGGGTGGCCTCGCCAGGCCAAAGGAGCCTACATGGGCCCGGCTCACTGCTCCCCGGACAGGCAGAGAGGTGAACAGACGGAGGTGGCCCCCGAAGGTAAAGGCTGGGCTTTGCCCATCTAGCCAGGGCTCTCCTTCCAGGGCAGCCGAGTCCAGAGCTATCAGAAATGAGCCCCGGGAGCCCCCGCCCCACCCCTCAGAGGGAATGAGCAACTGACAGGCTCTCGGGCTTTTCAACCATTGCTTCGTGTGGCCCACGGCCCGTGAGCTACTCCAGGGGTTGCCAACAGGAGGGTACTAGGTTGCTGTTCAGAAAACGTTCCAAATTAATCGCCGATGTTTAAACATCGGGAGATTTCAGATAAAAACGGAGATGAGAAACCTGGCTGACCGGTGGCCGCAGGGGAGTGGACGGCGTGAGCAGGCACCACAGTCCTCCCCATTCCCTACAGTCCTCCCCACTCCCTACAGTCTCACACCTGCCGCTGCCTGCACTGCCTACCTGGCCCAGGGAGCAGACGAGAGTTTAAAGGCCCCGACTGAAACCCATGATGAAGACGATACGCTGAAGGCCTATAAAGGCTCAGGCACTGGTCTGGGGTCCCAAGGTGGGACTCTACCCAGTGACCTCTCAAGACAAGCTCTTGACTAACCCCACCACCAGCCCTTCCCAGGCTTCCCGCCACCCCCAGGGCACTCGGTCCAGGGGCACCAGGGCATGAGCTGGCACCCAAGACACAGCTGCAGGCCTGTCTCCAAGGCTATCTCTGTGGCAGCAGGGAGTGCATTATGTTCCTAAGCCACACGGTGCCACCTCCACCTCCCAGGCCTGGGGAGGGGGCTGCGGGCACAGGCGGAAGTGGATGGAGGAGAGGCAATTCCGGGCCTCGCAGCTGCAGTGCTGAGAGAGGCGCCCATTAGCAGCTTTCATCTCCACACCCCTGGGTGCCCTAGGCTGCCAGGAAATTCTCTTTCCCGGCACTCGATTCCCTTAACTCCTTCCTGGCAGGGTCTCCTCGTTCTGGAACCCAGAGCCTAGAGAGGGAGAGGATGGGGGCTCCGCAGCAAGAGCCTGGGACACAGTGGGGCGAGGGGCACTCTGGCCATGGCCTCTTTCATGGCCAATGAGAGAGTGCGTGGTTTGTCAGTACGGTGCTGGAGGCCTGGCGGCGTGAGCTCGGGCTTCTGTTCCGGGCCTCAGTTTCCCTCCTATGCTTCTAAAAAGGTTGGCCATGAGTTTGTTTTCTAAACTGTAAAGAACTGGGCAGAGGTGGGAGGCAGCTAAGGCCAACGCTTCCCTGCTGCTGGCTTGCATACCTGCAGGGATAAGGAGGTCACCACCTATCAGATTGTGCTTTCTGATGTCAATCCAGCCCTGCCTCCCTGTGAAGCTACCTCAGTGGGCCAAGCACACTCCTCCCCTGGTCCTGGGCCTCCTCTCCTCCTGCGACTCACCCTCATAGGACAAGACGTGGCCCTTCTTGCCTTCGTAGATGACGTGGCCCTTGGGCAGGCTGTCCTCCCGGCCGCGGTCCAAGCGACTCGGGCTGTCCTCGCCGATGATCCTGGTGATGGTGCCCTTGTACAGGACGTCAGCTGGCGTGCCCTGCAGGTGCAGAGGGGTGAGCGCCCAGGAGGCTGCAGCCCAGGACCCCTCTCAACTCAAATGCAGGCAAAGACGTGCTTAAAAGCCCATGTGCCCACCGATGCACACGCGTGTCCACACACACACTGTCTCAAATAGGTAAGAGTTTGCATGGAACAAAACCCTATGAGGAACCTGAAGAATGAAGATCCCTTGTCAAGTGCTTCCCATGAGTGGACGCTGTTCTGGGTGCTCTCTATGGATTTGCTCATTTAATCCTCGAAACAACCCTAAGACAACCCTATTGATTATGCCTGTTTCAGATGGGGAAACCGAGGCACAGGGAGGCACAGTGACTTTACCCGGGGTCACCTGGCTAATAAGGGGCAGGCGGGGACTTGAACCCAGGCATTCTGGTCCTGGAGTCTGTGTCCCCACCACTGCGTGGGGTCTACTCAGAGCCTTGACATTCAGTTACCGAAAACGGTAACTGGCGGGGACGCTGGGGTTTCTGCTCCTGTGCTGTACCCGTGACCACGTCATGCACTTTGGTTTCCTAAAACCAGGACAAGGACTCACGTCAGGGCAGCACACCGGAAATTTTAGTTCTAACCCAGGTTTTCCACCTCGGCCCTCCTGACAGCTGGAGCTGGACCCTTCTTTGCTGTGGGGCTGTCCTGTGCACTGTGGGCTGTTAACAGCATCCCTGGCTTCAAAGCACTAGAAGCCAGGAGTACACGCCTCCCCAGTGTGTCCCCCACCAAGTTAGGACAATCGAAAATGTCCCTAGAGAGTTGGAGGCACAATTTCCCCCAATTGAGAACCACTGCCATATAGGGAATGAGCTTCCCGTTGGAGGATGTGTTCAAGCAGAGAGGAGATGGCCACGTGGGGCAGCATCCTGCCTTGGGTGACTTTCAAGAACACAAGCATCAGAGTTAGAATATGACTTTGGAAGCAGAATGTTGGGTGTCAAACAGCAACTTTACTACCAAGCTGCCGTGGGACCTCCTTTCTGAGCCTCAGTTTGCACATCCACAAATGGAGACCTTCTGCATTGATGATTCTCAAAGGCATCTGGCACAGACGACGGGTCCCCAAATCTCAATATCCCTCTTCTCTTTCTAGGGTTCCAGGAGCAGATTCAACGGTAAAGGTCCTACTATATCCCAAGACCTGGACCAGTGAGCTCTGAGTCTCTGGCTGGACTTGCTTGGCTGGGGACATCCCCTGGCAGAGGGCAGCACCTGGTACCCCGGGGAGTTCACCGCAGATCCTGGTCTTTGCGGAGGGCAACAGCAAGACGCCCTGAATTCTGATGAGCTCCCCCCAAACTTCCCAAAGCAAATACTCTGAGCAGCATCTCCCTGCTGTGCTTTAAGACACCTGTACACTAACAGTGTGGCACAATAGGTGCTGAGTCAGGTGACAGCTCGGGGCAGCCACCTCTCCCATCAGGAAAGCACAGGATTCCTGCAGCATCCTGGCGGGAAAAGCCCCCCAAGAGGCAGCTAACACAAGTGCACCCCTTTCTGTATCCAGCCCTAACATCAGATGGTCCATGTCAGAACTGGGTTTGTACTGCAGAAATCAGTGGCTTACTGAACACCACAATAAATGATTTAAAAAGGGGGGCTCTCCATGGTGAAACTGAGGCATCTGATTTTTTTTTTTTGAGAAGGGGTCTTGCTGTATTGCCCAGGCTGGAGTGCAGAACACTGTCATAGTTCACTGCAGCCTCAAACTCCTGGGCTCAAGTGATCTTCCTGCCTCCCAGTCCCAAGTAGCTGAGACTACAGGTATGTGCCACCATGCCCAGCCAATTTTTAAATTTTCTGTAGAGACAGGCCTCTTTTTGTCCAGGCTGGTCTCAAACTCCTGGGCTCAAGCTATCCTCCCACCTTGGCCTCCCAAAATGCTGGGTTGACAGGCAAGAGCCACCGTGTCCAGCTTGATGTTTTTGAGCTATAGTATTTTAGAGGTGCCATCTTCAGGGACATGGACAGAGAACAGAAATCCAGCCGGTGGCCCCTGCTCTTGGGAGAATACACTGGACAAACTCCCATTAACAGGGAAGCTTCTGTTTGCATAACGTCTGCTTCCAGGAGATGAGCCTGTAGCCTCTTGCTCTTGGCCCCAATGAACTCTACTCCCAAGATGGGCAGGAAGTCCCTGGAGGATCAGGGAGCTGGGACTTCCTTGACCTCCCTTGCCAGCTGGGAACCACGTGGTCCCTGCCTATGGCACCTACTCAGTTAATAAACGGCTCTGTGCGTGCAGGCCACACGCTGACTTCCTCACTATCTGGTAGTGAGACTGCACGGAAGTTTGACCCTTGCCTATCTCACATGTTTTGGCAGCTGGCTGTCTGCCAAAAGCAATCAAAGAGATGTGTGTAACTGGGAGGTTCGAGGAAGGGCGCGGGTCATGGCCACTCAGGAACCCAGAGCAGGTGGATGCCTGGGAACTTCAAAGGTCCCTACGACTTCAGGAGAATGACTCTCCCAGGAATACTGTTAGCAAAGGGGAAACGGAGTCAGGGCAGGCCGCTGCCTGTCTGAGTAGGTGGTGGAGCTGGCACCCGAGGGCCCTCAGCCTGACTTTTGTCCAAAGCACTTGCCCTTCCCACTCAGCACAGCTGCCTTTGAAAGCTCAGATTTTTAAAACCTGCAGATTTCAGAGAAGGGCAAAGTGTAAATGGCTCCTCTGTGGTGGGATTTGACGCTGCCTGAGTGAAAAACACCTCCCTGTGGACCATCTTGTTGCCCGAAGCTCCACTGTTAGAACATGCATGCACGTGTGCAAGTGTGTGGACCCACGCTCTGTCACTGTGTTCTAGAGCCAGACACACGTGGCACAAAACCTTGGGTCCACAGCTCACCAGCTGCAAGGCTGGGGCACCAGTCCTGGCACGATTCAGGAACCCTCTCATGCTCTGTCTTTGCACATGCTGTTCCCTGAGCCTAGAATGCTGTTCCCTGAGATTCCCGCATGGCTTGCACCCTCAATTTCTTCTGGCCACAGCTGACATGTCACCTTCCTCACCTGTCTAAGCAATGTCCGTGGCCAGGCATTCTCAGCCGCGGTACGCTCACATTCTGCCTGCCTGCTCGGTTTTCACCAGCCTACTTATTTACCCTGGTCTGTTTCCTTCCACTACATGGCAGCTCCCTGAAGGCAGAGTTTTGAGCTGTGCTTGGCAATCCCAGTGCCTGATTCCATGCAGACTAGATGAAAGTTCATGGAGTGAACTGCTGTCCCCCAGTCATCACCCCATCGGCTGAGGCTAATGGTTTGGTGACAATGAGGGGTTATAAGATGGGCTGGCCCCGTGCTGGTCCCAACCGTCCTTCCTGCCGCACCCCAGGACACCTACGTGGGTGATGGAGCCGCGGTATGTGATGGCGCTGTCCGAGGGCACCCGTGTGCTGGGAATGCCTTTGGTGATGCTTCCGCCCGGAACTGAGCCCAGAGCTGTCCCTGGAAGACACAAGATGTGGGGCTGAGGGCGTGTCTGTGGCCCTTCCTTCCCCAGGCCCCAGTCCTGAGAGCCACCCTGACTGAGAGACCCACAAGTTGTGCTAGTTGTTTCAACGCAGAGGGAGTCCCCCTACCCCTAAATGGTGAGGGAGACAGCTGTGAAGAGGGGCCCCCAGACCCTCTGGGAGATGACACTTCCCAGCAGGTTTTGAATAAAGGGCCCTTTGGGCACCCGAGGAACAGGGGCAGATGCTGGGGGCCCAGGGCAGAAGGGCCCTCACCTCTCAGCACGGACGCCTCCTGGGCTGTGGGCACCCCCAGGCTCTCCGGTGGCCCAGCCTGGCCCCGTGGGGACAGCTGCTCCTGCTTCACTCCGCTGAAGGGTGCTGAGGACCAGTAAGAGGAGCGAGTCACGTGCTGCCGGAGCAGGGTCCCGGGAGGCTTGTCCCCACCCAACCTGAGCCAGGGGCTGGGAAGCGCTGCCCCTCCCCACCATGTTCCAGCCAGGGCTGCTGAGGGGGGACCTCCCAGCTGCTACCTGGAGTACCGTGGGCCAAGATACCCCTTCCTCCCCCGCCCCACCCACAGGACAGCCAGAGCCCAGCCTGAGCCACCCAGACGGATGGGCCAGGAGCCTTACCCAGCTTTTTGGGGTCCATGGGCAGGGGCAGCCCCATGGTGACAGGGCCCACCGGGGCCTTGGCATGCTCTGAGTACGGGACGTGGAGCTGGACCGACATTCCCTGTAGGGGCGGAGTTGTGGGGTCACAGGGGCACCCTGGTCCCTCCCCCACAGTCCAGAGTGCCTGACGCTCCTGTTCAAAAAGCCCACGTGTGGGTCAGAGGCTGGGGCTGCTGTCCAGCTGTGTGACGGCAGACAAGTCACTGCTACTCCCAAGCCTCGGCCCCCTCCCCTGTGAAGGGGCCATGCCCTCTGAGCCCCTTGCATTTGCCCTTCCATTTCGCAGTGGGGGAAACAGGAGGTTAAGTAACTTGCCTGAGGCCACACAGCCTGGTTCCTGAGCCATGCCCTTGACTGCAATACAGAGTGACCCCCCAGGGACGAGGCCCTGAGTGCCTGGGGCAGGACCCAGCCAGCTCAGACCCCAGATGCCTGAGTGGAGATGACCCAGGCCCCCGAGAGCCTGGCCCCCACTCAGACTTCATTGGTCCCATTGCCCCCACTTTACAGATAAGAAGACTAAGCCCCCAAGAAAGGAAGGGCTACCACTCACTTGGGAGATGGCACCTATTTGCCTCTCGAGGACGCTGGGGTGCTTGGCAGAGGAGATGAGGGGAGGCGGGTTGGAGATGGTGGGTGGGCGCGGCAGGACGGGCCGGGCAGTGTCATGGAGGCCCAGGGGCAGTGGGTGACCTGTGGAGCACATGTCTGTCCATTGTGGGGCCCAGGAGCGGTCACGTCCCTGCCGGACACACACTCCAGGCTGCACTCCACCTCTTCCCTGTCCTGGCCAGGAAGTGCCCATCCATGCGCACTCCTCTATTGCCCTGCCTGGCTCTGTCCTCATTAGTGACCCGAGTCCTAGGTGCAGACACCACTATCCTGGGGAAGCCTCCCACCTCACCCACTGCCCAGGCCCTGATCCAAGCGCCCTCAACTCTCATCTGGATCCCCTGTCTCCCCATTTCCACTGTAGCCCCCAGTAGCCCCTTCCCCTTATAGGAACCAAAAGGACCTTTTTGGAAAAGTCTACTGGTGCACACCCTCCCTGTGCTGTGTGCCCTCGATGGCTCCCACTGTCCTCAGGAGAAAGTCTTAGCCCCCGACTTGGCCTTCAGGCTCGCCTGACCTGGCCCCTGGGTCTCCCCAGCTCACTGGGCACCGAGCTTCGGCAGTGGTGGCCAGATTCAGTTTCTCAAGCTTTGCCTGCTCTCTCCTGCCTCTGGGCTTTTGCACTTGCTGTTCCGTCTGCCTGGCATGACTTTCCCTGTTCTTCTGGCTCCCTTGGCCCACGCATCCCTCGGGACCAGCCTTTACCAACAGCAGTCTGTACCAGCCCCCGGCTGTGCTGCTTTACAGCTGGTGAGGCCCAGCAGGACTGCAGGACCTAGAACAGGGCCGAAATGCAGCCTCACAGAGTCTGTGAACCAAGGTAGCGCCTCTGCTCCCTCCCCAGGCTCTTCTACCATCTGCCCATTCTCTAGCTCTAAGCCGTCAACGGAAAACATAGCTCCCACTCTAAGCCTGCCCCTCACCAGCTCAAGCACCTGCTGTGGCTCCCTCTTGCCAGTGGCTTCCATCTCAACCCTGGGGCAGCTTTCTTAAAAGATCTCCCCCTTTCCCTCCACTGACCAGGCTGTTCCTCCAGCCAGGTCCCATAAGGCTTTAAGATGCTTCTGTGTGCAGCTCTGAGCCAGTGCAAACAGTGCAAACAGCGATTGTGCACTGGCTGAAGAAGCCCAAGCTCGGGCGGAGCTACTTACCAGGTGGAGCGTAGGAGAAGGCTGAGGGGTCCGGGGCATGCGGGGAGGCCTTGATCACCTCACGGGGGGGCACGGGGAAGGGCAGGCCGGAAGTCCAGCAAGGGGGGTCCCCAGGCAGCTTCTGGGCCTCGGCTGCGAAGGCTGGGAAGAACACAGGCTTCTCTGCTGAGGGCAGGAGGTGGGGCAGTCAGACCTCGGGAGCCCTGGCTGACCCTACACAAATGGCCTTCCTGCACCCACAGTAGTGGTGGCCTGTGACGGCCTGGGCTCCTCCGGGAAGCCCCCCAAGTCTGCCTGCCTGGGCGCTGCTCTGTAACCCCATGGTATTCTGCTCAGCAGGGGAGGGGATCTCAAGGTCTGAGCTGGGGGCTCTCAGCTGCCGCTGAGGACGAGAACGGGACCCTCTGGCTTTGCAACCCCACAAGCACTCAACCAAGCCCAGCAAGCCAAGGTCCCTGGACAGGCCTCTAAGCCAGGAGGTGGCAAATGGTATCTCAGAGGGTCTGTCTGCCCCCTAATTTTTTTGAGACAGGGTCTCCTTCTGTCACTCAGGCTGGGGTGCAGTGGTGCTGTCACGGCTTACAGCAGCCTTCACCTCTGGGCTCAAGTGATTCTCCCACCTCAGCCTCTCAAGTAGCTGGGAATACAGGCGCCCACCACCGCACCATGCCTGGCTAATTTGTTTTACTTTTGTAGAGATGGGGTCTTGCTATGTTGCCCCAGGCTTGTCTTGAACTCTTGGGTTCAAGGGATCTTCCCACTTCAGGCTCCCAAGTAGCTGGGACTACAAGCACGTGTCACCACACCATGCTTGGCTAGTTTATATTTTGTTTTTGTAGAGATGAGGTCTTGTTATGTGTGCCCAGGCTGGTCTTGAACTACTGGGCTCAAGAGATCCTCCCACCTTGGCCTCCAGAGTGCTGGAATTACAGGCGTGAGCCCCCACGCCTGGCCCCGCCGTCTGACTTTGTGAATACGCTTTTACTGGAGCGTGGCCACATCTGTGCATTTATGTATTGTCTATGGCAGAGCTGAATCCTTGCAACAGAGATTGTCTGGCCCACAAAGCCTAAAATGTTCACTCTCCGGCTCTTTGCAGGAAAAGCTTGCTGGCCTGTGCTCTACACAATGTTGAAGGAGGTAACCTGTGATGTGTGTGTGTGTGTGCGCGCACGCGCGTGCACGTGTATGTGCATGTGTGTGTGAGTGCATGGATGTGTGTGTGCGCCTGTACACAATGTTGAAGGAGGTAACCTGTGATATGTGTGTGTGCGTGCGCACGTGCGTGCATGTGTGTGTGAGTGCATGGATGTGTGTGTGCACCTGTACACAATGTTGAAGGAGGTAACCTGTGGTGTGTGTGTGTGCACACGTGCGTGCATGTGTGTGTGAGTGCATGGATGTGTGTGTGCCTGTACACAATGTTGAAGGAGGTAACCTGTGATGTGTGTGTGCGCGCGCGCACGTGCGTGCGTGTGAGTGCATGGATGTGTGTGTGTGCATGGATGTGTGTGTGTGCCTGTACACAATGTTGAAGGAGATAACCTGTGATGTGTGTGCGCGTGCATGTGCATGTGTGTGTGAGTGCATGGATGTGTGTATGTGCCTGTACACAATGTTGAAGGACGTAACCTGTGATGTGTGTATGTGCACGTGCACGTGTATGTGCGTGTGTGTGAGTGCATGGATGTGTGTGTGCCTGTACACAATGTTGAAGGAGGTAACCTGTGATGTGTGTGCACGTGCACGTGCATGTGTGTGCGAGTGCATGGATGTGTGTGCGCCTGTGTGTGTGTGTTGTGGCGGGCAGTGGGGGGTTATAAGCCCAGACCCTCCAAGTAACAACCACAGCGTCAGCCTCAGTTTGCTGAGTGGTACTCAGCACAGGCACTGTGCTCAGCATCCCACGGCCTCCATGAGCCTCCGGTTAAGCTCACACAGAGACTGCTGCCAGACACATTTTACAGAGGGGAAACTGAGGTACAGACACACCAATGGGCTCATCTGAGTTCACCAGCAAATACTTAGCCGAGTCAGGATCAGAAGCCCACTGAGCCAGTGCAAGCAGCGGTTGTGCGCTGGCTGGCTGAGAAGCCAAGCTCAGGCAGGGCTACTTACCAGGCGGAGTGTGCAAAGGGCATTACCGAGAGGTCATGCTCTCTCAGGGCTCCACGGCTGACAGCAATGTAAGCGTGTTCACTCATTTATTCTCACAGCACCCTACAAGGAACTGACTGACTGTCCCCATTTCACAGACGGGAAAATGGAAGCCGAGAGGTTAAGCCACCTGGTCAAAGGCCCCAGCTAGCAAGTGGCAGATAGCGGCTTCGAACCCAGGCACTGGGGCTGCAGACCATGGCCTTAATCCAGACTGCTATGCCACATGGCCTGCGGCAGAGAAGCAATGATGGGTCCTAGATTTCAGGCCTGGGGAGATCCTGTAAACTCAGCGGGGCCCCGGGGCTCAGGCCTGGCTTCATGGCATCTTCCTGCTGGCCTCTCGCCCTTTGCTGAAATCTGTCCTCAGCTCTGAACCTCTCCCTGAGGACCAATCCTATGGAGAGATAACCGGCCAAGAAGTTGAGCAGAGACACAACTTGGGAATGACGGAGCCCTCTGGGTTCTGGGACAGGAATGGCAGGCAGGTGTCATCTATCACGCCGCCTCCAGATGAACAAAGGAGGTTCTGAGGGCCCATCAGGGTGTGACAGCGGAGGAGAGTGCTAAGATCAATTAATGATGCCTGCTGTGAGCAGAGCAGGTGGGCAAGAAGGCCTATGTACCAAATTGCCCCCAATTCTCTCCTTGAAGACTGTTTCCCCTGGACTTGTGCCCTGGCGAGGTGGGCAGCCCACAGGAGGCAGGGGGCACAGATGCAGGGGAATTCTCATTCTTAACCAGTCCCCAGTGGAGGCACCTGTACAGGGCCTGCCTCACATCTGGAGATCCTGCAAACGCCCTGGACCTGGCCCCTCTGGCTACCCAGCCCTGTAAGCCTCTGGTGCTTCCTCCAGCCCAGTTCCAGAGAGTTGGGAGAGAGAGGAGGGGAGCTGTTCGATGCTGGAAGGCAAACTGGGGCTAGGCCAGGCTGGGCGGGCGGCCGAGAGCCTGGAGAGACAACCTGTTCCTCCAGTTGGGCCCAGGGGGCCCCGAGGGACCTGCTTGGCTGAGCCGCTCTGTGTGGGAGCCAGGGGCAGAATAGGCTGGCTTCCTGAGAGACCAGAGAGGTAGCGCTGGGTGTCAAGTTCATGTGTGTCCCTGCGGGAGCTGAGCTGCAAGCCAGGCTGTGCAAGAAAGGCATGCAGGGCCTAACGCCAGGTGCACCGTCCCCACGGGGAATGAGGCCAGGAAACGGCACAGGCCCTGGCCACACCAACGGGCTGAGTGCCAGCCGCGGGAACTGCTGGCCGGTGGCTCCCTTTCTCCCAGGACAGGGGCCTGCGACCTGGCTCAGCAGGACCTGGCTGGCACCGTGCAGTTCCAGCCCTGATCAGATCTGACGCTGGCCAAAGCTGCTGGGGCCCCTGACATGGATACACAGCTCCTTCCCGGGCTGGCGCCCCAAACCTGCAACGTCTCCCAGAGCCACACCCTGGGCCGCACACTGTACCCTGGCCCCAGGTAGCCCAGCCCTGGTCATGGGGCATCCCAGTTCCAGCGAGACATCCCTGGCGTCATCCCCACACCGGGTTCAACGCCCCACTGGCTTTGCCTCCAAAACAAACTCCCGATGCGCCCTTCCTTCCACCTCCACGGCCACCTGTGCGGTTCAGGCAGCCTCTGTCGCCTGCCAAGAGCTGCGCTGTGACCTCCCGCTGCTGCCCTTGACTCAACAACGGCCAGACAGAGCTTTCCAAGATACAAATCAGATAACAAGCACCTCCTTCCCCTTCCGCAACACACGCTCACTTCAAATCCCTCCAGCAGCCCCTGCCACACCTGAGACAAAATCCACTGCCCGCTGTGGCCTGAGAGGCCCCACACAATCCGGTCCCCACTTCCCTCACTGTCCACCCGCCCACCCTTCCCTGGCCACAACCACCCCCGGCGACTCCTCACACACCCCGAGCGTGTTTCCACACCAGGGCCTTTCCCTGTGCTGTTCCCTCTGCCCGCAATGCCCACCCAGAGAGCTCCCACTGCGGGGCTGCTTCCCACTCCACAGGGTCCTTCCCGGAGCCGCTCTTCACTCAACCCGTTTTGTTTCTCATGGTGGATGAACGACTCTAAAACCATCTTGCTTCGTTACGTGTTCCCTGGTTTAACATCCTCCTCACTCAAAACAACAGCAGCTCCCCAGAGCAGAGACTTCCTCTTCTCCCTACCTAATCCCCGCTCTGCCAGCATGGTGCCTGGGGCCTTGGGTTTTCAACAAATGTCCTGACCCAGCAGCCTCGGTGGACCCCGGAGGCAGAGGTTGCAGTGAGCGGAGATTGTGCCACTGCACTCCAACCTGGCGAGAGTGACACTCCGTCTCAAACAAAAAAAAAAAAAAAAAAAAGAGAAGGGGGATGTCACACCCAAGGCAGCGGGGAGGGGACAGCTGATGGTAGCTCCAGTCACCCGGATTTGTCCCTGGGCTGTGCTGGTCAGGAGGTCGGCCTGGTGTCCTGCTGCCCTCAGACCTTTGGAGCAGCCTGCCAGCAAGCGCCGGGGCTAGCCCAGGGTGGGGAACCTCTGGGGAAGCAGCCCCCAACACCTGCAAGGCACAACAGCACCTGCTGCGTGCCAGGCTGACCTGGAGAAGATGCCTCTTTGGGGACACAGGTTCAGAATTTCTTGGGCCTAGTGGGAAGTGGGGCAGAGATTGAAGATCCAGAGAACAAGCAATCACGCCCGCCTGTCTCCTGACCTTGAGCTTCACGTGATGACAGTGAGGTGTGCCCGGGGCAGTCCCTGTGACACAGCGGCTCGGGAGTCACCCCCAACCCTGGCTCCTGGTGAACCCAGAGACCTGGGCCTGGAGCAAGGTCAGGATGCCAGCTGGGGAGGGCAGCCCTTCCTGCCCAGGCCCCAGAGCTGCTGCCAGCCGGGTGCTGGGCCCCATCTGTGATTCCAGAAGCTCCTGCGTGGACTGATTCACACCGAATCAGAGGCTGGGCTGTAGACATGTTTTTGCGTGTTCACAATGCTTTTGAAAATTTTGAGAAGTTGCCAGTGTTGAGAAACCAGGGACCAGGGGGATTTCACATAAGATGGATTTCTGGCTTTGCTGGAAGAACCACCCCAGGCCTGATTTGCCACGGGGTGACTCTTGGCCAAGGCCAATACGTGCCCACTTTAGAGAAAACAAGAGTTCTCCAATTTGCCGCAGTCCCTACCATTCCCAACTGCCTCCCCCTGCTCAACTGTTCCATTCGTTTACTTTGCTTTCCCTGCCACTGTGGCCATGGGGTTTGCAGCAGCTGCTCTAGACACACAAACATCCCTTGCCCGTCAGTCCCCTGCTGCCCCAGCCCCACTCAGCCACTGGTGTGCACTCACCCTCCTTGTCGGCGGGGGGTGCCGGGCTCCTGCTCTTGCCCCGGGGGCTGCTGCCAGGCTGCTGAGGGGCGTCGCTCTCCGGCTGCAGGTTTTGCGGTGGCGGTGGGGCTGGGGGAGCTGGCTTGGTGGGAGCTGCGTCCTCCCGGGGGGGCTCATGGACTTTGGTGACCTGCTGAGGGAAGCAGGCAGAAGTGAGCATTCACAGAGGGTGTCTGAAAGTGACAGGGTCAGGGAGAGACATGCACGCGACCAGCCTGGAAACCAAGGCCCGGGAAAGCCAGCGACATGCTCAAGGTCCCAGGTGCGGCAAGAAAGGGAGGTCTTAGCACAGAGCACATGGGGAAGCCCACCTCCCAGAAAGCCTGGCCCAGCTGCCCGGTGGTGAACAGGGGGAGCTCACCTCCCCAGAAAGCCTGCCCCAGCTGCCCGGTGGTGAACAGGGGGAACCCACCTCCCCAGACAGCCTAGCCCAGCTGCCTGGTGATGGACAGGGGGAGCCCACCTCCCAAAAAGCCTGGCCCAGCTGCCTGGTGGTGAACAGGGGGACCCACCTCCCAGAACCTGGCCCAGCTGCCTGGTGATGGACAGGGGGAGCCCACCTCCCAAAAAGCCTGGCCCAGCTGCCTGGTGGTGCACAGGGGGAGCTCACCTCCTAAAAAGTCTGGCCCAGCTGCCTGGTGGTGAACAGGGGGACCCACCTCCCAGAACCTGGCCCAGCTGCCTGGTGATGGACAGGGGGAGTTCACCTCCTAAAAAGCCTGGTCCAGCTGCCTGGTAGTGAACAGGGGGAACCCACCTCCCCAGAAAGCCTAGCCCAGCTGCCTGGTGATGGACAGGGGGAGCCCACCTCCCAAAAAGCCTGGCCTAGCAGCCTGGTGGTGGACAGGAGGCTAGAGCCTGCTGTGACTCTCTCCTCCAGCTCCTTCTGTGGACCCAAATCCTCTGGGTCTCAGGGAAGCCAGGACTGAGCAACAGGATTCTGTGGGCCTCGGGGACTGGGCCGTGTAGCCTGACACGCCCTGAGCCCATCACTCAAAGTCCCAAGGGACCACCAGCCTGGTCAGCTCAGGGTCTTTTAGCCCGGAGCCCCCAGTTGCAACTGGGAAGGCCAGACTCACCTCCCTGGAGAAGGCACCTCCAAGGGCCCACGCACCCAGCTGAGAGAACCTTCCAGGAGGGTGTTCCCAGAGGGCCCCAGGATCAGAACTGGTAGGCCACCCTTCCCTGGCCAAGCTGTTGCTATAGCTGAGTGGGTGGGGGAAGCTCCTGCCTCCCCATGACCCAGTATCTAATCTGGGGGTTCAAGGGTGCTGCGGGGTGGAAGGGGGGAGGCCTTAGGCCGCCAGTTCCCGCCTTCACTGGGAGCCCCACCCGGTACGCCTGCCAGCTTCCCCAGCTGTTCCCACCTCAGCTCCACGGGGATTTCTCCAGGAAACAGAAGCGGATGAGCTAGGCTGCAGGTGCATGCTCCCGCCCGTGGGATTCTCTGTCTCAATGAATGGGAAAGTCAAGGTCAGGGTGGACTCTGTGGGGCTCTGGGGGTGGGCACTCACGATGGGGGGGATGGCAGCCGCTCGCTGCTTCAGCTGCTTCAGGTCCAGTGGCTTCTGGGGTGAGGCATTGGCCCGGGGGTCGCCAGTCGGGGTGAGGAGGCTGGGCCTTGGGGACAGCAGCCTGCGGGCACACGAGCACCATCAGCTGGGGGCCCACAGCCGGACTCTCCCAGGGTGGGGGGGCTGCCCGGTTTTGATGGCCTCTCCTGTCTCAAGCCCTGGGGACGAGGCTAAGGCCCTGAGACACGAGGCGACTGTGCAGCTCACCCAGATAATGTCAACGGTTTCTCTTGGGAAAACAGACCAAGATTTGGGGCCAGGGGAGGGGAGGCACGAGTGGGCGGGCAAGTGCCTCCTCACTCACTCCCCTGGTTCTTGCAGGCCCCATCAGGGGCCAAGCCAGCCTCCCACCCCAGCCTAGAGGCCAGCCGGGCAGTGCTAGAGGCCCAGGCTGGGATCAAACATCCCCAAAGACATCTCCAGGCAAGGAAAATCCCAGAGAAGCCCAGACCTGGGGCCCACACCACACGTGGCCCTTCCGAAGCTGCCAGAAAGCCAAAGAATCAGCCCGATTCAGGGACAGAGAAATGAAGAGATTCACCAAGAGATTCCTCATCACTCGAATCTGAGAGGCTCGGGTGCCAGGGCAAGACAGTGGGCATGGAGCCGAATGAGCTCCGGTTACCAGAGGCAGGAGTGGGGGAGCTGCACCCACTTCCTAGACTCTCTCCCACACACTATCCACGAAGGACGAGGACATGATAACAAGGGCCCAGGCCACAGACTTTGTGTGGAGGGGCAGGTAGGGCCTGCCCACTGTCTACTCATTAGCCACAGTCGCAGTCCCTTCCTCTGTCTGCTACTGAGATGCGCGACCAGAGGCCGACACAGGGTACACGGTGCCTGGCAGAGCGTGCATTGGGGTGTGGCTCCCAAGCTGTTCGGTGGGTGCCGTTTCCTTCAGGAAGCCTTCCAGGATTTCTAAGTCCCCAGCACCGGGTATAGCACCTGCCATAATCCCCATCTGGCTCCCCACTTGGCATGAGGTCTCCAAGGGCAGGAACTGGATCTGCTCCAGCCTGAGAACCCTTCACCTGCCCAGTGTGGCTGCCCGGGGCTGCCCAGTTCTTGACTCCCTCCTGCAACCTGCATTTGCTAGGCACAAAGCAGCCTAGCCTGCATTTGGATGTATGGAGGCAGCCCGGCCTGCATTTGGGGGTATGGAGGCAGCCCGGCCTGAGTTTGGGGGTATTTGGAGGCAGCCTGGACCGTGTTTGCGGGTATGGAGGTGGCCCGGCCTGCGTCTGCGGGTATGGAGGTGGCCCAGCCTATGTTTGGGGGTATGGAGGTGGCCTGGCCTGCGTTTGCAGGTATGGAGATGGCCCGGCCTACGTTTGGGGGTATGGAAGCAGCCCGGCCTGCATTTGGGTGTATTTGGAGGCGACGCAGAACCCAGTCTCTGTCCTAGGTCTTCCAAGCTAGTGAAATGACCACATGGCAGGCGTGAGGGCAGCAGCCACGGGCCTGGAATTCAGCCAGAGGGCAAAACTTCTGGGTGCCAGAAGCTGGCAGGTCCTGTCGGCACAGCCCCTACTCTGTGCTGTGACCACAGTGACGACGTCCTATGCAGACTATAAGTCACAGCCTACTGGCCTCGAGGTGAGAGCTGTGACAACAGGGACACAACTCACACCACCCCAGTCCCCAGCTGCCAGTGCTGGATGCCTGGCGCCCAGAGGCACCCATCTCCTTCCTGCAGATGAGCAGGGCCGATGCCCAGGGTGCTGAGGCCCCTGCCGGCAGTCCCCTCCTTCAATCTCTGCCATAGCAGGACCATGGGGCCACCGGCATGTGACCGGCCTGTTCTGCAGGTACCAGCCTGCTGTCTGCATCTGCCACACGCTCAGCTGAGCGGGGAGAGCAGACACAGACTCGGTGATGCCTGCTTAGGCTGCCCATGGCGCACAGACGGGGGCCAGACGAGGAAGGTCACCCTGACTTCTGCATGCACCTCCACCGCCCCCACCGCCAGCCCACTCTCCTCCCTCCCCTCCCTCCACCTGTCCAGACCCTGCTTGATCTCCCAGGACCACCTAAAGCCTCTCCTTTGGCCACTGCCATGCCTCACTCCCTGGACCTGGGCCCAGCTGTGCTCTCCCCGCCATCCTCAAGGTACAGACAAGGTACCCTGACCCAGGTCCAAACACAGATGGTATCACCTGTCCCAACATTCTCCACCTGCGGCTTCAACTGCCGCCACCCCTATGTCCCTCCCCACAGGTTTACCTACCACCATCCGTTTCAACCAGCTCGCACTTGCAAGCTGAAATTTAAAAGAGAATGCTGCAGCCACTTTGGAAAGCAGTCGGTGAGCCCTCATTGCCCTAAACCCAGCACTGCCACTCCTAGGCACACACCAGGCAAATGAGAGCAAATGTCTATGCAGAAACCTGCACGTGCCCACCACTGCAGCACCGCCCAGCGCACAACAGCCAGAAGGCAGAGACAACCCGACATCCACCAAGAGACGAATGAGGAGACAAAGCGTGCCCTGTCCGCACGATGGAACACATGGCCATCAAAAGGCATGAGGCTCTGACACGGGCTATGACGTGGGTGGACCCTGAAGACACGATGCGCGTGAAACAAGCTAGTCGCAGAAGGCCTCTAGTGTAGATTCCGTTTCTGTGAAAAGTCCAGAACGGGCCAATCCATCGGGGACAGAAAGGAGATGAGTGGGTGCCAGGGCTGGGAGGAGGGAGGATAGGGGTGACTAGTGATGGGCATAGGGTTTCTTTCTTAGTATAACACTGAATATACTAAGAAGAACTGAATGATACACGTTTTTTTTGAGACAGGGTCTTGCTATGTCACTCAGGCTGGAGTGCAGTGCTGTAATCTCACTGCAGCCTTGACCCCCTGGGCTCACGCAATCCTCCCACCTCAGCCTCCGGAATTGCTGAAGCTAAAGGCACACATCACCGTACCTGACTGATTTTTGCATTTTTTTCTTTTTTGTGGTAGAGCCAAGGTTTCTCTATGTTGCCCAAGCTGGTCTTGAACTCCTGGGCTCAAGCTATCCTCCTGCTTTAGCCACTCAAAGAGCTAGGATTGCAGGTGTGTGCCACTGTGCCTAGCCTAAATGATACGCTTTCAATGGTGAAATGTATGGTATATGAATGATATCTTAATAACGGTTACAAAATGAAATGAGGACCATACTATATGCTAGCCATAAAGGGTTCGACGTATCAGCTGTATTTTCTCTATGAACAGTAAAAATAATATTTTTATATGTGTGTACAAATAGAAAAATAAAATATAAATTTTAAGGTTGAAATGCAAACGTTTGTATATGTGTAAAGATAATTCTATAGAGATAAAAATATGACTTTATAACACACACAAAACATGAGGTGCCACTGTCCCATGCAGTCTGCCCGAGAGCTCGCGTTTTCTATGTGGGGCCTGAGTGCTCCCTGTGCCTTGGTTTCCCTGTGGCCCCTCACCTAGTAGGGTGTGGGCAGTCAGATTGGCAGGGGGTGAGCGGGGGCAGGGGCTGCTGCCCAGAAGCTCTCAGCAGGTACCCTCTGGGGGGCACACACAGAGGCCCAAACCCTTCTTGAGCCCCCAGAGCAAGTGGGGACTGTGGTCATGGAGGTACCACTTTATAGTTTACAAGAGGTCTTCTGATCCCAGCCAGAGCTCTCTCATGGGTAAAGAAGGCAGCAGCCAGCACAAGGGCTGGGTTCAAGTTCTCGAGGGGAACGAGAGTCCTAAGCCCCCAGAGGGAGCGGCCACCAATAGTGGAGGAGGAAGGTGGAAAACGCTCAGAGCTCAGGGCCCATCTGACCGCCCCTTGTCCCGTAGCCATGCTGGAGGAGCGCCACCTCCAGAAGCCCTCCTGGCTGGCTCTCCCCACCCTCCACTCTCCCTTCTTTGTTTTATTTTATTTATTTATTTATTTTTTTGGAGACAGAGTCTTGCTCTGTTGCCCAGGCTGGAGTGCAGTGGCACAATCTTGGCTCACTGCAAGCTCTGCTTCCTGGGCTCAAGTGATCCTCCTGCCTCAGTCTCCCTAGTAGCTGGGATTGCAGGCACACGCCACCATACCTGGCTAATTTTTTGGTATTTTAGCGGAGACAGGCTTTCACTATGTTGGTCAGGCTGGTCTCAAACTCTTGACCTCAAATGATCCACCCACCTTGGCTTCCCAAAGTGCTGGGATTACAGGCATGAGCCACCGCGACCGGCCTCTCTCCTTTGTTTTCTTGGAAGGCAGCCACTTCTATTTTCCTTTCTGGCGGCCTGGGTGGGGCGGGGACTCTCAGGGCCTGGCACAGAGTATGTGTCTGGGAGGGGCCCCACCCTGCCTACCCAGCCCTGCAGTTGCGAGCAAAGGCTCGGATCCCCTCTCTGACCATGTGACTTAGCCAACTGTGCCTCGGTTTCTCAATCTGGAGAGTGGAGACGAAAGCTTCAAGGGCTGTCCGTGGGTGGGCGTGGGGATGCTGGTGACCAGCACGTGGGGCCGAGTGGGTCGGGCCACCTTCTCCTCACTGTCATTTTCCTTCCCACTCATGAAGGCCGGTTGGGGGGCAGGGCACGAGAGGGGGAATAAGGGCCTGGGGACATTCATCGGAACATGCTGGGCCTGCAACAGTACATCCCCTCTCCACCCAGCCCTTGCCTCAGTTTCCCCATGGTCATCAAGCTGGGACAATCCTTGCCACCATCCTAGGGCTAGGAGGGAGAGGGAGGGCTGGTTTGTGAACAGGCATCCCTTGCCTCTCCAAGGCCCCAAGATAAAACCCTGACCCGTCACTTCCACCCGTGGGGCCTGCCCACCTCTCTGACCTCTCCGCCCTCTCTGCCCTGGGCTGCTCACTCCACTCTACACCCTGCTATAGGCCTCTCTGCTGTCCACTGGACATACGCTCATGCGGCCACAGGGCCTTTGCACTGGTGGTTCCCAGGGGGTCTGGCTTTCCCTCACACTAAGGCTCTCATTGCCCTCCAATGTCACCTCCCCAGAGGCCCTCCCTGCCTGACCAGCCCACTCTCCCCTGCTCCCCATGCCCCATCTGCCCATCACCCACTCATCCCGTAAACAATGGTTTCCTTCTCCATGCCCTCACTAGAATGTAAGTGCCTGGAGTCAGGGCCTTGTCTGTGCAGTTTCCAGCGCCCCCGGCGCCTGGCGCATGCTGGTGCCATCAGTCACTTGCAGAATAAAGTAACAAAGGTGAAATTGCTGTTATGATCTTCCAAAATGCCAGAGGGACAGCTGAAGGAGCTGCACTCCAGCCCCCTCTTGGGGTGACCTCTAGGGGGTGTCCCAAAGCAGATCCAAAGGAGGGCAGCTAATCTCTGAGCGCCCACTGTGGCCCGTCATTAACTGAGTTATTCTTGCAATAAGCCATCCACGCCCACCTTACAGATGAGAAAACTGAGGCTTGGGGGAGGGGACTCCCAAGGCCAGGCCCTGCCAAAAAAGCACCCAGGCACCTTCTCTGAAGAGTAAGAGAGGGGAAGGCAGGCAGGCTCGGGGTTTTGCAATTGAAGCCACTATCTCTGGTCGTCTGCCAAGAAAACACCCAGGCAGAGCCACCTCGAAGAAAGTGCCAGCGGGCCGAAGGAGAATGTGATTTTCTCTCTCCCAAAGTCACCGGGGCGGGGGGCCAGATGAGAGTCATCTTGCGTCCATCCAGGAACACAGAGCTCCCCCACTGGGGCTGCCAGGCAGGAGGGATGATACTGGGCGGGCAGCCAGGAGCAGGGGTCGCCTGGGGGGCCCGCCCGTCCCACCAGCCCTTCCCGGGAGGCCCTGGCTGCCAGGGCCTACTCTGACGCATCTCGTCCGCGTCCTCCAGCGTCCGCCCGGCCCTGCGCAGTCGTGGCCGGCAGAGGGAGGGGTGGCGGGCTGCCGGCCAGGACGAGGTCAGCAGGCTGGCCAGAGTCCAGCCTCGTTCACTGAGAGGGCAAAGCAGGCCCCAAGGGCGGGGGCCTGGGCCTAGTCGCACAGGGCGGGACAAACCAGGTGTCCTGACTCCCAGCCGAGGACTCCTGCACCCGGGGGCTGTGTGCTGGACACTGGGCAAGGGGTGGACGTACGCCAGGCCCAGCTCGGGGAGGGAGGACACGGCCCTGGGCGGGGCTGCAGGGGAGAGGACGGGAGGCTGCAAGTGCCCTGCGGGGCCTCAGGCCTAGCCTGAGTGTTCTGGGGACGGACAGGATGCAAGCTGATCCCCCGGCTCCCCAGTCCGGGGCCAGCCACATGGACCCAAAATACAGACTCTGGGAGGCAGCTTATCAATGGGGCTGCCCCATGACCTCAGCGGTCCCCCGGCGAAGGCAGAAACATGTGTTTCTATGACTCTGTCCCCACAGCCAGCAGGAGCGGGGCGGGGAGCCGTCTGCCCTGACCCCGCTATCCAGGCACAATGGCCCTGGCTGCCTGCCTCCAGGGCAGACCCAGCCACACCATGAACACTGTTTTCCAAGCTGGGACTGTCGGGCAAGAAGCTCAGGGATTTGGTGCCCTCAGAAACCCGCAGGCCAGGCCTTTGCTCATCACAGGGTCAGGGTCAGGCCGTCCACTTCTCACACGCATGGGCGCGGTTCCTGTTGGCAGTGGTTCCTGGGGACCCTGAGATTTTGTTTTGTGGAACCTATAGAGATCCGGGTGAACCTCAGTTCCTAGGGAATGTCCTAGGACTTCCCCCTTTAACATGGCCCAGGGTGAACCCCAGGGCAGAGACAAGGGCCCCGCATGACCCTGCGGGTCTGATTTTCCTCCCTCGCTTGCTCTGCCCAGGACCATTCCAAGGGACTTGGGAGGGGAGAAAACAGACCACACTGTAGTTGAAATAAAATGGCCTGCCTGCCCCACCAGAAAACAATTCCTCCAGCCATCCAGATGTGAGCAGGACGCAGTCTCCGCGGGTCTGCCCTCTGCCAACCGAGATTGGCCCTAACTTGGGTAGCCATCTTTGGTTCTGGGCTGGAGGCCTTGAGGCCCAAAGCATCTGTGCTGAAAATGGGTAAAAGGTGGCATTCTCAGGGATGTGGGGTCACCCAGGCCAGGAGCAAAGACAGAGGCCAGAAAGGAAAGAACACACCTCAGAGACATCAACACCCAAACAGGACGACACTGGGGTCCTCCAGGCCACCCCAGCTGGAGAGGAATTTGCAAGGGGAACCTCTGCACCTGTGATCCAAGGTGATCACCTGTGATCCTGAGCCCTGGACCCTTGGCTGATGGGAGATGAGCCACCAAAAACATGTTGAACCTGTGGCTTTTCCCCAACCCCACGGCCACCACGCTCGCATCTCCATCACCAGCCCCAGGGCACTTGCAGCTGCCTCCTGACTGTGCCTCTCACTCCCAGCAAATCCCCCACATGGTTTCATGGGTAAATCACATCTGGCTCTCTTGGGAGAGGCTCGTAAAGGCCTTCTCACTGCCCTGAGAACAAAATGCAGCCCCCACCTGCCAGGGCGTGACTCAGTGCCCCCACCCCCGTGAGAGCTGCCCCCCGTCCTGCCAGGCTGCCCCCTCCCTGAGCCACCCTTTGGCACCTGAATCCACCAAGCTCATTCCCACCTCGGGCCTTCGCACTTGCTGTTCCCACCACGCTGAGGGTAGAACTGTGTCCCCCCAGAGAAGGTACATTCAAGTCCTAACCCAGGGTCTCTGTGAATGTGACCTTATTTGGAAATAGACTGTTTGCTGATATAATCAAGTTAAGATGAAGCTGCACTAGATTAGGACAGCTGCCCATCCAATGCCTGGTGTCCTCAGAAGAAGAAAGTGTGGACACAGAGATGCACAGGGCGAAGGTCATGTGACAGCAGAGCCAAAGACGGAGTGGCATGCCAGCAATCACGACCGCCAGCAGCGGCCAGGAGCTGGAAGAGGCGGGATGGATCTGCCCAGAGGCTCGGAGGCTGCGTCTCGGCCTGCATGGTGCCCCCAGGCTCCTGGCCTCCAGGACTGTATTTGTTAAAAGCCACCTGGCTCGAACTACCTTGTGAGGGCGGCCCTAGGAAGCGAGCAGGCTGCCTGGCACACTCTCTCCCTAGCGCTGCCCAGGGCTGCCTCCTCTGTCCGGGTCTCAGCTTGGATGTCACCTCCTGGGGAGGTCCTCCCGGCCACACCTCCGCCCCTTCCTGGCCTGCATCTCTCATTCCTGGACTCTACTCCAAGTCTGCCTCCCTAACCACACCTCGGGCTCCCCCAAAGCAGGCAGAGCCAGACTGGGTGCGGCTGTCTAAGTAGGTAGTCGCTGCTCAGTGTCTGCAGACAAAAGCCAAGGTTAGGGCTGCCTGGCGCCCACTCACCGGTTCTTGTCGCCGCCCTCGGCCTCATCCACCTCGTCTGCACTGCAGGTAGCACTGGAGTCGCTGTCCTGGGGGGCGCCCGAGCTCTTGGCTGTGGTGGCCCTGCCGCTCCCGCCCTCCTTCTTCTCTGCCTTGAGCGCCCCCTCGGCCGTGGCCTCAGCGGCCTCCGCGTCCTTGCCCTTGGCCGGCCCCTCCTCGGCTTCCTCCGTGCACTCGCTCTTGACGGGCTCCTCGGCCTTCCCTGTGTCCACTGCCAGCTCCTCAGCCGCGGGGGGCTTCTGCTCCTCCCCCTCCTCCACTGGGGGCGCTGCTGCGGTCTCCTCCTCCTTCTCCTCCTTGGGGACCACAGGAGGAGGTGCAGAGGGCGATGGGGGTGCTGGTGGGGGCGTAGGGGCTCCGGTGGCTTCAGAGGCCGGGGTGGGCTCAGTGGGGGCCGGGATGTCCTCCGGTGGTGGGGTGGGTGGCCCTGGGGGTGGCCCGTCGGCGCCCAGGGTGGCTGGGGGCTTGGGCCCATTCTGCCCTGTGTCCTTGGCGGCCTCAGTGTGAGGAGAGGGGATGCTCTCGGTGTCTGAGCTGTTGTTGACAGTGGCTGTGCAGGGCGAGAAGGAAGAGGGGATGAGCAGGGTCTGGCGGGGCCTCCAGAAGAGATGCATGGCCCTGACCCTCCGGATGAGGCCGCTCTGTCGCCTGATGCCAAAACAGCCCCGAGGCTCCTACACACCTGGGCTGCTGCCTAGAGCCCCACCCCTGAGACAAAGCCCCTGACCAGGCCCCTACCCACAGCTGCTGCCCTCGCCTGGCCGCCTTTCTCCCAGACTGACCCTGCTGGCATAACCTGGTTAATTCCCAACCCCAGGACCTCCTGGTGGTCAGCACCCCCGACAGATGGAGCCAGCCTGAGGGTGGCCGTGGGCAAAGGCCTTCGTCCTGGGGGTCTCCATGTTCTCATCTGAGCTCTAACCCCGGCTCTGCCCCGCACTGGCTGCGTGCCACGGGAAACTCAGGTTACCTCTTGGGCCTCAGTTTTCCCATCTGCAGAACGGGAGAACAATAGTTCCCATCTCACAGGGCGGAGAAGCTGGCAATTGTGAGGGCAAGGGCAACTGCCTGGTGACTGCCTGCTGCTGCACCACCATCGCCACCATCATCGTCACATGACAGTGTAGAATGCGCTCAGTGTGAGTACAGGGGACCCGGGCACAGTGGACAATGAGGCCAGTGCGTGTGCAGGGGACCCGGGCACAGTGGACAATCATGAGGCCAGTGCGTGTGCAGGGGCCCGGGCACAGTGGACAATCATGAGGCCAGTGCGTGTGCAGGGGCCCCGGGCACAGTGGACAATCATGAGGCCAGTGCGTGTGCAGGGGCCCCGGGCACAGTGGACAATCACGAGGCCAGTGCGTGCGCAGGGGCCCCGGGCACAGTGGGCAGTGAGGCCAGTGCGTGCGCAGGGGCCCCGGGCACAGTGGACAGTGAGGCCAGTGCGTGCGCAGGGGCCCCGGGCACAGTGGACAGTGAGGCCAGTGCGTGCGCAGGGGCCCCGGGCACAGTGGGCAGTGAGGCCAGTGCGTGCGCAGGGGCCCCGGGCACAGTGGGCAGTGAGGCCAGTGCGTGCGCAGGGGCCCCGGGCACAGTGGACAATCATGAGGCCAGTGCGTGCGCAGGGGCCCCGGGCACAGTGGACAATCATGAGGCCAGTGCGTGCGCAGGGGCCCCGGGCACAGTGGACAATCATGAGGCCAGTGCGTGTGCAGGGGCCCTGGGCACGGTGGACAATCATGAGGCCAGTGCGTGTGCAGGGGCCCTGGGCACGGTGGACAATCATGAGGCCAGTGCGTGCGCAGGGGCCCCGGGCACGGTGGACAACGAGGCCAGTGCGTGTGCAGGGGCCCCGGGCACAGCCCACACCAACGGCCTCAGCATGGGTTTTACACAGCAGGAGCGCGATCTGTGCTGGCGGAGTGGCAGGATGAAAGCACGCACCCAAGGATGGCAAGGAGAGCCCAGCCGCATTCCTGGCTCTCTAGCCCCCAAACCCACACCCGGCTCTTCTTTGAGTCTCAATGTCTCCCATTTTCTGTAAAATGGGGATACTTGAAAACCCCTGCATTTGCTATCAGGGAAATCAAACCCGGTCGGAGACCCAAGCGTACCAGTGAAAATCAGCAAAGCAGTGGAGACGGGAAACTGGTCTGCTGGAGTGAGCCCGGGACCAGCATGGGGAACAGCCACTGTGCTGGGAAGGAAGCCCAGAGGCCGCGGAGCACAAACGGTGGCGCTCACAGAAAGAGGCATGTGCTCAGAAGCGGGGTTCCTTGTGGAGGACCGGGGACCTTGGGATGCCCGCCCCGGCCCGGCCCTACCCCCCAGGCCAGCCGGCCACATTCGTACCTGGGCCACTGCATTCCCCTCTGGGCACCTCATTCCCAGAGGCATGTAAGGCTGGAAGGAAGTCAGAGAAGAGTTAGAAGTGAGGCAGCACCAAGTAGTGGGAGGGGAGGGAGGAGGCAACGTGGCCAAGAGGGGCCTGAAGCCCAGTGCACAGCAGTGAGGCCTCGCTGCTGCTCGCTCTCCTGCCCCGACTGCCCTTCTCCATGGACCGATGAGCCCTCTCCCTCTGGGCTCTGGCCAGCGGCCACAGGTGACCTGCAATAGCCCTGAGCAGGCTGGTCCAATGGCCTGTTCAAGGCCAGCCAATAATGGGGTTGTTCAGGGTGAAAAGTGAGCTTCAGCCACTCTGGGTGTCCTTGCCCTAAGTCATCAGCCTCCTGGTGGAACCAGGCTCCCAGGATGCCTGGAGTGGGAGGTGTTGACCTCAGGGATGGGCAAGGTTGCAGGGAGAGGCTTTTGGGGCTGCTGGGGCCTCTTCAGCCTTCATTGCCCCCCCACCAACCCTCCAGTCTCTCCTGCTTCTCACCTCCCTTCAGGCCCCAGAGCAGAGGCCACCCTTTTTAGAAACAATAGCAACAGCAGCAACGCTGGCTGCATACAGGCCAGGCTCCGTGCCGAGTTCTTCACACACGACTCCTTTAAGACCTCTAAGACTGGGACCACCAACTCTCATGTGCAGATGAGGAAATGGAGGCAGACAGGTTAATCAGCTTGCCCAAGGCCACGCTGTGGAGGGGAGAGCACTGAGCCCAGCTTCCTGTGTCCTTAACCCCTGGCCTTCCTCTGCCTGGTGACTTCAGCAATGTCATTCCCTTCCTTCCACAGTCAGAGTACAGGACGTTGGGAGGCCAACGCTGAGGGCCCCAGGACCAGGGATGAAACTTCTGGGTCTCAGTTTGTTCATCTACAAAATGGGCAGTTAACTTCTCGGTCTCACAGTTATCAAGGGGGTCTGGGGCAGGAGCCTGCATGAGAAGCACTCCAAGGGCTTGTGACAGTGCAGGTGGCTGCACTATGCCCCGAGGTTTCTGATTCAGTACGTGTGGACTGGGGCCCAAGAATCAGCACTTCTAACAAATCCCAGGGAACACTCTGCCACCGCTGCCCTAGAATCCAGGTGAAGTGCTTTGTGCAGCATCTGACACACAGTAGGTGCTTAACAAGAGTGACCAAAAAACCACCAAAAATAAAAAATAGAAACACACCACCAGATGGCCTCCTTTCCTTTCTGCCTGGAGGTCCCCAGTACCGGGCTGCCTGGGTTTGAACCCCGGTCACCAAATGCGCCTTGGATAACCCCGCTATGCCTCAGTCTCCCCATCTGTCAAATGCGGAGAACAGCATGGCTTCATTCACTATGAGGATACTATTATTATTACTGGAGAAACCACTGGGCCAGGGTATCACTCCCAGCCCCGCGCTGGTGTATTTCCAGCCCAGATGCAACAAGACGCTTTCCACTGCCCCCGGGGAGGGGCCTGCAGTGCCGCTGGGGCTGGCTGGGTCTCCGGGGAGATTCAGGCAGGGCAACCTCAGGCTCCAACCCAGCACCTGCCTCACCTCCCCATCCTGAGCACAAGAGACAGGTCACGCAGCGTGCGCTGGCTGGGCCGGCAGACCCCGAGCCTACCGGCTATGTGCTGGGACACCCCATGGGAGGGGTTCTCCTCTCCCCTGGGCTCCTCGTCCTTAAGATGGGCTAACACCCTGGGCACCAGGAGGCTTAATCAGGGCCTCTCACCTGCCGTCCCTGATCTCTCAGAGCAGCCACGGAAGACCACCACTGTCACAGAAGCCTCAGCTCCAGCCACCTCAGCCCTCCCTCCTCCCCCACCCAGCAGAGCATGCCCCTCCCCGTCCCTACGGGGCTACGTAAGCTCTGCAAGCGATGCGGGGGTCGTTGCCACACAGTCCTGGGTGGCGTCTGCTCCGGTTTTAATGTGTGGCCATGGCTTGGCTTCCTGAAATGCTCCCACCAAGCCTGCATCCCGCCCATTCAGACACTGGAGGGATATTTACAGAGGGGACTGGGTTTCTGCTCCCGGGGTCTTCTCCTGGCTACAGACCCAGGACCCAAAATGGGACGACCCAAGGGACTCGTGGCCCAGGCCTTCCTTCCATCAGACACTAGCCAGGCTTCTGGTCAACTTGGGTCAGAGAGACCCAAAGCTGGTGGGGAGGCCAGACTCAGTGTCCCTGACCCGCCCCCAACTTGAGATGAGTCACCCAAGGGCCCAGTTGCCCATTTCCAGCGGGAAGCGGGGATTCGGGCTGGTGAAACCCTGCGGGCTGGAGGAGCCTGGATTTATCTGCAGGCTGGGCTTATGGAACCAGGAGGTGACTTGCACCTTCTGCCAGGGAGAAGCCAGGGCGTTCAAAGGCAGAGAGGGAGGGACAACAGGAACAACAAGAAGGACCCCAGACGGGGCAGGAGGAAGGAGGGTTGAATTCACCAAGGACTTGGGCTCCGCCGGGCTGCTTGTTTCTCCTTCAGAGAGTCAGAAAGGAGAGTCAGGGACACTCAGCAGAGAAGGGCTGAGGTCCTCCAGGGGCCTTCGGTCACGCCACAGGGGGAGCAGTCTAGACCCCCAGCTTCCCCTTTGACAGGGAAAAAGAGGCACAGGGTGGGGGTCGAAGGTGGATGCACTCGTGACCGAGAGTGCGGGGCCAGGTGTCGGCAGCCCGTGTTCAGTTCCCGGGTCTATACACACTGATAACAAAGTTGAGCCGTGTGTTATCCGGAGCCCTGGACAACACACAGCTCATGTGGTCACAGTCCTGCATTTGAGGGGACTCGGGGGGACCCACCAGCACCATGCACACGATGGCTTTACGCCCTCTCTTCAGCAGCACTCACCTGGTGGGGCATTTGTCTAGTCTACAGCTGGTGCAAACAACACACTCCGTGGTACCTGGGGCGCCTGGGCCCAGGCCTTTAAGTGCCTGAGCCTCGGTTTCCCCATAGAGAAAACGGGGACACCAAAGAAGGGGACTGAATTATTTATCACTCAAATAGGGACACTTGGGAATAAAAGGAGACACTGAAAATAACTATATAACTTGTACAATATTTACCGACTGACAGATAGGTTCTATTTATGCTGGTTACCTTGTAAAAGAGTTCTGGTCAAAAAACAATTTTCGGGCCTGACGTGGTGACTCACACCTGTAATTCCAGCACTTTGGGAGGCCAAGGTGGGCAGATCACCTGAGGTCAGGAGTTTGAGACCAGCCTGACCAACATGGCGAAACCCCATCTCTGCTAAAAATACAAAAATTAGCCGGGTGTGGCGGCGGGCACCTCTAATCCCAGCTACTCAGGAGGCTGAGGCAGGAGAATTGCTTGAACCCGAGAGGCAGAGGTTACACTGGGCCGTGATCACGTCACTGCACTCCAGCCTGGGCGACAGAGCAAGACTCCGTCTGAAAAAAAAAAAAACAAAAAAAAACTTTTCCAAAGTAAATTTTTTTCTAAACTGTGACATCGGATGGGGTGAAAGACAGCAGGCACCCACAGGGCTGGCCTGGACGTCTGGTCACCCAAGCATAAGACTGGACTCATGGGCATCAGAAGAGCTGAGCGAGGCTTGGGGCTCCCAGAGAAGCTGATTATTCTCAGTATTGTTATGGCCTTCATCCTTGTGCCCATTACTGGTGAGTTTCTGGCAAGTCAGGCCCGCACCTTCCAGGGAGTCGAGGCCCCTTCTAAGGAGGACCCAGATGACTCAGGGGAGAGGAGGCTGCCGGGATCAGTTCCCGCTATGCCCTCCCTCAGAGCTCGGACCCACAGCTGCCAGCCACCTCCAAGCCGCGCCAGCCCTCACCTTCAGCCTCCTCCACCATCTCCTCCTCATTTCCGCTCACGCCCGACGCCTCCATCTCCTCATCCTCCACCACGGGCGGGAATGCAGCCTCCTCGCTGGCCGCCGCCGGCGCTTTCTTCTTCTTCCTCCGCGCGTTCCTCTCCTTCTCCTGGGGCACAGGGAAGCAGCAGATCAGGACTGGGGCCTGGGCTGTCAGCTCGGGGACTCCCCATGCCTGGGGCCTCGCCGCAGGTGCAAAGGGCAGTGATCCCGGCCATGTAGCAATGAGGGTGACCGTCCCCCTCACACCCCACCTCGGCAGCCAAGCGTGCCAGGGTTTATTTTTACCGGGGGCTTTATTCTTCCATTGAGCCCCAGATACACTCTGGGTACAGGCTGGCCCCTCAGCCACCCTGACATCCTTCCTGAGCACGAGAGAACCTGCCTGACATTGCCCAGGAGTCTCCTAGTCAGAGCGAGTGACCACGCCTCCTGGGGACACCCTGTCAGCTTCATCGGCACACGTGGAGTGAATGAACACAGGAAGCTTTTCCTTGCTATGCAAGTCTCACCTGTCCCTGGGGGAACAGGCCAGCCTGGGAAGCTCGCGTTTCATTCCCTGAACCTTTACAGAACACCTACTGTGTGCCCAGCTCTGCATACCAGGGCTGTGGGGACACAAGGCACGGGGTAGACAAGGTCCTGCCCTTGGAGGCTGCCCTGCCGCTGGGGAGACTGGCAACGTGCTCCTCACACAGAAGCAGCACTCAGAGGATCAGAGGGTCGCGTGGGTGAAACAGGATGGGACAAGGAGCACAAGGCAGGGGCTCCTCTGGACAGAACAGTCTGGAAGAGCTTCTGCAAGGAAGTGACATTTGAGCCAAGATTTGACGGCGGAGGGAATGGGCCAGGCCAGGCTCTGGACGAGAGTGGCAGGTGCGGGGAGTCACAGGTGCAAAGGCCCCAGTGTGGGGAACATGCCGGGTGTGTCCAGGAATGGAAAGAAGCCCTCATCGTCGGGCCTCCACTTTCCCCGCACCGCACCCTGCTCCTGGGAACCCCAGCTCCTCACACACAGAGCCCACTCTTCTTCCCCCAGCTTAGGCACCATCATCAAACCACTCGTCTTGGTAGCTCACTGGGGTGGGTGTCTCTTTGTCCCCACGCTGAGCCAGGCAGAGGCTCAGAAAGCGTTTGTTGACTGACTTGCTGAGCAACTGTGAAAGGCCAGCCTTCGTGGGCTTGAACGCATAGACAGCAGAGAGCAGGGGCATCGTGGAGGCAGCATCTCGAAGTGACTGGGGACTCCCAGGGGGACTGGAAAGACACTGGGGGGTGCCCACCACAGCCTGGTGTGACGGGGGGGCGGCAGCCTGATCCCTCTGGGGTTGCTGAGAAAGAGGTGGGCCCTCCGCCACACCTGGAGGTGCCCGCAGCTCTCAGCCAAGAGCCCTGTACTGGGTTGAATGGTGTCCCTCAAAGTTCACATCAACCCGGAACCTCAGACCTTATTTAGAAACGGGATCCTGCATATGTCATTAGTTAAGATGATGCCACACTGGAGTGGGGTGGGCCCTAAATCCAACAGGACTGACAGCCTTGGAAGAAAAGGGAAACACGGATTCAGGGACACGAAGGCCCTGTGGCAGTGGAGGCACATGTGGAGAGATGCAGCTACAAGCCAAAGAATGTCACGAACTGCCAGCAGTCGCTGGAAGACGGAAGAGGCTCCCCTGCAGCCTTGAATGTGAGCACAGCCCTGTGGACGCTTTGGTTCCAGACGTCTAGCCTCCAGAATTGGAAGAGAATACATCTCTGTTGTTTGAAGCCACCGGTCTGTGGTACTTCCTTGCGGCAGCCAGGGGGAATCACACATCCCTCTGCGCTGGTGCACCCGGATTCCAAGAAAAAGCTGCTGACGTCCAGACCACACAGCCTGCTCTCGGGCAAATGCCAGGTGGGCCCCGCCCACCCCAGCCCTTCACCGTGGCCAGGCTGGAGCTGGGCCTCATGGAGGGGAGGAGAGGGGGTCTCGGGCTCCAAGCCCCAGCCACAGGCAGGGAGTGGGATCACTTCCTGTCCTGCCTTCTTCCTGAGCAAACAGGGTTCCTCTGAGCACAGCCCCTTGGAACGCAGGGAGGAAAAGGGAAACGACTGCTCGTCCGTTAGTCACAGTTTCCGACACCAACAGTCGGCCAGAGGGCCACAGCCCTGCCCCTGCCAGTGCCCACAGGGCCCACAGGGATGCCCAGCTCTGCAACCCCGCACACGTCCTGGGCCCAGTCCCAGCCCTGCCCCGAATCCTGAGCCTCTCCCAGGAGAGTTCGAGCCTGTGGCGGCCTGAGAAAGTGGTGGCATGTGGGTTCTGCGGCTGCGGCCGAGGGCTCCCCCTGCTTCCCGAATCTATTTTTGGCAGACAGAGGCTCAGGAAAGACTCAGGGCTGGGTGCCCTGAGCTGCCCGGGCGGTGGCTGGGACATGGGAGATGCTCAGAGTCTCGCAGGGAACAGGGGTCTCCTGTCGGCCTGGTGGTGGCGCCCAGCATCCTGGAGTGCAAGGTGTCTCTGCGGGGGGCGGCGTGGGGTCTCTGAGGCAGTGGACGGGGATGGTGCCAACACCCTGAATCCCCACAAAGCTGGGTCTCAGAGAGAGTCCCAGGAGTTACAGTTAATCCTTACACACATGGTCCGGCACTGTGGGATCAGGAGGTGTGTGTAGAATAGGAGATGCTAGTGATGGCATTAATCATTATGCCTGACGTTTATTAAGCACCTACTATGCGCCAAGCGGTTTCTGGTATTAATTTACTGGACCTGCACAGCTGCTCTGCAAATCAGCGCATGCCACCCCCTGCTTCAAACTCTCCAACACCTGGATACAATCCCCAAGTCCTCCCCCTATCCATATGGCCCTGTGTGATCCAGCCCTGGA